>NW_018654717.1:600000-938970 GCF_000001405.40 Homo sapiens | reverse complement strand
GCCACACGGCCAGAAGTACCAGGTGCCCCATGAAGTGCTGGAAGGCAGCCCTGGTTCCAGCGACCTTGGGGAAAAAGGAAGGGAAGGAAAACCTGAAACCATGGAAGCCCCGGGGTGAAGCCAACCCGGGCCCTTGAACAAGGATAAGGGAGAGAAGGAAGAGAGACCAAGGTGAGCAGTGGGAGGGGTTTTCACCACTCTTAGGGTACGGCCTCCCAAGGACATGGTGTCTCTGCACCTGCACACCGTGTGCCTTTCCGTCTCCGGGCCAGGGAAGGAACGCTGCAGAGAAATAGGCCGGAGCTCCGTGTCCTCCGGGGTTCCACACCCAGGAGCTCCTTGGGCTCTGGGAGATTCAGGGACGGGGAGAGGCGGGGGCGCTTCGTGCAGGTTCCCCACGACAGCGGGAAAAGCGATGGAATCCAAATCACAGTCCTTAGTTGGGAAGCCTAGAGGGCCACCTGGAGGATGGGAAGGTTGGCACGTGAGGGAAGGTGCAGAGGCGGAAAGGGCACCAGATGTCCATTTCTGTATCACAAAACACGGAATGGGGCTGGGCCCCAGACGGGGTTCTCCCTGTCTCCTGGGGAAAACCAGGGGGCACGGCCTGACCTTCTTCTGTTCTGCAGGCAACAAGACCCGCAGAGGAAGGCTCTCCTCCACATGTTTTCCGGGAAACCTCCAGAGAAGCCGCTGCCGAATGGAAAAGGATCCACGGAATCTTCTGATTATCTGAGGGCGAGTGTCACCCCGGGCCCCTGGTCTTTTTCTCCTCTAGGTCACCCTGGTTGATTTCCTTTCAGCTTCCCGTCTGCGGGAGGAAATCGGGGAACCCCTCTTTCTTGCCTTCTTGGGGTCAGGGACTCCACGATCCTTCCAGGTCAATTGGATTCCAGGCGAAGGCATCTGAACATGCCGTATTTCCTGTTGCTTTCTTTCTGTCCAATTATGGCAAGCCTGCCAACAACACGTTCCTAGCGGCATGAGGAAATTAGTCCCTCAGAGGCCCCAAACGTGGAGAAGGCGAAACCCAGGAACATGCATGTGTTCAGAGAAGACGTCCCGAGTACCCTTGAGCCAGCAACCTGCCTTGGGAAGGGCATTAGTCCGTTCCACTTCATGGAAGGCTGAGTGGAGGCGCTTTGATCCAGTTAATGCCCAAGACGCGATCTTTTGAACAATGGTGTGCTTAGATCAGCTACACATAGCTCGAGAGCGCATCTTTCATGTGTCTTGTCCTGATCAGCACTCAGGTGGAGGGTCTGTCCCTACTTCCAAGGACCGCCTGTCGATACTGTACTAAGAATTTCATGGCGTGTGCACCTTGTCTTTGGATGTGCTTGATTTTCACGTTGGCTCCATGCTGAGGAACTTCTAACCTGTGTTGTTTCCTCTCTTTCAGGTTGCAAGCGGGCCAATGCCGGTCCACACAACCAGTAAGAGGCCGCGCTTGGACCCTGTCCTCGCTGATCGCTCAGCTACCGCAATGTCTGGCAGGGGCACCGTCTTGGCTTCACTGTCTCCCCTCAGAAAAGCCAGCCTGAGCTCCTCCTCAAGTCTTGGACCAAAGGAAAGACAGACAGGGGCTGCGGCCGACATGCCTCAGCCTGCAGTCAGGCACCAGGGCCGCGAGCCTCTCCTCGTGGTGAAGCCGACACACAGCCGCCCCGAGGGTGGCTGCCGAGAAGTTCCCCAGGCTGCCTCCAAAACCCACGGCCTGCTCCAGGCCGCCAGACCCCAGGCACAAGACAAACGTCCTGCGGTGACCTCACAGCCCTGCCCGCCAGCCGCCACACACAGCTTGGGCCTAGGCTCCAATCTCAGCTTCGGGCCAGGAGCCAAGAGACCTGCCCAGGCTCCGATTCAGGCTTGCCTGAACTTCCCCAAGAAACCGAGACTGGGTCCCTTCCAGATCCCCGAAAGCGCCATCCAGGGAGGTGAGCTGGGGGCCCCGGAGAATCTCCAACCTCCGCCAGCCGCAACCGAACTTGGACCAAGTACGTCGCCCCAGATGGGCAGGAGGACACCGGCCCAGGTGCCCAGCGTCGACCGGCAGCCTCCGCACAGCACACCTTGCCTGCCTACTGCCCAGGCCTGCACCATGTCCCATCACTCAGCGGCCAGCCATGATGGGGCCCAGCCTCTCAGAGTGCTCTTCCGGAGACTGGAAAACGGACGCTGGAGCTCCAGCCTCCTGGCGGCCCCCTCATTTCACTCTCCTGAGAAGCCGGGAGCCTTCCTCGCTCAGAGCCCTCATGTGTCAGAGAAGTCTGAGGCTCCCTGTGTTCGTGTCCCACCGAGCGTCCTCTATGAGGACCTTCAGGTTTCCTCCTCCTCAGAGGACAGCGATTTTGACCTGGAGTGAGACTGCAGGTGGCAGGGGCTCCTTGGCCTCCGGCTCCCGTGACTTGGAGGGGACTGTGGGACTGAGGAGCGCAGAGCAGAGAGCACACTCTGTGCGGTGACTCCGAAGCTCCCCGGCTGTGGCGCTTCTGTGGATGTGGGAGCCCAGGCCAGGCAGGGAGCAGATGCAGGGACTCTGCCTCATTGAATTCTGGTGAGGGACGTTGTAGTTGGCGTGGTTCTCCGGAAACGCGCCAGGAAAAGCTTCCGTGCCAGAGATTCGTTGCCTCAGAAACTGCGTGACGCGCAGGAGTCAGACTTCCGCTGGGACGTCAATAGGAAACTGGGGAATTACTGTGTATTTGCTCTCTAGATGACTGAATAAGGGAAAAGTTAGGGAACCCTGAGAGGTGCAGCCCTTCCGCTGTGCCCCGCCCTGAGAGCAGTGTTTCGGACGCTGGGAAGCGTGCTGTGCGAAGCGCTCTCGGGGTCTTTCCTCAGCCTCGAAAACTGGGCTCTGGAATGCCTTTGTACATATGTGTGTTTAATGTGTTTTGAAGTGAATAAAATTCTCAAGAAGATGACATATTGTCTTTTGACTCTCATTCCGTGTTTGTGTGTAACTGATTTTCCAAGTGAAGGGGTGGCCTGCCCCTCCACACCTGTGGGTGTTTCTAGTCGGGTGGGATGAGAGACGGAGAAAAGAAATAAGACACAGAGACAAAGTATAGGGAGACAACAGTGGGTCCAGGGGACCGGCACTCAGCACACCTAGGACCTGCACCGGCACCGGCCTCTGAGTTCCCGCAGTTTTTATTGATTGTGATTTTCATTATTTCAGCACAAAGGAATGCAGTAGGGGAGCAGGGTGATAATAAGGGGAAGGTCAACAAAAACAACACAAAACAAACACGTGAGCAAAAGAATCCATATCATTATTAAGTTCAAGGGAAGGTACTATGCCTGGACGTGCACGTAGGCCAGATTTATGTTTCTCTCCACACAAATATCTCAGCGGAGTAAAGAATAACAAGGCAGCATTACTGCCAACATGTCTCGCCTCCCGCCACAGGGCAGCTTTTCTCCGAGCTCAGAGTTGAACAAATGTACGATCGGGCTTTACACCGAGACATTCAGTTCCCAGGGGCAAGCAGGAGACAGTGGCCTTCCTCCATCTGAACTGCAAGAGGCGTTCCTCTTTGACTAATCCACCTCAGCACAGACCCATTGCGGGTGTCAGGCTGGGGGACATTCAGGACTTTCCCATCCCACGAGGCCATATTTCAGACTGTCACATGGGGAGAAACCTTGGACAATACCCTGCTTTCAAGGGCAGAGGTCCCTGTGGCTTTCCACGGTGCATTGCGCCCCTGGTTTATTGAGACTAGAGAATGGCAATGACTTCTACCAAGTATACTGCTCGTAAACATTTGGTTAACTAGGCGCGTCCTGCACAGCCCTAGATCCCTTAAACCTCGATTTTATACAACACAGGTTTTTGTGAGCTCCAAGTTGGGTCAAAGGAAGGGGCTGCGGCAAGGCAACAAATGAACAACATCTCAGCAAAGCAATTGTTTAAAGTACAGGTCTTTTTCAAAATGGAGTCTCTTATGTCTTCCCCTTCTACATAGACACAGTGACAGTCTGATCTCTCTTTCTTTACCCTACATCCAAGGGCTTGAACATTTCTTGACTTGTTGGCAATCCAAATCGTTACGTCTCCGAAACAGAGTTGACTGAGGGGACCGCAGGGCTGGGCAGGACCTTTGACTTCCTATACATCCACAGGAGCAAGAAAACCTCAGCCCCACTCTACCAACACGCACCTAGTAAAATTCTGCCAACCGAATCTCACGCACGCTAACACGTGGGGAGCGTTGCTTGCACCACGAGTCCCCATTTGGCTCAACCGCCGATGCCAAGTGTGTGGTTCCAGTTGCGACGGCCCCCCGTGAAGTGGCTTCCGGATGTGCGAAGGAACCAGGCAGAGTTTCACTGGCCAAATAGACCCCAGCAAAGCTGAAGTTAACTCCCACATTTGGGATGTACTTCAGAGGTAAAACATTCATCCCGTCTTCTTTCCGGATGTCTGACACCATGGTTCTCCCCCTGATCCTAAGAGTAGCTGAGGCAGAGACTCACTGAAAGATCTAGGCGGGGATATCCCATCATGCACAGGCTCTCTCCATTCTCTGACCTGGGAACAACTCTCAGCAGGATTCCACATCTAGGAGGCCTCGGAACTCAGCGGGATTTTCTGAGACACACCAACTGGCTGCTCCCTCTCCGCCGCTGTTGAGGGTCGTTATCTTGATTATCCAGATCACCTAGAAAGTATCCGTATCCAGAATGAATAAGATCAACTCTCTGCTCCTCTGACAGCAGAAGGAGCAGGACCGTAAGGAACCAAAGAGCGTGGAAGGAAACGATGTGACAGGAAAGCTCAGAGAACGGCCACAGGGGGTCGTCAGCAGGCCTTCCAACCTGAATCATGAATAATTAATGAAGCGCAAATCAAAGGGGACTCGAGTTTCAGCAGGAGCAATTCATCCAACGGGAGATCGCCGGAGGGCCAACAAGATTGAGTGACTGGGAGCCGGGTGCAGTGTCAAAGGGGACGCGACTGGTTCCAAAGCTCGAGAAGACCATGGGGTCACTTGGGCTACATGAGAAAACGCCCCAGTGTGCTGGTTCATCATTCCGACTCCTGCCTGTCTCTTCCCGTCCAAGGAACATGGACCCTAAGTCGTGCAGGTGCGGATGACCATGGGCAGAATTAGGGGCCGTGGCACAAAAGTTCACCGACACGGGAGTTCCACAGAAGGTGCGGTGGATCTTCGCAAATCCAGAGACATGGCAATGGGACCCAGGGAATTAGAGCCTCACAGGCGTCCGGGAGACTTTTCAGGCATAATGCCTGGAGTCGCAAGAGGAGCTGAAAAAGGAGCCAGGCACTGAAGGACAAAGCGTTGTTGACTTTCCTCATCTGTGTTTCCCAGTGCGGTCCAATTCACGGTTGTTTCCAAGCGCCTCCTGGGGGAGAAAACACATGAGGGTGCGGTCAGGGTTCTCTGCTGACAGACTTACCTTGGGGAAGAAAGAGAAGCTCTGAAGATGGATCATGGCCGTGACTGCATGTCAAGGAGAGTCTCCTTGATGACACTGAGGCCTACGTCGAGATAGACAAAATGTGGTCCAATTAAAAGGTGTCTATTTTACCACATTTTTTAAAACAAAACAAAACAAAACAACAAAAAAGATGGAAAAGAAGACAGGGGTACAGGCACCAGTGTTACATGTCTGACGGGGAACATCTATTGTTCAAAGCTTGCAGCTGTACAAGTAGGTTTTAGAATGTCTGTCAGCAGTGGACATGATCTTAGAGTGGGCTGTGCAGATAGACCTTTCCAGGTCATGTAATTGGATTAAGTTAATTGCAATTAAGGTACAGGTAACTGATTAGGTTAGGGTACGTTCCATGTCAGGTGACCAGAGGCAGTATAAAAGGCAGCCTGGAAAGCGGAGGTCCCTCTCTGCCCCTTCCTCCGTCGTCCTGGATGCTGCATCGCTTCCAGCCGGGCTGCTGCAGCACCTGCCCATCTCAGCGCCAGCCTGGGAAAGAAAGTAGACGTGTAATTTCAGGTTGGTTTCGCTGAACAATTGTTTGTTTCACGCAATCCCTGAGGGGTTTTTGCGGGGGGTGTGGGGGAGGAAGAGACAAAGGAGGCCGAAAGAAACCGATCACACTGGGGCTTGCTGGTGGGGTAGGATGTGTTCTCGTTACTAGTAATTCTTGGAACAGAAAACGAGACAACATATCCGTCTCCACGTGTGGGAGAAGACCAAGATGGGAATGCGAAAAGAAATGTACTGCAGCATGCTGAATTGGTGGGTAAATGGAAAAAGGACTTTGGAAAAAAGGGGGGTTTGCCCTTCAGCCGTGTAAGACGTCGATACGATACGGCACTTCTTCCCCGTTTGTTCAGATGAATTCGTGTGGTATGCGTAAAATACCAGGAAAATAAATAAAGAGGGGCTGGAGCTAAAGCCAAAAGATAGAACAGGAAAGACCATCACCTGCTAGTGCGGTAGAGAGGAAGGTAACTTCTCTGTATGAATTTGTGTTTGGAAGTTGCCTAATGAAATGGCAAGAGTAGCGATTCAAGTTGTCACAGGAAGCATCCCTTATCCCTGACTTCAAGCAGACCTGCCAAAGGGTGGCACACGCCATGCCCTGTGTCTTCGATCATTCTGTCCGTCAAGGGAGATAGAATCACCGTGTCTTCTACCGGAGTGAATCGTGAGAGACCTAAGTCCAGTCTCCAGAATCAGTTGTTTGTTTGGGGTTGAAAGCTCAACCCCCCATACCTAGGCCACGGGCCCTGTGGCAGGTGGGGTTTACTCTTGGACTAGGTAGTCATGGCAGAGGAACACACAATATCCGAGGATGCGCGCAGCACATTGTGTTCTACAGATTTGACCGACTGGTGGTGAGGTCTCCTCATGACCACACAGGCAGGGAGTTAGCAGGTGGCTTCCTGTGGGTGTGTGAATATCCAACGTGCTTAACCATCGACATGTGTGTGTTTGTGTGTGTTTCAGGTGGCCCAACAGTCCACCCCTGAAAAAGGCGGTCATAAAACCCCCAGGAGACGAAGATGATGGCACGTCGGGACCCCACATCTTGGGCCAAGAGACTGGTGAGAGCCCAGACCCTCCAGAAGCAGCGGAGGGCCCCAGTTGGGCCAAGGGCTCCCCCGCCCGATGAAGAAGATCCCAGGGTAAGTCTAGCCCTGGATCTCTTGGGTATCGGGGTGGGGGTGGGGACGGGGGGAGGGGGTGTCCCACGGTCCTCAGAGACTGGGTTGGATTCCAAAGAGTTCTGTCACCACCAGCCAGGTTGCTTTTCCCATCCAAGGTGGGCGTGGCTTGGGACCTTCTCCCCGGCCCGATAGGTCCCTTGAGAGACTCTTGGGGGCAACCTCCCTTTCTACTTAGAGTCCTGTGTAGCCACGTTTGGCTGCGTTGTTGACATCGGCTTCACCATCGTGCCCCTTGGAACCTTGAGTCCTTCCTTTCAGAGTTCCTCCGTCACACGGGCTTTGCGAGGGAACATCGTATCCGAACTCTCCCAGCACTTAACGGCCCCCATGCCGGTGTCCCCTCTTTGGAATCCTTATTCAGCTCTGAATTCACAATCCGTCCCAATGTTGACGTGGGATCGCTGCCTGTGGCTTCAGCTCACTCACTGACATCACTTCCTTTCCACCCACAGCTCAAGTGCAAAAACTGCGGGGCCTTTGGCCACACGGCCAGAAGTACCAGGTGCCCCATGAAGTGCTGGAAGGCAGCCCTGGTTCCAGCGACCTTGGGGAAAAAGGAAGGGAAGGAAAACCTGAAACCATGGAAGCCCCGGGTTGAAGCCAACCCGGGGCCCTTGAACAAGGATAAGGGAGAGAAGGAAGAGAGACCAAGGTGAGCAGTGGGAGGGGTTTTCACCACTCTTGGGGTACTGCCTCCTAAGGACATGGTGTCTCTGCACCTGCACACCGTGTGCCTTTCCGTCTCCGGGCCAGGGAAGGAACGCTGCAGAGAAATAGGCCGGAGCTCCGTGTCCTCCGGGGTTCCACACCCAGGAGCTCCTTGGGCTCTGGGAGATTCAGGGACGGGGAGAGGCGGGGGCGCTTCGTGCAGGTTCCCCGCGACAGCGGGAAAAGCGATGGAATCCAAATCACAGTCCTTAGTTGGGAAGCCTAGAGGGCCACCTGGAGGATGGGAAGGTTGGCACGTGAGGGAAGGTGCAGAGGCGGAAAGGGCACCAGATGTCCATTTCTGTATCACAAGACACGGAATGGGGCTGGGCCCCAGACGGGGTTCTCCCTGTCTCCTGGGGAAAACCAGGGGGCACGGCCTGACCTTTTTCTGTTCTGCAGGCAACAAGACCCGCAGAGGAAGGCTCTCCTCCACATGTTTTCCGGGAAACCTCCAGAGAAGCCGCTGCCGAATGGAAAAGGATCCACGGAACCTTCTGATTATCTGAGGGCGAGTGTCACCCCGGGCCCCTGGTCTTTTTCTCCTCTAGGTCACCCTGGTTGATTTCCTTTCAGCTTCCCGTCTGCGGGAGGAAATCGGGGAACCCCTCTTTCTTGCCTTCTTGGGGTCAGGGCCTCCACGATCCTTCCAGGTCAGTTTGATTCCAGGCGAAGGCATCTGAAGATGCCGTATTTCCTGTGGCTTTCTTTCTGTCCAATTATGGCAAGCCTGCCAACAACACGTTCCTAGCGGCATGAGGAAATTAGTCCCTCAGAGGCCCCAAACGTGGAGAAGGCGAAACCCAGGAACATGCATGTGTTCAGAGAAGACGTCCCGAGTACCCTTGAGCCAGCAACCTGCCTTGGGAAGGGCATTAGTCCGTTCCACTTCATGGAAGGCTGAGTGGAGGCGCTTTGATCCAGTTAATGCCCAAGACGCGATCTTTTGAACAATGGTGTGCTTAGATCAGCTACACATAGCTGGAGAGCGCATCTTTCATGTGTCTTGTCCTGATCAGCACTCAGGTGGAGGGTCTGTCCCTACTTCCAAGGACCGCCTGTCGATACTGTACTAAGAATTTCATGGCGTGTGCACCTTGTCTTTGGATGTGCTTGATTTTCACGTTGGCTCCATGCTGAGGAACTTCTAACCTGTGTTGTTTCCTCTCTTTCAGGTTGCAAGCGGGCCAATGCCGGTCCACACAACCAGTAAGAGGCCGCGCGTGGACCCTGTCCTCGCTGATGGCTCAGCTACCGAAATGTCTGGCAGGGGCTCCGTCTTGGCTTCACTGTCTCCCCTCAGAAAAGCCAGCCTGAGCTCCTCCTCAAGTCTTGGACCAAAGGAAAGACAGACAGGGGCTGCGGCCGACATGCCTCAGCCTGCAGTCAGGCACCAGGGCCGCGAGCCTCTCCTCGTGGTGAAGCCGACACACAGCAGCCCTGAGGGTGGCTGCCGAGAAGTTCCCCAGGCTGCCTCCAAAACCCACGGCCTGCTCCAGGCCGCCAGACCCCAGGCACAAGACAAACGTCCTGCGGTGACCTCACAGCCCTGCCCGCCAGCCGCCACACACAGCTTGGGCCTAGGCTCCAATCTCAGCTTCGGGCCAGGAGCCAAGAGACCTGCCCAGGCTCCGATTCAGGCTTGCCTGAACTTCCCCAAGAAACCGAGACTGGGTCCCTTCCAGATCCCCGAAAGCGCCATCCAGGGAGGTGAGCTGGGGGCCCCGGAGAATCTCCAACCTCCGCCAGCCGCAACCGAACTTGGACCAAGTACGTCGCCCCAGATGGGCAGGAGGACACCGGCCCAGGTGCCCAGCGTCGAACGGCAGCCTCCGCACAGCAGACCTTGCCTGCCTACTGCCCAGGCCTGCACCATGTCCCATCACTCAGCGGCCAGCCATGATGGGGCCCAGCCTCTCAGAGTGCTCTTCCGGAGACTGGAAAACGGACGCTGGAGCTCCAGCCTCCTGGCGGCCCCCTCATTTCACTCTCCTGAGAAGCCGGGAGCCTTCCTCGCTCAGAGCCCTCATGTGTCAGAGAAGTCTGAGGCTCCCTGTGTTCGTGTCCCACCGAGCGTCCTCTATGAGGACCTTCAGGTTTCCTCCTCCTCAGAGGACAGCGATTCTGACCTGGAGTGAGACTGCAGGTGGCAGGGGCTCCTTGGCCTCCAGCTCCCGTGACTTGGAGGGGACTGTGGGACTGAGGAGCGCAGAGCAGAGAGCAGACTCTGTGCGGTGACTCCGAAGCTCCCCGGCTGTGGCGCTTCTGTGGATGTGGGAGCCCAGGCCAGGCAGGGAGCAGATGCAGGGACTCTGCCTCATTGAATTCTGGTGAGGGACGTTGTAGTTGGCGTGGTTCTCCCGAAACGCGCCAGGAAAAGCTTCCGTGCCAGAGATTCGTTGCCTCAGAAACTGCGTGACGCGCAGGAGTCAGACTTCCGCTGGGACGTCAATAGGAAACTGGGGAATTACTGTGTATTTGCTCTCTAGATGACTGAATAAGGGAAAAGTTAGGGAACCCTGAGAGGTGCAGCTCTTCCTCTGTGCCCCGCCCTGAGAGCAGAGTTTCGGACGCTGGGAAGCGTGCTGTGTGAAGCGCTCTCGGGGTCTTTCCTCAGCCTCGAAAACTGGGCTCTGGAATGCCTTTGTACATATGTGTGTTTAATTGGTTTTGAAGTGAATAAAATTCTCAAAAAGATGACATATTGTCTTTTGACTCTCATTCCGTGTTTGTGTGTAACTGATTTTCCAAGTGAAGGGGTGGCCTGCCCCTCCACACCTGTGGGTGTTTCTAGTCGGGTGGGATGAGAGATGGAGAATAGAAATAAGACACAGAGACAAAGTATAGGGAGACAACAGTGGGTCCAGGGGACCGGCACTCAGCACACCTAGGACCTGCACCGTCACCGGCCTCTGAGTTCCCTCAGTTTTTATTGATTATGATTATCATTATTACAGCACAAAGGAATGCAGTAGGGGAGCAGGGTGATAATAAGGGGAAGTTCAACAGCAACAACAAAAACAAACACGTGAGCAAAAGAATCCATATCATTATTAAGTTCAAGGGAAGGTACTATGCCTGGACGTGCACGTAGGCCAGATTTATGTTTCTCTCCACACAAATATCTCAGCGGAGTAAAGAATAACAAGGCAGCATTACTGCCAACATGTCTCGCCTCCCGCCACAGGGCAGCTTTTCTCCGAGCTCAGAGTTGAACAAATGTACGATCGGGCTTTACACCGAGACATTCAGTTCCCAGGGGCAAGCAGGAGACAGTGGCCTTCCTCCATCTGAACTGCAAGAGGCTTTCCTCTTTGACTAATCCACCTCAGCACAGACCAATTGCGGGTGTCAGGCTGGGGGACAGTCAGGTCTTTCCCATCCCACGAGGCCATATTTCAGACGGTCACATGGGGAGAAACCTTGGACAATACCCTGCTTTCAAGGGCAGAGGTCCCTGTGGCTTTCCACGGTGCATTGCGCCCCTGGTTTATTGAGACTAGGGAATGGCAATGACTCCTACCAAGTATACTGCTCGTAAACATTTGGTTAACAAGGCGCGTCCTGCACAGCCCTAGATCCCTTAAACCTCGATTTTATACAACACAGGTTTTTGTGAGCTCCAAGTTGGGTCAAAGGAAGGGGCTGCGGCAAAGCTACAAATGATCAACATCTCAGCAAAGCAATTGTTTAAACTACAGGTCTTTTTCAAAATGGAGTCTCTTATGTCTTCCCCTTCTACATAGACACAGTGACAGTCTGATCTCTCTTTCTTTACCCTACATCCAAGGGCTTGAACATTTCTTGACTTGTTGGCAATCCAAATCGTTACGTCTCCGAAACAGAGTTGACTGAGGGGACCGCAGGGCTGGGCAGGACCTTTGACTTGCTATACATCCACAGGAGCAAGAAAACCTCAGCCCCACTCTACCAACACGCACCTAGTAAAATTCCGCCAACCGCATCTCACGCACGCTAACACGTGGGGAGCGTTGCTTGCACCACGAGTCCCCATTTGGCTCAACCGCCGATGCCAAATGTGTGGTTCCAGTTGCGACGGCCCCCCGTGAAGTGGCTTCCGGATGTGCAAAGGAACCAGGCAGAGTTTCACTGGCCAAATAGACCCCAGCAAAGCTGAAGTTAACTCCCACATTTGGGATGTACTTCAGAGGTAAAACATTCATCCCGTCTTCTTTCCGGATGTCTGACACCATGGTTCTCCCCCTGATCCTAAGAGTAGCTGAGGTAGAGACTCACTGAAAGATCTAGGCAGGGATATCCCATCATGCACAGGCTCTCTCCATTCTCTGACCTGGGAACAACTCTCAGCAGGATTCCACATCTAGGAGGCCTCGGAACTCAGTGGGATTTTCTGAGACACACCAACTGGCTGCTCCCTCTCCGCCGCTGTTGAGGGTCGTTATCTTGATTATCCAGATCACCTAGAAAGTATCCGTATCCAGAATGAATAAGATCAACTCTCTGCTCCTCTGACAGCAGAGGGAGCAGGACCATAAGGAACCAAAGAGCGTGGAAGGAAACGATGTGACAGGAAAGCTCAGAGAACGGCCACAGGGGGTCGTCAGCAGGCCTTCCAACCTGAATCATGAATAATTAATGAAGCGCAAATCAAAGGGGACTGGAGTTTCAGCAGGAGCAATTCATCCAACGGGAGATCGCCGGAGGGCCAACAAGATTGAGAGACTGGGAGCCGGGTGCAGTGTCAAAGGGGACGCGACTGGTTCCAAAGCTCGAGAAGACCATGGGGTCACTTGGGCTACATGAGAAAACGCCCCAGTGTGCTGGTTCATCATTCCGACTCCTGCCTGTCTCTTCCCGTCCAAGGAACATGGACCCTAAGTCGTGCAGGTGCGGATGACCACGGGCAGAATTAGGGGCCGTGGCACAAAAGTTCACCGACACGGGAGTTCCACAGAAGGTGCGGTGGATCTTCGCAAATCCAGAGACATGGCAATGGGACCCAGGGAATTAGAGCCTCACAGGCGTCCGGGAGTCGCAAGACGAGCTGAAAAAGGAGCCAGGCACTGAAGGACAAAGCGTTGTTGACTTTCCTCATCTGTGTTTCCCAGTGCGGTCCAATTCACGGTGGTTTCCAAGCGCCTCCTGGGGGAGAAAACACATGAGGGTGCGGTCAGGGTTCTCTGCTGACAGACTTACCTTGGGGAAGAAAGAGAAGCTCTGAAGATGGATCATGGCCGTGACTGCATGTCAAGGAGAGTCTCCTTGATGACACTGAGGCCTACGTCGAGAGAGACAAAATGTGGTCCAATTAAAAGGTGTCTATTTTACCACATTTTTTAAAACGAAACAAAACAAAACAACAAAAAAGATGGAAAAGAAGACAGGGGTACAGGCACCAGTGTTACATGTCTGACGGGGAACATCTATTGTTCAAAGCTTGCAGCTGTACAAGTAGGTTTTAGAATGTCTGTCAGCAGTGGACAGGATCTTAGAGTGGGCTGTGCAGATAGACCTTTCCAGGTCATGTAATTGGATTAAGTTAATTGCAATTAAGGTACAGGTAACTGATTAGGTTAGGGTACGTTCCATGTCAGGTGACCAGAGGCAGTATAAAAGGCAGCCTGGAAAGCGGAGGTCCCTCTCCGCCCCTTCCTCCGTCGTTCTGGATGCTGCATCGCTTCCAGCGGGGCTGCTGCAGCACCTGCCCATCTCAGCGCCAGCCTGGGAAAGAAAGTAGACGTGTAATTTCAGGTTGGTTTCGCTGAACAATTGTTTGTTTCACGCAATCCCTGGGGGGTTTTTGCGGGGGGTGGGGGGGAGGAAGAGACAAAGGAGGCCGAAAGAAACCGATCACACTGGGGCTTGCTGGTGGGGTAGGATGTGTTCTCGTTACTAGTAATTCTTGGAACAGAAAACGAGACAACATATCCGTCTCCACGTGTGGGAGAAGACCAAGATGGGAATGCGAAAAGAAATGTACTGCAGCATGCTGAATTGGTGGGTAAATGGAAAAAAGACTTTGGAAAAAAGGGGGGTTTGCCCTTCAGCCGTGTAAGACGTCGATACGATACGGCACTTCTTCCCCGTTTGTTCAGATGAATTCGTGTGGTATGCGTAAAATACCAGGAAAATAAATAAAGAGGGGCTGGAGCTAAAGCCAAAAGATAGAACAGGAAAGACCATCACCTGCTAGTGCGGTAGAGAGGAAGGTAACTTCTCTGTATGAATTTGTGTTTGGAAGTTGCCTAATGAAATGGCAAGAGTAGCGATTCAAGTTGTCACAGGAAGCATCCCTTATCCGTGACTTCAAGCAGACCTGCCAAAGGGTGGCACACGCCATGCCCTGTGTCTTCGATCATTCTGTCCGTCAAGGGAGATAGAATCACCGTGTCTTCTACCGGAGTGAATCGTGAGAGACCTAAGTCCAGTCTCCAGAATCAGTTGTTTGTTTGGGGTTGAAAGCTCAACCCCCCATACCTAGGCCACGGGCCCTGTGGCAGGTGGGGTTTACTCTTGGACTAGGTAGTCATGGCAGAGGAACACACAATATCCGAGGATGCGCGCAGCACATTGTGTTCTACAGATTTGACCGACTGGTGGTGAGGTCTCCTCATGACCACACAGGCAGGGAGTTAGCAGGTGGCTTCCTGTGGGTGTGTGAATATCCAACGTGCTTAACCATCGACATGTGTGTGTTTGTGTGTGTTTCAGGTGGCCCAACAGTCCACCCCTGAAAAAGGCGGTCATAAAACCCCCAGGAGACGAAGATGATGGCACGTCGGGACCCCACATCTTGGGCCAAGAGACTGGTGAGAGCCCAGACCCTCCAGAAGCAGCGGAGGGCCCCAGTTGGGCCAAGGGCTCCCCCGCCCGATGAAGAAGATCCCAGGGTAAGTCTAGCCCTGGATCTCTTGGGTATCGGGGTGGGGGTGGGGACGGGGGGAGGGGGTGTCCCACGGTCCTCAGAGACTGGGTTGGATTCCAAAGAGTTCTGTCACCACCAGCCAGGTTGCTTTTCCCATCCAAGGTGGGCGTGGCTTGGGACCTTCTCCCCGGCCCGATAGGTCCCTTGAGAGACTCTTGGGGGCAACCTCCCTTTCTACTTAGAGTCCTGTGTAGCCACGTTTGGCTGCGTTGTTGACATCGGCTTCACCATCGTGCCCCTTGGAACCTTGAGTCCTTCCTTTCAGAGTTCCTCCGTCACACGGGCTTTGCGAGGGAACATCGTATCCGAACTCTCCCAGCACTTAACGGCCCCCATGCCGGTGTCCCCTCTTTGGAATCCTTATTCAGCTCTGAATTCACAATCCATCCCAATGTTAACGTGGGATCGCTGCCTGTGGCTTCAGCTCACTCACTGACATCACTTCCTTTCCACCCACAGCTCAAGTGCAAAAACTGCGGGGCCTTTGGCCACACGGCCAGAAGTACCAGGTGCCCCATGAAGTGCTGGAAGGCAGCCCTGGTTCCAGCGACCTTGGGGAAAAAGGAAGGGAAGGAAAACCTGAAACCATGGAAGCCTGGGGTTGAAGCCAACCCGGGGCCCTTGAACAAGGATAAGGGAGAGAAGGAAGAGAGACCAAGGTGAGCAGTGGGAGGGGTTTTCACCACTCTTAGGGTACTGCCTCCTAAGGACATGGTGTCTCTGCACCTGCACACCGTGTGCCTTTCCGTCTCCGGGCCAGGGAAGGAACGCTGCAGAGAAATAGGCCGGAGCTCCGTGTCCTCCGGGGTTCCACACCCAGGAGCTCCTTGGGCTCTGGGAGATTCAGGGACGGGGAGAGGCGGGGGCGCTTCATGCAGGTTCCCCACGACAGGGGGAAAAGCAATGGAATCCAAATCACAGTCCTTAGTTGGGAAGCCTAGAGGGCCACCTGGAGGATGGGAAGGTTGGCACGTGAGGGAAGGTGCAGAGGCGGAAAGGGCACCAGATTTCCATTTCTGTATCACAAGACACGGAATGGGGCTGGGCCCCAGACGGGGTTCTCCCTGTCTCCTGGGGAAAACCAGGGGGCACGGCCTGACCTTTTTCTGTTCTGCAGGCAACAAGACCCGCAGAGGAAGGCTCTCCTCCACATGTTTTCCGGGAAACCTCCAGAGAAGCCGCTGCCGAATGGAAAAGGATCCACGGAATCTTCTGATTATCTGAGGGTGAGTGTCACCCCGGGCCCCTGGTCCTTTTATCCTCTAGGTAACCCTGGTTGATTTCCTTTCAGCTTCCCGTCTGCGGGAGGAAATCGGGGAACCCCTCTTTCTTGTCTTCTTGGAGTCAGGGCCTCCACGATCCTTCCAGGTCAGTTTGATTCCAGGCGAAGTCATCTGAAGATGCCGTATTTCCTGTGGCTTTCTTTCTGTCCAATTATGGCAAGCCTGCCAACAACACGTTCCTAGCGGCATGAGGAAATTAGTCCCTCAGAGGCCCCAAACGTGGAGAAGGCTAAACCCAGGAACATGCATGTGTTCAGAGAAGACGTCCCGAGTACCCTTGAGCCACCAACCTGCCTTCGGAAAGCCATTAGTCCGTTCCACTTCATGGAAGGCTGAGTGGAGGCACTTTGATCCAGTTAATGCCCAAGACGCAATCTTTTGAACAATGGTGTGCTTAGATCAGCTACACATAGCTCGATAGCGCATCGTTCATGTGTCTTGTCCTGATCAGCACTCAGGTGGAGGGTCTGTCCCTACTTCCAAGGACCGCCTGTCGATACTGTACTAAGAATTTCATGGTGTGTGCACCTTGTCTTTGGATGTGTTTGATTTTCATGTTGGCTCCATGCTGAGGAACTTCTAACCTGTGTTGTTTCCTCTCTTTCAGGTTGCAAGGGGGCCAATGCCGGTCCACACAACCAGTAAGAGGCTGCGCATGGACCCTGTCCTCTCTGGTCGCTCAGCTACCGAAATGTCTGGCAGGGGCTCCGTCTTGGCTTCACTGTCTCCCCTCAGAAAAGCCAGCCTGAGCTCCTCCTCAAGTCTTGGACCAAAGGAAAGACAGACAGGGGCTGCCGCCGACATCCCTCGGCCTGCAGTCAGGCACCAGGTCCTCGAGACTCTCCTCGTGGTGGAGCCGACACACAGCAGCCCTGAGGGTAGCTGCCGAGAAGTTCCCCAGGCTGCCTCCAAAACCCACGGCCTGCTCCAGGCCGTCAGAACCCAGGCACAAGACAAACGTCCTGCGGTGACCTCACAGCCCTGCCCATCAGCCGCCACACACAGCTTGGGCCTAGGCTCCAATCTCAGCTTTGGGCCAGGAGCCAAGAGACCTGCCCAGGCTCCGATTCAGGCTTGCCTGAACTTCCCCAAGAAACCGAGACTGGGTCCCTTCCAGATCCCCGAAAGCACCATCCAGGGAGGTGAGCTGGGGGCCCCGGAGAATCTCCAACCTCCACCAGCCGCAACCGAACTTGGACCAAGTAGGTCGCCCCAGATGGGCAGGAGGACACCGGCCCAGGTGCCCAGCGTTGAACGGCAGCCTCCGCACCGCAGACCTTGCCTGCCTACTGCCCAGGCCTGCACCATGTCCCATCACCCAGCGGCCAGCCATGATGGGGCCCAGCCTCTCAGAGTGCTCTTCCGGAGACTGGAAAACGGACGCTGGAGCTCCAGCCTCCTGGCGGCCCCCTCATTTCACTCTCCTGAGAAGCCGGGAGCCTTCCTCGCTCAGAGCCCTCATGTGTCAGAGAAGTCTGAGGCTCCCTGTGTTCGTGTCCCACCGAGCGTCCTCTATGAGGACCTTCAGGTTTCCTCCTCCTCAGAGGACAGCGATTCTGACCTGGAGTGAGACTGCAGGTGGCAGGGGCTCCTTGGCCTCCAGCTCCCGTGACTTGGAGGGGACTGTGGGACTGAGGAGCGCAGAGCAGAGAGCAGACTCTGCGCTGACTTCGATGCTCCCCGGCTGTCGCGCTTCTGTGGATGTGGGAGCCCAGGCCAGGCAGAGAACAGATGCAGGGACTCTGCCTCATTGAATTCTGGTGAGGGACATTGTATTTCGCATGGGTCTCCGGAAACGCACCAGGAAAAGCTTCCGCGTCAGTGATTCTTTGCGTCAGAAACTGCGTGATGCGCTGGAGTCAGACTTCCGCTGGGACGTCAATAGGAAACTAGGGAATTACTGTGTATTTGCTCTTTAGATGACTGAATAAGGGAAAAGTTAGGGAACCCTGAGAGGTGCAGCCCTTCCTCTGTGCTCCGCCTTGAGAGCAGTGTTTCGGACGCTGGGAAGCGTGCTGTGCAAAGTGCTCTCGGGGTCTTTCCTCAGCCTCGAAAACTGGGCTCTGGAATGCCTTTGTAAACAGGTGTGTTGAATTTGTTTTGAAGTGAATAAAATTCTCAAAAAGATGACATATTGTCTTTTGACTCTCATTCCGTGTTTGTGTTTAACTGATTTTCCAAGTGTAGGGATCGCCTGCCCCTCCACACCTGTGGGTGTTTCTAGTCGGGTGGGATGAGAGACGGAGAAAAGAAATAAGACACAGAGGCAAAGTATAGGGAGACAAAAGTGGGTCCAGGGGACCGGCACTCAGCACACCAAGGACCTGCACCGGCACCGGCCTCTGAGTTCCCTCATTTTTAATTGATTATGATTTTCATTATTTCAGCAAAAAGGAATGTAGTAGGAGAGCAGGGTGATAATAAAGAGAAGGTCAACCAAAAAAACATATGAGCAAAGCAATCTATATCATAATTAAGTTCAAGGGAAGGTACTATGCCTGGACGTGCACGTAGGCCAGATTTATGTTTCTCTCCACCCAAACATCTCAGCGGAGTAAAGAATAACAGGGCAGCATTACTGCCAACATGTCTCGCCTCGCGCCACAGGGCAGCTTTTCTCCTAGCTCAGAGTTGAACAAATGTACGATCGGATTTTACACCGAGACATTCAGCTCCCAGGGGCGAGCAGGAGACAGTGGCCTTCCTCCATCTCAACTACAAGAGGCTTTCCTCTTTGACTAATCCACCTCAGCACAGACGCTTTACCGGTGTCAAGCTAGGGGACAGTCAGGTCTTTTTTATCCCACAAGGCCATATTTCAGAGTATCGCATCGGGAGAAACCTTGGACAATGCCCTACTTTCAAGGGCAGACGTCCCTGCAGCTTTCCACGGTGCATTGTGCCCCTGGTTTATTGAGACTAGAGAATGGCCACGACTTTTACCAAGTATACGGCTTGTAAACATTTGGTTAACAAGGCACGTCCTGCACAGCCCTAGATCCCTTAAGCCTTGATTTTATACAACACAGGTTTTTGTGAGCTCCAAGTTGGGTCAAAGCGGCTGGGGCAAAGTGCCTGGGGCAAAGCTACAAATGAACAACATCTCAGCAAAGCAATTGTTTAAAGTACAGGTCTTTTCCAAAATGGAGTCTCTTATGTCTTCCCTTTCGACATAGACACAGTGACAGTCTGATCTCTCTTTCTTTTCCCTACATCCAAGGGCTTGAACATTTCTTGACTTGTTAGCAATCCAAATCGTTATGTCTCCGAAACAGAGTTGACTGAGGGGACCGCACGGCTGGGCAGGACCTTTGACTTCGTATACATCCACAGGAGAAAGAGAACCTCAGCCCCACTCTACCAACACGCACCTAGTAAAATTCCGCCAACTGAATCTCACGCACGCTAACACGTGGGGAGCGTTGCTTGCACCGCGAGTCCCCATTTGGCTCAACCGCCGATGCCAAGTGTGTGGTTCCGGTTGCGACGGCCCCCCGTGAAGTGGCTTCCGGATGTGCGAATGAACCAGGCAGAGTTTCACTGACCAAATAGTCCCCAGCAAAGCTGTAGTTAACTCCCACATTTGGGATGTACTTCAGAGGTAAAACATTCATCCCATCTTCTTTCCGGATGTCTGACACCGGGCCTTTCCATGGTTCTCCCACTGATCCTAAGAGTAGCTGAGGTAGAGACTCACTGAAAGATCTAGGCAGGGATATCTCATCATGCACAGACTCTCTCTATTCTCTGACCTGGGAACAACTCTGAGCAGGATTCCACATCTAGGAGGCCTCGGAACTGAGCGGTATTTTCTGAGACACACTGAATGGCTGCTCCCTTTCCGCCGCTGTTGAGGGTCGTTATCTTGATTATCCAGATCACCTAGAAAGTATCCGTATCCAGAATCAATAAGATCTACTCTCTGCTCCTCTGACAGCAGAAGCAGCAGGACCACAATGAACCAAAGAGCGTGGAAGGAAACGATGTGACCGGAAAGCTCAGAGAACGGCCACAGGGAGTCGTAAGCAGGCCTTCCAAACTGAATCATGAATAATTAATGAAGCGCAAATCAAAGGGGACTCGAGTTTCAGCAGGTGCAATTCATCCAAAGGGAGATCGCCGGAGGGCCAACAAGATTGAGAAACTGGGAGTCGGGTGCAGTGTCAAGGGGGACGCGACTGGTTCCAAAGCTCGGGAAGACCATGGGGTCACTTGGGCTACATGAGAAAATGCCCCAGTGTGCTGGTTCATCATTCCGACTCCTGCCTGTCTCTTCCCGTCCAAGGAACATGGACCCTAACTCGTGCAGTTCCAGATGACTATGGGCAGAATTAGGGGCCGTGGCCCAAAAGTTCACCGACATGGGGGTTCCACAGAAGGTGAGGTGGATCTTTGCAAATCCAGAGAAATGACAATAGGACCCAGGGAATTAGAGCCTCACAGGCGTCCGGGAGACTTTTCAGGTATAATGTCTGGTGTCGCAAGACGAGCTGAAAAGGGAGCCAGGCACTGAAAGACAAAGCGGTGTTGACTTTCTTCATCTGTGTTTCCCAAAGCAGTCCAATTCACTTTGGTAGAATTCATGTATTTATTTTCCGTTGGCTTGTAGTTGCAAACTTTTGATGTTATTGATTTTTGGTTGGAGAGTTTCGGTTTGAAAAAGTAGATATTCTGAATATGGAGGTTGTCCAAGATTGTATCTCAAGGTGAGTCTACTTGATTCCAGCGAACCATACTTTGACATATAATACATATGTTTTAATTATATTTTGTCTGTTTTAAAACAGCTTAAAAAATCACTTCGTGGAAAATGTCAGTTAGATACACCAATGTTAACTTTCTCATCACATGTCCAGAGGCACTGTAAAATTCATTCTAGAATGCAAAATTCCCAGCCACTTCTACGTGGAACTTTCTGCAGAATGGGATTGTATCCAGTTTTCAGGGGGCGCAGGTGTGGTACGAGCTGGTCCTTGGTTTCCTGCTGAAGTTGGAATCCTGCAGATTGCTTAGGGGCGGTTTCCACCTGTCCCTTCTTTCCAGGTCATCACTAACCTTTCCTGATCCCCCATGGGGACTCAGAACTTATCTAGAGTCACAGGCCCACCTGGGATGCTGCCCTTGAGCCTCTGTGCTGTCCATGATGGTTCCATGCCACTGATCTGCTGGGACACATTCTGCAGAGGGATGGGCTTGCATGAGCTGTCCCTGCCTTTCTGAAAATCACAGAGATTTCTGGTGTCTGAAGCCACATAGAAATATCTGTGGAGTCTCGGGAAGGCCAGGGATGCCATTCACAGGCTGCTGTTCTTCCTCTTAATGGCAGCAAGAGTGATTTCTGAGTTTCCTAATTGACTTCGAAATAATTTTGTTGATTTTGTTGTGACAAAGACCACTCCTCTTTCTGTGGCATCCAGTTCACCTGTAGGGTTTTTTGGGATTATGTGGAAACTCTTGCATTTTTCCAGAGCCTCAATTCATCCTGGATGTTCTCAGGAATGCACTAGCTGATCCCTGCCTTGGTGGCATCTTGAAACATTGAGGGAGGCCCCTTAGGTCCATGAGGCACAAGGAGGTCCATCAGGAATTGAGGGGGCATGTGTCTGCCCATCTGTAGCTGGAACTTCCATTTGCCTTCAGAATGCAGGTTCTTCCTGAACTAATAAATTATCTTCATCTTGGTGTAAGTAGCCACAATATAATAATTCATAGTAACTCTATTAATAAAAATAACTGAATATCAACAATGAAGGTAATAATGACAATGTTAATTATTATAATATTAATAGTAAAAATAAAACAAAGGCAATATAGATTACGGATTCCCCTAAGTGAAGGACAATGTCCAGATATAGGGACACATGTGTCGTTTGCACTCAGAGTCAAATGAAACGTGTTCCTCAAAGGCAAAGGACAAGCAGCATAAGGAAAACACAACGTTCATGGATGATCACATGGGCTACCTTGGAACTCATGTGGAAAGACTGCAGGCAAAGTGTATCTGGTACTGGGACTGCTCACCAGCCAGCCCCCACCCACCTTCATGAGGTAGGACAGCAGGATAATGGGGAAGGGGTCCATGCAAGGGATGCAAGGCTCGTGTCACACCTGATTCAAAGAAGCACTGCTTCTGACAGATGTTTATCTCCTAACACTGTGTCACCTCTAATTGCCTGGCTGCATGTCTGCCATCTGTTCTTCTTAGGTCACAGGAGGGACAGACATTACTGTCCACCTATCTGCATACAGAGCCATTGGAGGCTATTACCCTTGTTGCTTCCTCTTTGGAAAGGGGCAACATACATGGCAGATGCCATTCTCTGTCTCTTTGGAAAACTTTGTCAGCACATTTAAGGTTTTCTTCAGCCACAGAAAGCCACCTGCTTCAAAGTCTCATCCTCCACAAGTGGCAAGCACACAATCATTAATGGAGGCAAGGGGTACATAGGCTTTGCCATTTGATTCAGTTGGGACAATAGGGGAGGACTTCTTAGCTCTACAGCTCTGTCCGTGTGGCCAGCTGACAATGTCAGGCTGCACTGCGATTAGACTTGTCCCTTTGCACATAAGGCTTCCCTCCAATCCTTTCCACAGATGTGGATCCTCACATCACTTCCTAATATACATCCTGCACACTAAACTTCATCTATATCCAGTTCCCTGGGAACCAAACCTGTGACAAAAGTGAAAAGTTTCTAGGGAAAATAGGGTTTCCTCATCAGACAGGAATCAAATGCTGCTGAGCTAGAAAATAAAGTAAAGTCTGATGCCATCTCCTGATTTTTTTAATTAGGACATTAGCACTGCCAGCAAGAATTATGTGCATCAATTTGTGGGGACAAACATCATGTTGGAGTGGGATGAGGTTGCTGTGAGTTGAGGAGAAATGCTGGTGAATGGACTTTACCCTCAACTTGGATTCAGGAGAGGACATAAAAACAGCTGGAAATAAAAGGTGTCCGAAAACATTTTTCTGGTTTTTCAAAACTTCCAATTTCAGGTTGGGAGACACTATGTTTAAATTCTAAAGGGATGTAGCATGCTGAGAAGAAATAACTATAAACAAGGTGTCCATTTTATGAATAATACAATTTATGGTATGACAGAAGACCAAGGGACATAACACAAATTTGGAGTTAAAGAAATTAACAGACATTCTCAATAATTCCTCAGCTATTATGGCAGAGATGCTGGGACAATGGATGTCCATGTAGCAGTACTTTTTTTTTTTTTTTTTTTTTTTTTTGGGAGACGGAGTCTCACTCTGTAACCAGGCTGCCCTGCAATGGCGCAATCTTGGCTCACCGCAACCTCTGCCTCCCGGGTTCAAGCAATCCTCCTGCCTCAGCCTCCCGAGTAGCTGGGACTACAGGCACACACTACCACACTCAGCTAATTTTTGTATTTTTAGTACAGATGGGTTTTCACCATGTTGGCTAGGATGGTCTCAGTTTCCTGATCTCGTGATCTGCCTGCTTTGGCCTCCCAAAGGGTTGGGATTACAGGTGTGAGCCACCATGGTTGGCCCTTGTAGCAGTACTTTTGAACTTAATGGCTGAAAGTATCCACCTCCAAACTTACATATTATATCTGCAAAAGAGTACAAACCATGTGATGAATTTCAAAGGGAAGACAAGCCTGTGGGAATTCAACAGCCATGGCAATGCTTTGAACTTCTTTTTCTTAAACATGTAAGAAGTAAGTGAAGTTCAAGACCTAACAGAATTGCCAGGAATTATTTGAGGAATTACCAAGATGACCATAGACACTATGAAATCCTTACGATGCCCTCTGCTGGAGTTTCCTCCTACAGCCAGCGATTTTAAGCCAGAAGAAAATGTCTCTGCAGGCATAAGAGTTCAACCCAAATGTACTATTCAATTTTAAATGTGATGACAATAAAATTATGTGCTATATAGCAACAACTTTTTTTTTCTTTCAGACAGAGTCTTTCTCTGTTGCCTAGGCTGGAATGCAGTGGGGCACTCTTGGCTCACTGCAATCTCTGCCTCCTGTGTTCAAGTGATTTTCCCACCTTTTTCACAATGTATCCTTATCCTCAAACTCATCCTCCTAAGTAGCTGGGATTATAGGCATGTGCCACCATGTCTGGCTGATTTTTGTATCAGCAAAATTATTTCTGGGGTGGAGAGTTAGGAATCTTTTTTCTCCCACACCCAAAAACATGTTGTCCAAATGATCTGTCAATAGAAATAATTGATACCTATATTTGCTAACCTACCTTTTTCTTTCTTTAAATTCAGAACTAGAGTATAGAAAAGGATATTAAGAAGGTTCTCTTAATTTTCAACACAAGTTATGGGCTAGGCACTGTGCTAGGTGCTACAGATACGCACTAATATACCCACAATAGTTTTGCCTTATTGCCTTCTATGTTCTAATAATACACCAAAAGAAAAGTATAGATTAGCTTTTTATTTTTTTGAGATGGAGGTTAATTCTCTCACCCAGGATGGAATGCAGAGGTGGGATCTTGGCTCACTGCACTTTCTGCCTCCTGGGTTCAAGTGATTCTCCTGCCTCAGCCTCCTGAGTAGCTGGGATTACAGGCACGTGCCACGATACCCAGAAAATTTTTGTATTTTTCAGAAAGACAGCTTTCATCATGTTGGCCAGGCAGGTCTCAAACCCCTGGCCTCAAGTGATCCACCCATCTTGGCCTTCCAAACTGCTGGGATTACAGGCATGAGCCATAGTGCCCAGCCACAGAGAATAGCTTTAAATAGAATGTATGAAACCAAAAGAAACGTATGCTCATCAATTTTATACTGTATTTGGCCAGGTGCAGAAGATCGACTTGTAGTAATGTAAGGGAATAAGGTCAATTCACATCTAATTGTTTGGACAAGTCACCAGAAATCAAAAGTTGGAGGAGTTGTATCTTTTGAGGTGGGTTGCACAGGCAAGCAGCAAGTTGCTATCTCTCCAAAGTCCTAAACTGTTCTATTTGTCCTACTGTGGAAAAATGAGTCTTCAACTTGATTTCAATTTATATAGGAAAATGCTTAATAAAACTAATAAGGGCTACATTCCAGGACACAGCCAGACCACACATATACTGAAACTTGATTCTAGAGACACCTCCTCTTCAATGTAATTGGATTTTCAAGACAACAAAAATATAACTCTGACACAATATTGGAGAGCCAAAAGGAAAGGACAATTTGGGTTGAAATTTTTTCTTTTAAAAATGTGTCCTTGAGTTCTATTAACAATAGCTAAAGCCTAGGAACAGCTCAAATGTCTATTGAGAGGAAATTGATAAATTATATGCATATTATAGAGTAATATTTAGCAATAAAGGGGAAAAATCAACTCTATGAATCAACATCATGATCATGGATCAATATAATCTTTCTAACCCCGATTGGGGAAAGCTAAGCTAAAAAGTGTCCTATAATATAAATAAATGTATACAAAATTCTAGAACAGACAAACCTAATATAAGCTAAAAAAGTTCAGGAAAGTCAGGTGCAGTGGCTCATGCCTGTTATGTCAGCACTTTGTGAGGTGGGTGGATCGCATGAACCCAGGAGTTCAAGACCAGCCTGGCCAACATGTTGAAGCTACCCCATCTTTACCAAAAATACAAAAGTTAGCCCAGTATGGTGTGGTACACAGGAACAGAAAACCAAATACTACATATTCTCATGTATAAGTGAGAGCTAAACATTGGGTTATACACTGTTTAGCTCTCACTTATATGGAAACAACAGACACTGGAGATTCTTAGAGAGAGGAGGGAGGGTTGGGTGCAAGGCCTGAAAAACTACCTATTGGGTATTATGTTCACTAAGTGTGTGATGAGATCATTCATACTGTAAACCTCAGCAGCACACAATACATCCATGTAACAAACCTGCACATGTATCCTCTGTGTCTAAAATAAAAATTAAAAAAGTAAAAAATGAACAAAGATATATGAGCAGGCATTTCTTGAAAAAGGAGATACAAATGGACAACATATATATAAACAATTCTTACCCTCTCTAGTCATCACGGGAATGCAAATGAAAACTACCAAGAAATATCACCTCACACCTGTTAGAATAGCTATTATCAAAAAGATGGATGATAACAAGTGTTGGTAAGGATGTGGAGAAAAGGGAACCTTTGTATACTGGTGGTGGGAATGTAAATTAGTATGGCCACCTTGGAAAACAGTATGGACGTTTCTCAAAAAATTAACAATAAAAATACCATTTTGTTCCAGCAATCCCACTTATTTTATATATAATATATATATCTATATATATACATATATAGATATAGATATATATATATATATATGAAGTCACGAAATCAGTATGTGAAAGAGTTATCTGCGCTCCTATGCTCCTTTCAGCACTGCTCACAATAGTCAAGATCTATGAAGAAGACATACATGTTATCATTCATTCATGGACGGCTGAATTATTGTTTTATATATATATATATATATGCACAATGGAATATTATTCAGTATTATATAATAATGAAACCCTGTCATTTGTGACAACATTGATGGATCTGAAAGGCATGAAGTCATGTGAAATAAACCAAACACAGAATGACAAATACTGTATGATTCCCCTTGTATTTGAAATCTCAAAAAAACAAACTCAGAAGCAGAGGGTAGACTGACCAAGAACTGTGGTGCAGGTAAGTGTGTAGGTGTGATTACAGTACAAAGTTTTAGATATATCACATAAATAAGTTCAGGAGGTCTAATTTATAGCATAGTGCTTATAGCTATGAATACTGCATTGCATACTTAAAATATAATAGGAGGGTGAATTTTATGTTAATTATTCTTACCAATAAAAATAATAATTAGAATGGGAGGGAGAACTTTGGGAGGTGATGAATATGTTTATAATCTTGATGGTAGTGATGCTTTCACAATGTATCCTTATTCTCAAACTCACTGAGATATACACATTAAATAGGTACAGCTTTTTGAATGTAATCATGTCTCAACAAAGTGTTTTTAAGGGGGGTTGGTTAAAAAATTTAAAAAGGAAGGGTAGATGTTCCTTTGCCCTTCTCTCATGGATTTTTCTCCCTGCTGTCTAGAGTTCAGGAATAATAGGTGGGAATTTAGCAGCCAAACTAGGACCTTTTCTAAAGTATAGCAGAGCAGAGAGCCGGAAGGGACCTGCATCCCTAATGATATTAGAAAGTATCTGTACTAGCCCTGAATGGTATAACTACAGGTTAATTTTAAGTGAAAAAGAAATCAACTTCTGCTTTGCTTAAGCAAACTTATTCAGGCATTAATTTTATAAACATGTAGAGAATATATACTCCTTATGAGCAGAAACAATGTTTGTGCCATATGGTACATGATGGGTGTTCAATAATGTGTGATGATGATAATAATGAACACAATAGTGATACATAAAAGAAAATAAAAAGCAGTGAAACAAAGTGGTTTAATAAAGATACATAGTTATTTTGTTGAAAGATTCTGCTGCTAATATTATTCAATACTTTTGTATGCTGGTGCAAGTAAGGAAATTTACATTGTCTAATAAAAATTATTTATCAATTTATAAAACAGTAAATATTTCATAGAATGGGGCTATGAATCTGCATTGCAAACTAACACTTTCAGTTGATTTTATGCACAGTAATTATTGAGAATCCCCTTATCTAGATCCAACGGACCTGGACCTACATAGGTGCTACCAAAACTTAAGGAAGAAAATTTTCCTGACTCTATCCATACCTCCAGTTAGTAATACATCTAGAGATTTAGAACTGAAATCCAGACATCCTGCTTCCATGTGCAGTGACCTTTCACTGTCCTGTTTTGCTTCAATTGATGAAGAGGATTTGAGAATAAATGACCACATGATTCAACTCCTCCTCAGCTCTGAGGAATATAGCCCTGTCCTGGCAAACAAGAAGCTCCTGCAGTAGTAGAGGGGGCAAATATATGTTCACTAATCTAACATACAAGGCAGTAGGCACTGTACCATAAACAAGGCACTGTGGGGATTCAGACCAGGGGCAAAGTGGGGATTAATAGGGCAAGTAAAGTCTGGGAAGTGTTCACTAACAAAATGTCTAATCATTAAACTAAACGGTTTCTCAACATGGCCTAATTAATTGTAACAATATAAATGGTTGTTTGTTCATAAACCTTAATCTTTTGCCAAAATATTTGTAGCTTATGTTCCCATTTAACAAGGTTTTCTGGTCAAAACTGTGCACCCACATCATTCTAATGAACTTAGTGTCCAATAAAACATGGACTCTCAGTCGTCTCATGAAGGTCATTTTGTGTGCATAGTACATCTCTGTGAATATGCCTAATGAGGTATGGAAGGACACTTATTATCCAAACAAAGACATTCCACTGGTGCTAGAGAGCCACAGACGGAAGTTTTCTCTGCCTACTGGAAATAAAGCCAAGCTTTCTTCTTTCCTCAGCCATGAGGATTGCTGTCTTCCTCTTTATCATTCTGTCTTTTTTTTTTTTTATGAGCCAAGCTCCACCAAATAACAGGATAAACTTTGTGTAAGGCTTGGTAAGAGTAGAGTGTCTGACACATTATGGTGCTATAATACTCAAAGCAAAAGCAAAATCGCCTATGACCAGAAAAGGGAGTCACATAGGAAATCTAGAAGACCTATTGGCTGAGAGACCTGCAGCCTCATAGTTCATTAGCTCTCCATAGCAACTCTCACATGAAATGAAGTCAGTGGTGTTTCAAGTGCTTGAAACCCTCTTTACTCTACTTCTAAATGTGAATTAATTAGGCAAGTTTACTAGCAGTTACTAGACCTCAAAAGCAAAATAATCAGGCATTATTCTACTAAATATTGGTCTCCATAACTCCTCTATTTTCTTTTGGAAAAGTTAGTTAGTCTAAGACATTTGGCATAAAGGCTATGCCAAAGCTTTGGTGGGGTCAGCCAGGAAGGATTCGTGGGGCCTCCTTGAAAATATTGCAATTATCTAAGAAATTTTCAACCTATTGCCCCTCAGTACTGTTGGTCCCCTGTACTTGACTTTTCCCCTTAAGTTTGATTCCATTTCCTAACATTATCCTTCCCTCTTCCTCCTCAGCAACTAGTCTTCTAAATTAGAACTTAAACACAATGACCAGATATGACCCTGCAACAGAGCACGCCCTTCTGCATTGAGCATGCAATCATGAATCACAGGTATAAGACCCCTTGAACAGACATGGTTTTGGTGATTCTGTGTAGGACTTATTGCTTTTACCCAAGAAGATGATCAGGCATCCTAAGTAGATCAGAAAATTTTCTGGAGCTCTTGAACTTGTATAGGCAAGAAAGATTAAGCAACATGTTGCCTTATATGAGGCAAACTATCTTCTCATATTTTCTTTTGAATTCAGGATTTCAAGGTTGGGGAAGGAGTGGGAAAGTAGCCATGGACGTGTAAGAATGCGGATCGTCCTTTTACATTGTCAGGGATGGTCAAATTCTATGCTTTATGTTGTTTGCTAAAAGACACTTTCCAAAGTTTTCAACAGAAAATATGATGGCACACATGCCTATTCTTGGTGAACCCAGACTTTTCTATCTAGTCTGTGATAGTAAATTTAAAAGGACTGCTTAGGGTAAATGAATCCTTCAAGTTATAAAGATGAAGGGCAGTTTTTGGACAATTCCCATTTTGCTGTAGGAAAACTAATCTGGAAGAAGTAAAAGGGAAAGATTGAAATGGAGATAATGGAGATGGAGAATGAGTTCAGTTGATCAAATTTTTGTTAAGCGCCCACTGTATGTGGGGCCCTTACAAGGAAACAAGCAGACAAAGAAAAAAAGCATGTGATGGCCTTGCTCCTAAGAAGCCAGAGGCCAGTCACCTGGATTGCTACATACCAGGAAGACGTCAACAAGCCCCTACAATACAGCACTGGCATAGGATGAAGAAGAGGTTTCTTTGTATGAGATAAATAGCACACAACCAAAAAAAAAAAGCCAAAAGATACACAAGGTTCGAAAACCTAAGTCACCAACCCTTAAGAGATCTGATTGTTGGTGGTGACTTTGGAAGGAAAATTATTATTAGGATTATTTTAGTACTAAGAGTTTTGAGCTGTCTATCCAAGATTGTCATCTGCACCTCTGCCTTAGGTAATACTGTGTGTGTGTGTGTGTGTGTGTGCATGTGCGTGCCTTTGCATGTGTTTGAAATATATTCTGTATCCCACACTCCACATAGGTTTGGGGCTGATCTGAAACTATACTCTTAGGGATGGGGTTAAGCTACTCTGTCACATTGTGAAGAGTTGATATGTAAGAGACTCTTAACCTTTTATAAATTACCTTTAAAATGTTTCCTTTTCTGTGAAGGGAAGAATAACAATTTGTAAACAAATGCAAAAATATCTTTAACTAAACAAAAGAACAGTTTGTTAGCCTTGTTATGATTAGCAGAGAGGATAGCTGCAGACACTGTAAAATCACTCAGCAACAAGATTTGACAAAACCTTAAATATGGGTCTATTTTTCCTGTTTTATAGAGGAAAATATTAAGGCTCTGGGAACTGAAGTGCTTTTCCCAACAGTGGAGTAAGTGTCAGAGTCAAGGCTAGGTTTTACATCCCAGCTTTCCCTATATATTCCACCCTATGGTTCTGTTGTGCTGTTCCTTTGTGTGACTCCGTAAAGCCTGCTTAAAAGTGATATCATATCAAATTGTATTAACTCAGTAGCACATAACACCAGGGAATTGATTTATAAGATTTTTATTCTTGTGGCGTTGCTGAAGACCCATCTGATTAGTAGTTATCAAGTAGTCATCCTGGCTAAATATATGGGTTTGATTTTTAATTTTGAAAATGAAAAATATTTTAAAATATATGTCTTACATCCATATCCCAGGAAATTCTAATCAAGTTTTAAAACTTTCAAATTTAGATAAACTAATGGTTTTTTGTTTTAATTTTCTCTCAATGAAAATAGAAGAAACTAATTGGATAGAACAGCACAGCAGAAGCATTACTTATAGCCATAAATGGGATAAAACAAGACTGAAGAAGAAAATGCAAGACAGTGCTTAAAAAAGCAGTCTAATGAAAAGTGAGGTCTCCTCTGGATGTCCTTAGGTAGACACTGCAGCAGAACTGTAAAGTTTTTCTGGAAGTCTGGGGAAGAGAGGAGGAAACAGAGAAGGGGCAAGAGGAGAAAATAGAATGAGGCTCAGAATACCAAGCCTTAGTGCTGTCCCTATCGCCTTCCTCGCTAGATCACTGGGTGATCCTGGGCAAGTTTCTTCCTTTCCCTCAGCTTATTTCCTCATCTGTCATGTAAGTGACTAGACAAGATAGCCTATGATGTTCATTGTAACTCTAACTTTTCCTTCCCAAAGCAAATAGCTGGAAAAGACACTGTGCTTACAATATGCAACAAATAAAAACAAAAGATTTTTAAAAACCCCTAGTGTAACTTGAATTCTTACAAATAAGCAATGGTACATCATAATTTTACAAAGCTCTTTTGTGATTTCATTTTTAAAATCAAGTCAAGTTTTATTTTACTTCATAATAAGATAATGGGAGATAAGTGTTAAATGGGTTCATGAAGGAATGTTTGTAAAAGATGCAATAATCCAAAATAGGTAATTGTTATATTAGTAGTTCCCTTTACTTGGGGGGGGGGGGGAACAGATAGAAGAGTGTTAGGAAAAGCTTCATAAAGTGGATTATATAGAATGTGCTTTAAAAGAGTTTGGTGTTTTACTGAGTGGGGAAAGAGCAATATGGGGAGTTATTGTTAAAGGGTTAAAGCTATAAAAAATGAATCAATTACAGAGATAGGCTCCAAACCATAGTACTTATAGTTAACAATAAGGTATTTTGTATTCAACAATTTGTTAAGAGGGTCGATCTTAGGGGTTCTGACAACAACAACAACCACAACAAAGGGACGTAGGAAACATTTGGAGGTGATGGATATATTATTACCTGGATATTGGTGTGGTAACAAGATAATACTTATGTGCAAACTTGCCAAACTATATCCATTAATTATGTACTTTTTGTGTATAACAATTTTACTTCAGTTCCTACTATATTGCCTGGCAAACAATAGATGTATAAAGTGAGATCAATGATTATTGCATATGCATGTCAAAAATAATAAAGAAAGCAGGTGACAATAAAGACATCCTGAATCTTTGGGAAATAAATAGCATTCACCTGCTTTCTCATCCATTGAGATATCACCACCTTTATGTACTTATGTGTCCCTGGAAGTTTCCCGTGGGAGATTTAGTTATTCTCTTTTCGTTAGGCTCTACTGACCAAGAACAAATCACAGACTCAGAGAGCATCATAAAAAGGCCTAGACCCACGATGCCCAGAGACTCCAGGCTCAACCCACATTGATGCTGGCCCTTCAGCCATGAGACTCCATTTGCTTCTCCTTATTCTCCTTCTTTTTTCAATTCTCTTATCCCCAGGTAAGTTGGTAGCTCATTACTATAAGGTTCTGCAGATGAGAAGGCTATATCCCTGGCCAGACAAGAACCTAGAATCAGTCCTGTGGGTTCAAGAACCTAATATTTACAGCTTCACTAGGATTATAATAGGGAAAAATAGAAAAGAGACTCATTTAGCAGTATGTCCTCTTGATAAGATTCCATCCATGTCTTTTGACCTAGTGAGTGGATATAATAATGGATGCTGCTGAAATTCAATCCTGTCAGATGAAACTGCCTACATGTAAATTTCCATGCCCCACCAAGCACCTCAAGATACAAAGTAAGGATACAACAGAACATGACCTCAATGAGATGCCTTTGCGGGACATGGAAATTTATATGCAGGCAGTTAGATCTGACAGGATTGAATTTCGGTGGCATCTATTATTATATTCACTTAATAGGTCAAAAGAGATGGATGGTATCCTATCAATAGGAGCTACTCTAAATGGGTGTTGACAAATCTGAAGGTTTTATTCGAAGAAACAGAAAAACTATAATCCTAGAATAAATGAAAATTATATGAGAGACTTTTCAAAATAAATTATGTTTTATGTGGTTATGAATAAAAAATGATTTTCAAAGTGCAACTGAAGAGTAGAAAGGAGAGTTAAAGGAACTTCAGACAAGTGAATTAATAAGGAGCAAAGACACCAACAAGTGCTGCTCAAGGTATATTACAGGTAACCACACAGAAATGGGTAACATAACTTTCAATACAAAAATGGCTAAAATTTACTGGGCTAAGCATGCATTTTGGGGGCTTTTGGAAAAAAAAAACAGCATAATAAACCTAAAGAAGATAAAGGGAAAATTATAAATACAAAATATAAATTAATGAAACAAATGAGAAAAAATAGTATTTTAAAAAATGTTTTTCAAAAAGTCTAATACACTTTATAATAACCTGGCAACACTGAACAAGAGAAAATGAGAACATGCTTAAAATAACTATTGCAGGAATGAAAGGTTAATATCAAAACAGATGTTTCAGAGATTCAAATAATTTTTAAATTTGTGTATATTCCGTCTTCACTGTGTACTTGGGGATTTTCCTGTTGCAGTTCACTATATCACGACTGTGTCATCAATTTTGATGCTAGTAAATTATTACCATCAGCATACAAATATGCTGTTGTTTTTCTGATCTAAGAAAAAGAATTTCCTTGCTTTTCTTCTGATGCCAGCTGTCCTCCCCTTTTTTGCTCTACTTTTCAGCAAAACATCTTAGAATAGTTGTCCATATTCTCTGTCTTCAATTCCTCTCCTCTCATTGTTTCTTAAATATATCCCAATCAAGCTCTCATTGTTTCTTAAATATATCCCAATCAGGCTCTCTCCCCCTTTTTCGATCATGCTATTGACACCACTTTTGTCAAAGTTATGAATAATCTCCACATTGCTAGATCCAATGATCATTTTTCACTACAACTTTAATCGACCTATTAGCAGCATTTGACACAAATAATCACTTCCTTCTTCACAGTATACTTTCTTCATTTGGCTTCCAGGATGGCTCATTCACTTGATTCTCAGCCTGTCTCACTGGAGCTACCACTTCGGCTTCCTTTGTTTCTTCCTCATCTTTTGCTTCACACCTCCTAGAGGAGAGCTCCAGAGCTCAGTTCCTGGTCCTCTTCTCTTCTCCCTCACCACACACTCTTCGGAGGGGCTCAGCAAGTCTCATCCCTTTCAATTCTCCTTTTGGACCTCCTTTTGAACTCCAGGCTTATAATAAATTATCCAACTGCATAACTGGTATATCTACTTGGACACTTGATTTCAAAAGTAATATATATCCAAAACCAGACTCACGATTTTCCCTCAGAAACCTCTACATACACATTTTTTCTCTTCTTGCAGAGTGCCATGGTCAGCATTGGAGCCTCTCTTAGCTTTCCTGTCCACTTTCATCCTCAGCAAGCCTCTATCTCTGCACCTCAAGAATCTCTCAGGGCTCCCATCCCTTGCCCAACCACGGGCAGTAGCTGCCACACACTCAGTGAAAGACCAGAGAAACTACTTCTCTCAGCTACCGGCCCTGCCCTGCCTTCAGACCTCATCATGCCTCTCTTCTTATGCACCTGTGAGAACAGAGAGTGAAGGGGGGATTCTCTCAGCTCCCCAACCCACTCCCCAGTAACACAGGGTTTTCCTCGATTCTCACAGTGAGACCTTTACCTTGCTCTGACCTCAAATTGCACCAGTTCCTACATGCCTGTCCCTCAAAAGTGTCTCAGGTAGTTCTCCTGCTCTCCATCTGATCTTACATAGGAGCACACAAGATAGGTCATGAAAAAACCATTAGTGGGGCCACACGCGGTGGCTCACGCCTGTAATCCCAGCACTTTGGGAGGCCGAGGCCGGCAGATCACGAAGTCAGTGGCTAACACGGTGAAACCCTTTCTCTACTAAATACAAAAAATTAGCCGGGTGCGGTGGTACATGCCTGTAGTCCCAGCTACTCGGGAGGCTGAGGCAGGACAATCACTTGAACCCTGGAGGCGGAGGTTGCGGTGAGCCGAGATCGTGCCATTGCACTCTAGCCTGGGCGACAGAGTGAGACTCCGTCAAAAAAAAAAAAAAAGAAGAAGAAGAAGAATAAAGAAAGAAAGAGAAAGAAAGAAAAGAAAAGCATTAAATCATTAGTGAGTGAATGAGAGTGAGTGTGTTTGGGCCCCTACTGATGCTAAACTATCACAAGCCCACACTCAGCCTTTCAACATTTGCTTGAGGTTCACTTGTTTCCTTCTTATCTCCATCAAGGGCAGCTTCCTCCTGCTTCTGCTGCTGCAACTCAGGTACACACAAAGCATGTGTGGATCCGTTCTTTTTTCAGTAGGGCTTCATTACTCTGAATTTAAGTTAATTAGCTTTTTTTAAAGACTTCAGCTCTGTCTTTTAAAATGAAATCTATGATCTATAGATTATCCAGCTTATTCTTTTGTCAGGGCAAGAGCATTTTTCTATAACTTTCTAAATTCTAAACAAAAGTAAAAGTTCACTTCTTTCCAGAATCCCCCCATGTCAGAAAGTATTACTATTATCATCAGTTTAGTGATATTTATGGAATTCCAAGTTGACTCTGAGATCAGCTTTTGGGTTAAATTCTTTCTTCCTGATATATAGCCTTTGAAATTTTATTTGCTGCAGATCTCTTGGTAGTGAACAATTTTAGTTTTTATCTGTCAATTTTGTATTGTTATTTTTGTTCTTGAAAGACAACATTACTGAGTACCCAATTCTATATTAACAGTTATGTTCTCTCAACGTTTGTTGATACTAGTTTATTCATTTTTAGTTTGTGCTTCACTATGATATTCAGATAAATATTATTTCATTATAAATTGTCCTTTTTTCAATGTTTGTATGGTCTGGTGTTTGGTTTTAATATTTTATAATTTAACTAATGTGAATTTATTTTTATATCATCTGTTAGAAATATATTCTTTGAATCAATGGATTTATACTTTTTCTTAATTTCTTTTTGAGAATCTCTTGAAATGGTGAATCCTCTTACACTTCTCTTCCCGCATATTTGAATTAAATAAATGTTAGACCTTGTGTTTCCATGCTACATTCTGGGTATATCATTTAAGCATTTTTTTCTTTACTAATTATCCTGTTACCTATATCTAATATATCATTAATAACTTGCATTAATTTTTAAAATTTTTTAATTTAGAACTGCATTTTGGTTTTGTTTTGTTTTTTTTTTTGGAGACAGAGTCTCACTCTGTTGCCGAGGCTGGAATGCAGTGTTGCAATCTTGGCTCACTACAACCTCCACCTCCTGGGTTCAAGTGATTCTCCTGCCTCAGCCTCCTGAGTAGCTGGGACTACAAGTGTCCACCACCATCTTCAGCTAATATATATATATATATATATACATTTTTTTTTAGTAGAGACAAGTTTTCACCATCTTGGGCATGCTGTTCTTGAACTCCTGACCTCGTGATCCACCCGCCTCGGCCTCCCAAAGTGCTGCAATTACAGGCATGAGCCACCATGCCCAGCCAGACCTGCCCATTTTTTCTATCATCTATATAGCTTTACTATTGTTTTTACATCTTTGTAATAGTAGATTTTTTCTTTAAACAGTCGATACACAGCTGCTTAATTATTTCTCCACATTGACAATTTCAATACATTTAGTTTTCAAGGATTTAAATGTGCTATTCATTTCATTAACTTTTATTCATGGTTTCTTTCTTACCTGATCATTTTTAATGATGAACTCATTGCTCATCCTTAATCTGCCATCATTCTACAGTCTGAAATAAGAATGCTATTATTCAAACTTCCTCTGTGAAACTGACTCAATCCTTTATCTCAATATAGAAGTTCCAGGATTAACGAACTGGAATTTCTGATGGCCCAAGAGTCAGTAGTACCACCATTAGCATTGTTGATAATAGCAGATCTTCCCAGAAGATATGGGAAACCCTCACCCACCTCCATCAGCTAGCCAATACAAAGTGCCTAGTGCTCAAGCTCCAGTTCACAGACTGTTTTTGTGTTTGAAAGAGGAGATATTTTAAGAACTTGCCTAACCATTTTCAAGAATAGAAATGTTTCAAAGAGATCGTCTAAAATGTATTTGTTCGATAGCAGCAGTCATTTGAGAGCAGCTAACTTGCAGTCATGGCCAAAAGCCTAAATCTTTCTTTCATTCTAATCACACCTATTTTATATATTTTGGAGATATTAAAGATTCAGATGTATTCATACTATTCTATGATTTGGGACACTGCTATAGATTCTTCAAAATGTTACAACATTCCAGTGGTATTTTGGGAGGTATAGAAGGTGAGAGGAAACAATGGGCTCAAGTCTCCCCTGACTTCTCTTCTTACAACATATTTCATTGTCCAAAACTTTTAGAACTATATCAATACAACATTGACAGTGGATATTCTTCTTTTCCTTCTGATTTTAATAGGATTGAAGGAAGTGCTTGCTATGAAATTGCTATATGGGTTGTAATCAGACAAATTTTGACTTTGAAAATGCAATATTCTTCTCATTATTTTAAAATGTTTACCAGGATTCACAGTATTATTTTCAATTCTCCCCGTTCAAAGGCATATTTAAATAACTTGATGAAAGGGCAATATTATATATGTTACTCTGCTATGGAAACAGAAAAAACCACCACCAAATTGTATTCTAGATACTTTGTACACCAATTGCACCATCTTTTTTTATCTAAGACATTCAGTTCTTCTACAGGTGGGAGCACATGAATTAGCATCATTTAGTACTTGTAGTTTTCACTACAGACTTTCAGACTTATGGTGCCTAAAGGAAATAGAATGCTTCTAGCTGGGTTTAAAAGCTACAAATAAACAGAGGAAATATACACTATTTTGAAAGTACCACTTGAGCGTTCTGTATGTATTTCAATATTATGTTGCTAATTTTAATTGTTCAAGGTTAAGGAGCTTAAACCTCCTCCTCATGCATTCCTGAATCATCCATTACTCGCACACATACATTGTTTGATACAGCATAAACCTAAGTAAGTAAAGATGTGGCAAAATGAAAAAAAATAAAATAATGTGATACCATTCTTATCTAGGAATGGCATCAGTAGACAGATGTGAATAAAAGTAATGTGATTATAATTTTAAAAATCATATTTAATAGGATCCATTTATTATTAAATGAACATTAAATTACTTAATGTATAATAAACCCTTAACACGATGACAACTCTTAATGCAGAGTGAGACCAAAATGAAGGTATTAACTATTTTCTTCCTAATCCTTGCTTTAGTTGTTCTTTCCACCAGACCGTCACTTTATTCGAAGGATATTGTAATAGCACAAAGCCATCAGCTTTACCATTAGAGAGATCTTCATTAAATTATCTTTGTTGTAATAAAGGTCATCTGGAGGAAATACTGGTCTGAATACAATAATAAATGTTAAGCTTTCTAGTATTTTCCACTTTTAGACACAAATTGAAAGAATCATTTATAATGTCAAAAACACTTTTTTCTAACTAATCTATTCTATGACTAAGACACTATTAGCAATTAAAGTAGATAGATCAAATCTAAATATGGAGAGAAAAAGTAATTTCTACTTATGTTTAAACAGGTGAAACCACGAATAAATTGAAAGCCTGAAATATTAGCTTAGGGGAATAATGTCACTTTCGGGGAGCAGGAGCAGCATATACCAGCCTTTAGCTCTACACACTCCCCCAAAGAAAAAAAATATATAGATAGTTATGTACAAACCAAAATAGCACTGGGAGGGTTCAAGGGACCATTTAAGAAACTATGGCAACACAGTGAAGCCAACAAAAAAAAAAAAAGAGAGAGAGAGAGAGAGAGTGAAAGAAAAAAAAAAATAGCCATATAGAAAAAACAGCTGCTGAAATCAGCATACCTGAGATGCCAGAAACATCTTTTTTGGCTAGAAACAAAAGCAGAAAGGGACTATCTGTATCAGCCACAAGGTGGAAGCACCAGGGCCCTCAGTAACCCACTCTGGCAGAAGACACTGGCATTTTTTGCCACTGGAGTAAGCAACATCCCTTTCTGACAGAAAACCCAGAGAAAAAGATGAAGAGGTACCATCTCCTCCCACATCCCTTTCCCCACCAAAAATGCAGTGACTGTTGGGCCAAACCAGGATTGGAACTGCTACCTTTCTTAAACTGCATGTGTCTCTGACATATGAGCAGCAACCATGTCAAGAGCTCCCACATAAAAACGTTCATACTAAATTTATTCTGTTACTTAAGAGTGTTTATGGATTTACATTCCATTTGTGGACTAACTATCTCACTGGATCTTCTTTCCTTCAGTAAGAGGTGGTTTGGGTCCTGCGGAAGGTCATTGTCTCAATTTGTTTGGTGTTTGCAGAACAGATGTCTGCAACATAGTAGAAGATCAAATTGGTGCCTGCCGAAGAAGGATGAAGTGCTGTAGAGCATGGTGGATTTTAATGCCAATTGCAACACCACTTATCATGTCAGATTATCAAGAACCCCTTAAACCTAACTTGAAATGAAACTGAAACAAAATAAAAATACATCAAAAGTGAAGTTATTTGCATCTAAGAATATTAAAATATACATATTAAGTACTTCCATCTTGATAACCGTCTTGCATTTTCACTTATCAACATAAATGAATAAATACTAATTTCAAATACACCCAAGTACTATTTCTTTGTGAATCATTAACATATCTTAACAAAACTTTTAAAAATGAGAAAACTGTTACTTTTGTTTTCCAAGATGGTGGATTGAAGGCATTGTTAGTCTGCCTCTTGCACTTGGAAAGAGAAATTGGTGTGTAGAGACTCACACTGTGAACTTTCTTTCAAGAAGCAACACAGGAATTTAACAGGAAAATTGAAATAAGCCACAGACCATTTGAAAGAAACAGCAGGATGCAGCTTACACCATAAGCTAGGCAGAAAATTGTAAGTTTCCAGGGTGTGACAGGAGGGTAACTGACTCTAAGATATACGCTTCCACTGGGAAACCTATCAATCCAGGCCGTGAGGGAAGGCCTTAACCCTCCTCAGCGCTGGAGCTGATTTAGGGAAGAGTGGTGAGTATATGAGGAGTGGCATTGGGATGTGCTTTGAATCTCCAGCACATTCCCAGTTTCTGGTAGAATGGAGGGAAGCCATTGCTGATTCTACCTCAGACAGGACCTCCTAGAAGTCTGCCAGGTAACTCAGATGGTTGTCACAGGTTGAGACAACCTCCCAAATGAAATGTGTGATATAATCTTGACTGGGGACAAACTCCCCAGGCCAGAACTGAGAGGTGAGTGGGAAGTGTGCTGCAGCAGCAAGCACAGGAGCTGGGGGCCCCTGCTCTGCAGGTGGATCAGGAAGGGTGTGGCCTGAAGGTTGCAGTTGCTGTCTCCATAGGGGAGACTTATGGTATGGGTCAGTTTTGAGTTCTGAGCTCAGACTTCTTGAAGCTTAGCTAGCTACTCCCATTGGAACACTGTGGGTGTGAGACCTGCCTTGCCAAGTGTGTGGGAGCTGGATGGGGCTTACTACCAAGCTGCTACTCCCCATTCTTCACATAGACTCTCCTTGTACAGAGGCAGTGACAGTTTCACTTCTCTCTGGAAAATTACTCCAGTGGCCCAAGAACAGCCTTCCAATTCCCACTGGAGCCACTGCTTGTCCCACACATAGACAGCCAGAGCATCACCTTACCTGACCTAGTTCCCACCTGGCTTTGCTCAACCACCTACCCTGGTAGATTAACACAAATAACTGAAGAAACTTTTAGAAGCTCTTTGGCTCCACCTATTTCCTGAGACACCAGAGTGCCTCCCATGGGTAACATAAGGCAAGTCCAAATCTCACCACTACCACCACAGCTGGCAGTCTTTTGGAAGCACCACCTCCTGGCTGAAGGCCTACTGACAGTCCTTTACAGCATCTGCAGGTAGAATAACATAGCACCCAGGAAGGAGAAAAGTTGTGAGTGACCACAACTGTTACCATTGCTTGCATCATTCTGGCTAAGCAGGAGGCCCTGAGTCTGTCCATGTGATGAGTTCATTACTACTACAACTGGCATTTGAGAAATCCAATACACAACACACTAGGACTATTTATAACCAAGGAATCTTTCAGAGTCTACAACACTCCCCTGCCATCCCCATCTGATCAGCTGCTGATACACACTGCTGTGAGACGTGAGGACAAATTATATCACTGGATCCATTGCAGACATTCTTGAGCACCAGCCTGGTGTGCGGCATCCCCACTGGGTAGCTAGACCCAGAGAAGCAGCAGCAGCATATGCAGTAATCTGAATTTCATGGCCTCCTACTCTGAGGAAAGAGGAAGCACACCACATCAAGGGAGCACCCTGGGGACAAAATAATCTAGATGGCCTTGAGTCCCAGAACATTCCACTTGTGGGAAGTTGTTTGGTGGTTTGTTTGTTTTTGTTTTTATTTCCAGCAGAGGAACGTGTGCATGCTAGGCTCAGCGAGGAAAGTCTGTAGCTATATCTCAACAATCAGGCAGCCTTGATGCTCAAGAAGAGTCTTGGAGAATGGGGACTTATTTTCCATCTCATACACTACTGCAGACACAATAGTACTGTACTCAGAGCCAGTGTACTGAGGTGAGTGGCCATAAAACCTACTGAGACACCAGCCAGGAGAGCTAAAGGAGTACTTGCATTACCACTCCCCCAACCCCAGGCAGCACAGCTTGCAGCTCCAAAAAAGACCGCTTCCTTCTGCTAGAGGAGATTAGAGGAAAGAGTAAAAAGGACTTTGTCTTGCATCTTGGATATCAGTTGAGCCACAGTAGGATAGGGCCCTGGTCAGGGTCATGAGGTCCCCACTGTGGATGTAACTAACTTTTTTTTTTTAATTTTATAGGCTGATAGGCAGAAGGGACTTGTCTCAAATAAGACTTTGGACTTGGAGTTTTGAGTTATGCTGGAAACAGTTAAGACTTTGGGGGACTGTTGGGAAAGCATGATTGGTTTTGAAATATATATAAAATACATGAGATTTGGGAGGTGCCAGGAGCAGAATAATATGGTTTGGCTCTGTGTCCCCACCCAAACCTCATCTCAAATTATTATCCCCACACATCGACAGAGGGACTTGTAATCGCCATGTGTCAAAGAAGTTTACTTCATGCTATACTCATGATAGTGAGTGAATTCTTAGGAGATCTGATGGTTTTAAAAGTAGGAGGTTTTTTTTTTCTGTGCACTCACTTCTCTCTCCTGCCACCTTGTGAAAAAAGGTGCCTGCTTCTGTCTTGCCTTCCACCATGACTGTAAGTTTCCTGAGGCCTCCCCAGCGATGCAGAACTGTGAATTAATTAAACACCTTCCCTTTGTAAATTACCCAGTGTGGGGTAGTGTCTTTACAACAGTGTAAAAATGGACTAATACAGGTTCCCTGAAATATTCTGAGTCCCTTTGGAGGCAAGAATCTCTTTATACCAGCATGGTATACTGATGAAGTACATCCTGATCTCATGGGCTAAGAAAGAATTTATACATACCCTTTATGTGTCAGCAACTCTATGTGCAGGCTTTTGAGACCCAGAATGGGCTTTCTTGCCCCATCTAGTCTATGTAACATTTTTCTAAGCCAACTCAATGTCTTTCATCCACACTGGGATAGGTCCTAAATTGCTGTCTGTTACCCACCTGAGATAATGACATGTTGTTAAATCAGGTGTGTGTGACCCTGATACGTCTATCTGAGTGGCAGGAGAGGGTCTATCTGTTCACAAGAGTCTCTGCAACATTTTCTAAGTCAGTTCAGAAGCTTATTGATTCACCTTTGCAGGCAATGTAGCCATGAGAAAGGTCTCCAAAAATTCCTGACCTTCTGGAAATTTTTAAAGTCTCCGCAGGTTTCCAGAGGTGACTGTAGCTGCACTGAAAGTCACTGCCTGGATAACTGGCCTGTTAAAGCAAATGCAAAATACGCTAAGCCCACTAAGGATACCCAGAAGCCATGGTATTCAATTAATTTTTGTCTTTCTTGCAGGTGGGAGAATACTGAGGATTATGCCCTCCTATAGCCAGTGAAGGTTACTCCAGTGCCTAGATGTACCAGTCAAGAGAGGTCATGGGAGAGCAGATGGCAGAAAGGGCAGCCAGGTCCTTTCGCTGGGGTTTACTGCTTGTCATGAGCTCTGCTGCTGGGCAGCATGTGTGATTTCTGACTCCTGCCATGTCCTCAAGAAGCCTTGCCCCATCAGCCAGCTGTCCTACCTCCTGAAAGCTGGTGCATGTTTGTTAACATGGAGATCCAGAACAAGAGTCACTTTAGTATTTATCCATAGAGTCCCCATGTGTGCACATGCTTACCTGCAGGTTGTTTTTCCTATTTTTCTGAATGTTAATCCTTGCCTTCTGGAACTCGATATTACCCCCTGTGGCCAAATATGGGATAATTGTAAGGGGAAACTGCTCTTTAGGTCCCAAGTCCACAGGGTTAGTACTATTATCAATATTAAAATTATTAATTATGGATATTAGTATCATAATAATCATCATCATTCCTGTTAATACTCATCAATATGTTTATTATTATCATTAAGATGGTTTATTAATGTTATTATTCAGTAATAAATGTTTAGTTTCTCCATTCACTCAGTCAAACTGGAGTCTGACTCCCGATATGACTATGGATATGACTGCATATGACTATGAGGGTTACCCTGCAGATATAGACATGAACCGCTGTCCCAGAGACAGCTCTTGCAGGCACTAATTGCTCTTTCATAGGATGAGTTCCTTACAGGAGAGAAGGGCTGATCTCCATGATGTGGTTTCCTCAGGGTCTCATTAAGGGCTGGTGATACAGGAGCACTGCCTACCCCTCTTACTCACGTGAGAGTGGTACATTCTCTGTTGTCATGGCTGGGATGGCTCCATGTTGAACATATAAATTCCAGGTTCTAGAAGCAAAAAAGCAAAAGATGCATTGGATCTGCATAGGGAACTGCAAGCCATCCAGCAACCACAGGACACAGTCAGAAACAACCACGTGGACCACATCGCCCAAGCTCAGCTGCATGGCTCTCCATTGGGTTAGGACAAGGACCTATTCCACCAGGCTCAACTGGAGTCCTATCCCTGGTCCCAGGACCACAAGGAGCATCTCTTTTTTTGGAATCACACTGCTCCATTCGAAGGACAGCCCTCAGTTCTCTATCTTCAAAAGAGGCTGCAAATGGTGCTGATTGGGAGGGAGCCGCCAGCAGCATCACCCTCTACAACTATAAAATAAAACTGTCTCCCAGGGTGGGATATTATGCTGACCCTACCTAAAAGCACATTTCCTAGATGTTGCTTGTTGCCTGGAGTTTGAACAGCATTGTCCAAACTTTGCCATTGAAGAACAAGGAAACTTACCTGGGGTAGTTGCAGGAGTAGGCCTAAATCCAGGTGTGAAGATCCTTGAACTGGGGGTGTTTCTGTACCTGTAGAGATTGCAGACTGGGAAAGGTAAGGCTCTGGTCCTGCCAGGCTCTCTAGAGGTTAAGAATGTGATCTGCAGAAAGACATGAACTAGCACAGGCTACTGTAGAACATCTGCCCCCAAGAATCATAAATGCCTTTTCACTCATCCTGCAGAATGCACTCTCTACTTTAATGATCGTGTGGGATGTGACTTTAATTTTTAGGCATGGGGATTGATCTTAAGAAAAAGCAGGGAAAGTGCCTTACCTGTCCTGGGACTCTGCTCCACTTGCCAACATTTGAGTGGATTCATTTGTGTGGTAGTCAAGCTACAGGAAATAAAGGGACCAGTCAGTCTTCCACACAATGACACAGAGGCCAATTATCACAAGTCCAAATCTCCATTTGTCATCCAGCTCACATTCCCGCTGTGGCACAAGGTCACATGCACTCGTGTCCAACTCCAAATAGTAGCTTCACATAGTATGCCAGCACTCTCCCACCCATCACCTCTTCTAGAAGGTCTTCCGCTGGATTGGAAATGGCCTGGGATAAAAGATAATGACCACAGGAAGCAGTTGTTTTTTTAGGATCTGATCCACATGAGAAGGTAGGACATCTAATTTGGTCTGAGGACTTTAGCTATGCTAATATTTCAGGTAACTGTCCCCTGTGTCTATAGATTTACAATGGGAATGGAGTGAGAGATGATGAAAACTGTTTTCTTTCCTAGTGAGTATGAGGTAGAACCCTTACATCATGCTCTCTGTTGCCTGTTCTCCATACAGAGCCATCTCCCATTTAGAGAGAAGACATGGATTGTCAGTGGGAGCAAGCCTGAGATATGCCCACTGGCAGCTCCCAGAAACCCCTGAAACCTGGCCACATCATGAAGTTTCAACTGTGGGTCTCATGCCTCTCTTGGTATCTTGAATTCAGAACATTTAATGTCATGGCAGGCCAGGGAACTTCCTCTGCTCTAGTTTGGCTCTCTATCGCACATTCACCGCCCCCCCCCCCCGCCACACACACACAAAGTCACACACACTCACACATCAACCTACTGGCAAACCAAGGTAGAAACACACACACACAGACACCTGCTCAATCCAGGCCAATATCCCTGATGAACATTAATGCAAAAATTCTTAATAAAATACTAGCAAACAGAATCCAGCAGCACATCAAAAAGCTTATCCACCACAATCAAGTCGGCTGCATCTTTGGGATGAAATGCTGGTTCAACATACACAAATGAATAAATGTAATTGATCACATAAACAGAACCAAAGACAAAAACCAGACAATTATTTCAATAGATGCAAAAATGCCTTTGATAAAATTCACCATCCCTTCATGTTAAAAACTCTCAATAGACTAGGTACTGATGGAACATATTGCAAAATAATAAGAGCTGTTTATAACAAACCCACAGCCCACATCATATTGAATAGGCAAAAGCTGGAAACATTCCCTTTGAAAACTGGTACAAGACAAGGATGTCCTCTGTAACCTCTTCTATTCAACATAGTATTGGAAGTTCTCACCAGGGCTATCAGGCAAGAGAAGGAAATAAAGGGTATTCAAATAGGAAGAGAGTAAGTGAAGTTGTCTCTGTTTGCAGATGACATGACTTTATATTTAGAAAACCCCATCATCTCAATTCAAAAACTTCTTGAACTGGTAAGCAAGTTCACCAAGTTCTCAAGATATTAAATCATTGTGCAAAAATCACAAGCATTCCTTTACATCAACAATAGTCAAGCAGAGAGCCAGATCAAGAATGAACTCCCATTCACAATTGCTACAAAGAGAATAAAATACCTAGGGATACAGCTAGGAGTACAAGGGATGTGAAGGACCTCTTCAAGGACAACTGCAAACCACTGCTCAAGGAAATAAGAGAGGACACAAACGAATGGAAAAACATTTCATCCTCATGAATAGGAAGAATCAATATTGTGAAAATGGCCATACTGCCCAAACTAATTTATAGATTCAATGCTGTACCCATCAAGCTACCATTGACATTTTTCACAGAATTAGAAAGAACTATTTTAAATTTCATATGAAATCAAAGAATACCCCGTATACCCAAGACAATTGTAAGCAAAAACAACAAAGCTGGAGGCATGACGCTACCTAACTTCAAACCACACTAGAAGGCTACAGTAACCAAAACAGCATGCTACTGCTGCCAAAACAGACATATAGACCAATGGAGCAGAACAAAGCCCTCAGAAGTAACACCACACATCTACGACCATCTGATCTTTGACAAACCTGACAAAAACAGGCAAGGGAGAAAGGATCTCCTATTCAGTAAATGCTGCTGGGAAAACTGGCTTGCCATAGGCAGAAAACCAAAACTGGACCCCTTCCTTACATCTTATACAAAAATTAACTCAAGATGGATTAAAGACTTAAATGTAAAATCCAAAACCATAAAAACCCTAGAAGAAAACTTAAGCAATACCATTCAGGACATAGGCATGGGCAAAGACTTCATGACAAAAATGCCAAAAGCAATTGCAACAAAAGCCAAAATTGACAAATTGGATCTAATTAAACTAAAGACCTTCTGCACAGCAAAGAAACTATCATCAGCATGAAAAAGCAACCTACAGAATGGGAGAAAATTGTTGCAATCTGCCCATCTGACAAAGGTCTAATAACCAAAGTTGACAAGGAACTTAAACATATTTACAAGCAAAAAAACAAACAACCCCATCAAAAGTGAGCAAAAGATATGAACAGAAACTTATCAAAAGAAGACATTTATGCAACCAACAAATATATTTTTAAAAAGCTCAACAACACTGATCATCAGAGAAATGAAAATCAAAACTACAGTGAGATACCATCTCACACCCGTCAGAATGGCGATTATTAAAAAATTAAGAAACAATAGATGCTGGTGAGGCTGAGAAGAAAGAGGAAGGTTTTTACACTGTTGGTGAAACTGTAAATTAGTTCAACCATTGTGGAAGACAGTATGGCTATTCCTCAAGGATCTAGAACCAGAAATACCATTTGACCCAGCAATCCCATTACTGGCTATGTACCCAAAGGAATATAAATCATTCCACTATAAAGACACATGCACACGTATGTTTACTGCAGCACTATATACAATAGGAAAGACATGAAACCAACCCAAATGCCCTTCAGTGCTAGACTGGATAGGAACAACACACAACACAGCCCGTTGGGGGCTGGGGGTGAGGGAAGGAAACTTACAGGATAAGTCAATAGGTGCAACGAACCACCATAGCAAAGGATACCTATATAACAAATCTGCTCGTTCTGCGCATGTATCCTGTATTTTTTAAATTTAAAAAGAGGAAATACATACATACATACATACATGCATACATACATACGTATGTACATACTTTTGAAAAACGTCTATACAGCTTGGATCTTCATTCCTGATAAGCCAAGGAACCTGGAGAAACACCAGAATTCTGTCCCTCTGAGAATGCCAGACAGGTTTACCTTCATCACCATAAAATTTTGGAACAAATGTGGTAACTGCAGGTTCTCCCCACAATGAGTAACTGAAAATTGAGGCAGTATTTCAGATCCTAAAAAACTGATGAAGTAATTCGCCACACATTTGGGTTGTTTTTGCCTTTTCCTACTATGAAGATTGCTAATAGGAAGAATAGTGTACAAGTATCTGTTTGATTCCCTGCTTTTAGAATCCTTTGCTTGTTTGTGTGTTTGTCTGTTCCTTCTTGAGACAGGATGTCACTCCAGTCAGCCAGGATTTTCCAGTGTGTAATTTTTGTTGTTTCCTTTTGTCAAGTTTTAGAAGTTGTTATTTTATTTCTATTGAATTTTAAGGCATTTTTAGATATGTATTAAAACATTATCACACAGGCCGTGTGTTACATTGCAATTATTTTCATCATTCCTTTAAGAAACAAAAGATTTAGCTTAGATATCTTCCAATTTGTGAATCTTTTCTGATTTTGACTTTTTTAAAAATGCTGTCATATACAAGAAACCCTTGGATTAAAAATGCCATGAATATTTCTCTTTTCTTGCAGTCATAACTTCGGTGTATGTCATCAATTAGTCTCTGGTTTATAGCATGTTTTCTTGAAAGTGTTTCACAATGTATTTTGGGCATTGAGAATTTCATCAAACTTAAGTGAAGGTTTCGACATTCACTATTGAAGGGAATAGTCCTATTTGATGCCTTATTATTTGCATATCTTGCTTCCACAAGAACATTTCACGCAAAGACTTGTCTTCTCCCCAATGCCAGATCATTACAACATGACATGGAATCAACTGGCCAAAAATGGGAAGGTTATCTCTGGAATGTCTATTTGACTCCATTGATCACTTCATCTTAATTAAGACAAAAAATATGCTGTGTTAATTACCTCACATTGTTGCAAATTCTCAAGTCAGAAAATGTAGTTATAACTTCTTGGCATTTAGTCACTGAAAGAATGATCTTATCTCACAGATGCACATGCTTGGAAGTACTTCTCAAGGCATACACACACATCCAGAAACAAACACACAAATACACTCATACACACAAACTGTTTAATATGTACACAATTGTTAAATAGCATTGTTATACATGAAATAAGGCAAATGTTTAGCTACTATCCTAACCCGGTTCCACTCCTAACATATTTGCTCATAATACTGACAAGTAAATCTGCTTCAACCCTTCCATAGTCACAATGTAAGCAGTGTCCATTAAATTCTCTGAGGAATGCAAGAGGATACAACCTAAGACAAAAAACTTAATTGAATCCTGATATTTCATTAGTAAATAGGGTAATTGATGGATAAATGTAATGGTCTCGGTGGGTGGACAGTAGTTAAATAAGGGCTGATGCAGCAAGATAATTATTTAAAGGCGTTTGAAAGAAATTGAAACAGGAGAGTGGATGTATTCAGCTAAAATAAAATCCGGAAGCCCTGAAATAAATCTCATTTTGCGGGTAAAAAAATGGCATTGGAGGAGATTCTGGGTCAATCATGAAGCTGTGAAAGTTGCATCTTGGAAGCAGGATCCCTGTAATGAAACGAGACTTGTTTATCAGAGGTGGTCTTTCAGAGGAAAAGATTTTGAAGAATGGCCCCTTCCTTTTGTGTATTTGACGATTAGATTTCATGCCAAATTTCGGGTTTTAAACTCTATTTAAACGTTAAAAGAATTAACTAAAATGGCAAAAAAACAAGAAATTTTTTTATTAGGAATCGTCAAATATTCATTTCTTGTTAGATACAGTTACCAAACACGACCTACCGGAGAGAAACAATTGTGGAGAATGGCCCCTTATTTTTGTATATTTGCTGATTAGATTTCATAGTCCATTTCTCATTAGGTACAGAGATCAAAGTTGACCTACCCAAGAGTAGAGATATCCAGGACAGAACTCAGGGCACGGTAGAACCACAGAATCTTGGGTGAAATATTGCTCAAGAACAAAAATGTGCTTATTCAGCGTGTTTCTGTGTGACATGTGTGGAAACTAAAGTGCAATGAGCATGACACGAAGACAGAATATCAATTCGGCTCACCTCAAATCAGTTGTGAGCATTAAAGAAAACCAATTCCTAGGTCCCGCTTAAAGAGATAAGACCATCCAACAACCTGTGTGAAGCCACCGCATCTGGCTTGCTCATGATTCTGGGGATCATTCTCCAGAAAATGGTGGCTCCTTTCTCCCTGTGGAGCATCTTTCTAAGCAGTGCCCTTTCTTCCCCCAGGACACTTTACATGAGGTGCAGGAAGCCTTCTGATGGAGCACACCTGGCCCATGAAAAGACAAGGGAAAGAAAAAGGGCCAAAGGTCACAGTCCTCTCATTACATCATCATCCTTAAAATCATCCTAATTTCATGAGCCCTGAAGACAGGGCTGTTTCTTTACACCTAGAGGCCTTGGCGCCGGGCCTCAATTCTGCCCTGTTCCTTACTGTCTAAGACATTTTGGGAAAATCACTAGAGCCAGGACCTTCATTCCTGGTAAGCCAGAGAGCCGAAAGACACACCCAAATTCTGTCCCTCTTAGTTCAGGGAACAGGTCTACTTTCGCCAGCATTACAATTTTTGCACCAAATGTGCTAACTGCAATTCCACCATACAATGCATAACTGGAAATGGAGGGAACATCTCAGATCATGAACAATCGATGAGAGAATCCAGGAGATACACGGCTTATTTTTGCCTTTTCCCTGTGAAACAAGGGCAAGTATTAAAAACTTTATGCTGTCTTCTATTTCACTGCCTGCTTTTAAACGTCTCCGATGTATTCTTCTTGAGAAAGGGCCTCACTACTGTCACCTGGGCTTTTCTAAGGTATAATTTTCCTTGTTTGCTTTTGTCAAAATTAGAACATTTTATTTCATATCTATGAAATGTTGAGCCATTATCACATACGTATGGAAATAGTATCACCAATGCTGTGTGATAAGTTGTTTTTATTTTGGTCAATTCTTTAATAAACAAAAGCTTATAGTTGGGATACCTTCTGATTTCTCAAGGTTTTTGTTTCATGTTTTCTTAAACTGCCGCCGCACGTCCGAAACCACTCACTATACAATGTCAGGACCATCTCTCTTTTCTGGCACACATAAATTTGGGGAATGTCATCAATTAGTCTCTCGGTGATTGCATGATTTCCCCAAAGTCTTTCACAGTCTACTTTGTGCAATGAGTATCTCTTCAAACTTCAGTGCATATTTCTACCATTTGATGCTTTATTATTTGGCAACCTAGCTTCCACAAGAGCATGTCAGGCAAAGAGTTCTCTTGTTCTCCACTGGAAGGTAATTTCATTCGCACAGAGAATCAATAGGCTGAACGTAGAAAGGTTATCGCTGGAAGCTCTGTTTCATTCCACGGATCTCTTCTTTCTTATTAAAGAAAAAAATACGCTGTGCTAAATACCATACTTCATTGACTAATCTCAGGTCAGAAAGCACACTTCCGATTTCTTGTCCTTCTGTCGCTGAGAGGATGATGATAGCTGCCAAAAGTACATACTTGGAAGTTCATCCCAGCACGAGCACACACACACATACACACACACACACACACACACACACACACAGACACACACAGGGTTTCATAGGTGAAGATTTCTTCCCTGACATTCTTTTACCTAAAATAAGACAACTGTGTGGCCACTGCCCAAACCCGGTTACACTCATATTATATGTGCCTATCACCCTGAGGAGTAATTTGATTCAGGTGTTCTAGAAGTCATGATGTGGGCTGTGTCTGTTGAATTCCCAGCGATGCAAGGGGACACACCCTGTGACTCATTCCTTAATTGAGTGCTGATATTTGATTGTTTTATCGCGCACCTGATGGGTGGGTGGGGTGTTCGCGGCTGGTGGGGGTGAGTTCTATAAGGGATGATGCGGCCAGAGAGCTCGTCATTTGAAGACTCTCTCGGAAGAGATAGCGTCTTGCTGCAACCTGCGGTCCCAGCAGAAAAACCTTGTGATCCTTGTTGCGGGCGACATGGGGGACGACTCACTCTACTTGGGAGGTGAGTGGCAGTTCAACCACTTTTCAAAACTCACATCTTCTCAGCCAGATGCAGCTTTTGCTGAAATCCAGCGGACTTCTCTCCCTGAGAAGTCACCACTCTCATCTGAGACCCGTGTCGACCTCTGTGATGATTTGGCTCCTGTGGCAAGACAGCTCGCTCCCAGGGAGAAGCTTCCTCTGAGTAGCAGGAGACCTGCTGCGGTGGGGGCTGGGCTCCAGAATATGGGAAATACCTGCTACGAGAACGCTTCCCTGCAGTGCCTGACATACACACTGCCCCTTGCCAACTACATGCTGTCCCGGGAGCACTCTCAAACATGTCAGCGTCCCAAGTGCTGCATGCTCTGTACTATGCAAGCTCACATCACATGGGCCCTCCACAGTCCTGGCCATGTCATCCAGCCCTCACAGGCATTGGCTTCTGGCTTCCATAGAGGCAAGCAGGAAGATGTCCATGAATTTCTCATGTTCACTGTGGATGCCATGAAAAAGGCATGCCTTCCCGGCCACAAGCAGGTAGATCATCACTCTAAGGACACCACCCTCATCCACCAAATATTTGGAGGCTGCTGGAGATCTCAAATCAAGTGTCTCCACTGCCACGGGATTTCAGACACTTTTGACCCTTACCTGGACATCGCCCTGGATATCCAGGCAGCTCAGAGTGTCAAGCAAGCTTTGGAACAGTTGGTGAAGCCCGAAGAACTCAATGGAGAGAATGCCTATCATTGCGGTCTTTGTCTCCAGAGGGCGCCGGCCTCCAACACGTTAACTTTACACACTTCTGCCAAGGTCCTCATCCTTGTCTTGAAGAGATTCTCCGATGTCGCAGGCAACAAACTTGCCAAGAATGTGCAATATCCTGAGTGCCTTGACATGCAGCCATACATGTCTCAGCAGAACACAGGACCTCTTGTCTATGTCCTCTATGCTGTGCTGGTCCACGCTGGGTGGAGTTGTCACGACGGACATTACTTCTCTTATGTCAAAGCTCAAGAAGGCCAGTGGTATAAAATGGATGATGCCGAGGTCACTGTCTGTAGCATCACTTCTGTCCTGAGTCAACAGGCCTATGTCCTCTTTTACATCCAGAAGAGTGAATGGGAAAGACACAGTGAGAGTGTGTCAAGAGGCAGGGAACCAAGAGCCCTCGGCGCTGAAGACACAGACAGGCGAGCAAAGCAAGGAGAGCTCAAGAGAGACCACCCCTGCCTCCAGGCACCCGAGTTGGACGAGCACTTGGTGGAAAGAGCCACTCAGGAAAGCACCTTAGACCACTGGAAATTCCTCCAAGAGCAAAACAAAACGAAGCCTGAGTTCAACGTCGGAAAAGTCGAAGGTACCCTGCCTCCCAACGCACTTGTGATTCATCAATCAAAATACAAGTGTGGGATGAAAAACCATCATCCTGAACAGCAAAGCTCCCTGCTAAACCTCTCTTCGACGACCCGGACAGATCAGGAGTCCATGAACACTGGCACACTCGCTTCTCTGCAAGGGAGGACCAGGAGAGCCAAAGGGAAGAACAAACACAGCAAGAGGGCTCTGCTTGTGTGCCAGTGATCTCAGTGGAAGTGTCGACCCACACGTAGGGGTGCACGCACACACACACACACACACAAATACACCCACAAGCACGCACGCAAACACACACACACACACCCCCAAACAAACCCGAACACCGTCAATCCTACATAAAGTAATGAGGAGTCCAAGTTTCTGTCTCTACAACAGGGACAACTGGATAGTGATGGCTGCATCTCAGGATGAGCCCACACATGGGAAACATCAAGTTTTGGGGTCGTGAGTCTTCCGAACCTCTGGAGGGATTGTCTGTGTGTTTGTGTTCATGGTAGATGACATTCACTGTGTATTTCTGAATATGACCTACTGACGTGTAGGTTTGCGTGTGAGGTTATTGCAGGGGACTCGGTTTCCTATTTTCTCTTGGGGTGTGTTTCATTCGTCAGTTGTTGGGCGGCACGGGAAGGTGAAATTTTGCTCATGTGGCACATCCATGGATCATTCTCGCCACCTTGAATAGTGGAAACTGGAATGCATTTAGAAGATAGGAACGGTGCTCTTCTTTCTTACCCTGGCTCGCCGTTTTTACATTGGTTTCTGAAGGGACCTCAGGCGCCCTGGGACTTGTGCTCTTGCTGGAACCCACATAACGCCGGAAACAGACAGACCGACTTGCCTGTTTCACGGGGTCCACTTCCAATGAGTCGAAACGGAAAATTTTCCCACTGGCGTGTCAGTCATTTGGAACTAAGTCCTATTGATAATAAAGGAAATCAAACACAGGAGTGTGTGTATTCAACTGAAATAAATTCAGAAAGCCCTGAAAAAAAATCTCATTTGGTGTGCTTACAAATGGCATTTGGGGAGATTCCGGGTCATTCGTCCAGCTGCGAAAGCTGCATCTCTGAAGCACAGTCCCTGTCCTTCAATCAGACTTACGTATCCGACGTGGTGTTTCCGTGGAAATGATTGTGGGAAATGGCCCCTTCCTTGTCTGTACTTGCTGATTAGATTTCATGGTCCCTTTCTCGTTAGGTGCAGTGATCAAAGTTGACCAACCCCAGAGGAAAGCTGCCCAGGGCACCACTCAGGGCTCCGTAGAACCACAGAATCTTGGACGCAACCCTGCTCAAGCACCCAAATGTGCATACGAACAGGGTCTCCGTGTGACGTGTGTGAAAACTACAGTGTGATGAGCATGACTCGCAGACAGGTTATCGATTGGGCTCCCCTCAAAATCAGTTAGGAACATGAAAGCACACCGATGCCCAGGTCCCGGCTGCAGGAATAAGACCCTCCGACGTCTTGTGTGAAGCCATGGCATCTGCGTTGCTCATGCTTCTGGGGATCATTCTCCTGAAAATGGTGGCTTCTTTCTCCCTGTGGATCATCTTTCTAAGCAGTGTTCCTTTCTTCCCCCAGGACACTTTACATCAGGCGCACGAAGCCTTCTGATGGACCACACCTGGCCCATGAAAAGACAAGGGAAAGAAACGGGGCCAAAGGTCACAGTCCTCTCATTCCATCATCCTCCTTAAAATCATCCTAATTTCATGGGCCCTGAAGCCAGGGCTGTTTCTTTACACCTCGAGGCCTTGGCGCCGGGCCTCAATTCTGCCCTGTTCCTTACTGTCTAAGACATTTTGGGAAAATCCCTAGAGCCAGGATCTTCATTCCTGGTAAGCCAGAGAGCCTGAAGACACACCCAAATGCTGTCCCTCTTAGTTCAGGGAACATGTCCACTTTCGTCAGCATTACAATTTTTGCACCAAATGTGCTAACTGCAATTCCACCATACAATGCATAACTGGAAATGGAGGGAACATCTCAGATCATGAACAATCGATGCGAGAATCCAGGAGACACACGGCTTATTTTTGCCTTTTCCCTGTGAAACAAGGGCCAGCAGTAAAAAGGTTATGCTATCTTCTGTTTCACTCCCTGCTTTTAAACGTCTCCGATGTTTTCTTCTTGAGACAGGGCCTCATTCCCGTCACCCGGGCTTTTCTACGGTATAATTTTCCTTGTTTGCTTTTGTCAAAATTAGAACTTTTTATTTCATCTCTATGAAATGTTGAGCCATTATCACATACGTGTGGAAATAGTATCACCCATGCTGTGAGATACGTTGTTTTGATTTTCATCAGTTCTTTAATAAACAAAAGCTTATAGTTGGGATACCTTTGGATTTCTCAAGGTTTTTGTTTCATGTTTTCTTAAACTGCCGCCGCACGTCCGAAACCACTCACTATACAATGTCAGGACCATCTCTCTTTTCTGGCACACATAAATTTGGGGAATGTCATCAATTAGTCTCTCGGTGATTGCATGATTTCCCCAAAGTCTTTCACAGTCTACTTTGTGCAATGAGTATCTCTTCAAACTTCAGTGCATGTTTCTACCACTTGATGCTTTAGTATTTGGCAGCCTAGCTTCCACAAGAGCATTTCATGCAAAGACTTCTCTTGTTCTCCACTGGCCGGTAATTTCACTCGGATAGAGAATCAATAGTCTGAACGTGGAAAGGTCATCGCTGGAAGGTCTGTTGGATTCCACGGATCTCTCCTTTATTATTAAGGAAAAATATACGCTGTGCTAAATACTATACTTCATTGACTATTCTCAGGTCAGAAAGTGCACTTCAGACTTCTTGTGCTTCCATCGCTGAGAGGATGATGATAGCTGCCAAAAGTACATACTTGGAAGTTCATCCCAGCACAAGCGCACACACACACACACACACACACACACACACAGACACACACACGGTTTCATAGATAAAGATTTCTTCCCTGACATTCTTTTACCTAAAATAAGGCAACTGTGTGGCCACTGTCCCAACCCGGTTACACTCATATTATATGTGCCTATCACCCTGAGGAGTAATTTGATTCAGGTGTTCTAGAAGTCATGATGTGGGCTGTGTCTGTTGAATTCCCAGCGATGCAAGGGGACACACCCTGTGACTCATTCCTTAATTGAGTGCTGATATTTGATTGGTTTATCGCGCACCTGATGGGTGGGTGGGGTGTTCGCGGTTGGTGGGGGTGAGTTATATAAGGGCTGATGCGGCCAGAGAGCTCGTCATTTGAAGACTCTCTCGGAAGAGATAGCGTCTTGCTGCAACCTGCGGTCCCAGCAGAAAAACCTGGTGATCCTTGTTGCGGGCGACATGGAGGACGACTCACTCTACTTGGGAGGTGAGTGGCAGTTCAACCACTTTTCAAAACTCACATCTTCTCGGCCAGATGCAGCTTTTGCTGAAATCCAGCGGACTTCTCTCCCTGAGAAGTCACCACTCTCATCTGAGACCCGTGTCGACCTCTGTGATGATTTGGCTCCTGTGGCAAGACAGCTCGCTCCCAGGGAGAAGCTTCCTCTGAGTAGCAGGACACCTGCTGCGGTGGGGGCTGGGCTCCACAATATGGGAAATACCTGCTACGAGAACGCTTCCCTGCAGTGCCTGACATACACACCGCCCCTTGCCAACTACATGCTGTCCCGGGAGCACTCTCAAACATGTCAGCGTCCCAAGTGCTGCATGCTCTGTACTATGCAAGCTCACATCACATGGGCCCTCCACAGTCCTGGCCATGTCATCCAGCCCTCACAGGCATTGGCTGCTGGCTTCCATAGAGGCAAGCAGGAAGATGCCCATGAATTTCTCATGTTCACTGTGGATGCCATGAAAAAGGCATGCCTTCCCGGCCACAAGCAGGTAGATCATCACTCTAAGGACACCACCCTCATCCACCAAATATTTGGAGGCTGCTGGAGATCTCAAATCAAGTGTCTCCACTGCCACGGGATTTCAGACACTTTTGACCCTTACCTGGACATCGCCCTGGATATCCAGGCAGCTCAGAGTGTCAAGCAAGCTTTGGAACAGTTGGTGAAGCCCGAAGAACTCAATGGAGAGAATGCCTATCATTGCGGTCTTTGTCTCCAGAGGGCGCCGGCCTCCAACACGTTAACTTTACACACTTCTGCCAAGGTCCTCATTCTTGTATTGAAGAGATTCTCCGATGTCACAGGCAACAAACTTGCCAAGAATGTGCAATATCCTGAGTGCCTTGACATGCAGCCATACATGTCTCAGCAGAACACAGGACCTCTTGTCTATGTCCTCTATGCTGTGCTGGTCCACGCTGGGTGGAGTTGTCACAATGGATATTACTTCTCTTATGTCAAAGCTCAAGAAGGCCAGTGGTATAAAATGGATGATGCCGAGGTCACTGCCTGTAGCATCACTTCTGTCCTGAGTCAACAGGCCTATGTCCTCTTTTACATCCAGAAGAGTGAATGGGAAAGACACAGTGAGAGTGTGTCAAGAGGCAGGGAACCAAGAGCCCTTGGCGCTGAAGACACAGACAGGCCAGCAACGCAAGGAGAGCTCAAGAGAGACCACTCTTGCCTCCAGGTACCCGAGTTGGACGAGCACTTGGTGGAAAGAGCCACTCAGGAAAGCACCTTAGACCACTGGAAATTCCTCCAAGAGCAAAACAAAATGAAGCCTGAGTTCAACGTCAGAAAAGTTGAAGGTACCCTGCCTCCCAACGTACTTGTGATTCATCAATCAAAATACAAGTGTGGGATGAAAAACCACCATCCTGAACAGCAAAGCTCCCTGCTAAACCTCTCTTCGACGAACTTGACAGATCAGGAGTCCATGAACACTGGCACACTCGCTTCTCTGCAAGGGAGGACCAGGAGATCCAAAGGGAAGAACAAACACAGCAAGAGATCTCTGCTTGTGTGCCAGTGATCACAGTGGAAGTACCGACCCACACTGAGGGGTACACACACACACACACAAACACAAATACACCCACAAGTGCGCACGGAAACACACACACACCCACACAAACACGAACACCATCAATCCTACATAAAGTAATGAGGAGCCCCAGTTTCTGTCTCTACAACAGGGACAATTGGATAGTGATGGCTGCGTCTCAGGATGAGCCCACATATGGGAAACATCATGTTTTGGGGTCGTGAGTCTTCCGAACCTCTGGAGGGACTGTCTGTGTGTTTGTGTTCATGGTAGATGACATTCAGTGTGTATTTCTTAATGTGACCTATTGACCTGTAGGTTTGCGTGTGAGGTTATTGCAGGGGACATGGTTTACTATTTCCTCTTGGGGTTTGTTTCTTTCGTCAGTTGTTGGTCGTCAAGAGAAGGTGAAATTTTGCTCATGTGGTACATCCGTGGATCATTCTTGCCACCTTGAATAGTGGATACTGGAATTCAATTGGAAGATAGGAACGGTGCTCTTCTTTCTTACCCTGGCTCGCCCATTTTATTTTGGTTTCTGAATGGACCTCAGGTGCCCTGGGACTTGTGCTCTTGCTGGAACCCACATAATGCGGGAAACAGACAGACCGACTTACCTGTTTCACGCTGTCCACTTCCATTGCGTGGAAACGGAAAATTTTCCCACTGGCACGGAAGTCATTTGGAACTAAGTCTCATTGATACTAAAGGAAATCAAACACTGGAGTGTGTGTATTCATCTAAAATACATTCAGAAAGCCCTGAAATAAACCTCATTTGGTGTGTTTACAAATGGCATTTGAGGAGATTCCGGGTCATTCGTCCAGCTGCGAAAGCTGCATCTCTGAAACACAGTCCCTGTCCTGCAATCAGACTTATTTATCCGACGTGGTGTTTCTGTGGAAATTATTGTGGGAAATGGCCCCTTCCTTTTCTGTATTTGCTGATTAGATTTCATGGTCCCTTTCTTGTTAGGTGCAGTGATCAAAGTTGACCAACCCCTGAGGAAAGCTGTCCAGGTCACAACTCAGGGCTCCGTAGAACCACAGAATCTTGGGCGCAACCCTGCTCAAGCACCCAAATGTGCATACGAACAGGGTCTCTGTGTGACGTGTGTGAAAACTACAGTGTGATGAGCATGACTTGCAGACAGGTTATCGATTGGGCTCCCCTCAAAATTAGTTATGAGCATTAAAGGGCACCGATGCCCAGGTCCCGGCTGCAGGAATAAGACCCTCCAACGTCTTGTGTGAAGCCACGGCATCTGGATTGCTCATGCTTCTGGGGATCATTCTCCTGAAAATGGTGGCTCCTTCCTGCCTGTGGAGCACCTCTCTAAGCAGTGCCCTTTCTTCACCCAGGACACTTTACATCAGGCACAGAAAGCCTTCTGATGGAGCACACCTGGCCCATGAAAAGACAAGGGAGAAGAAACGGGGCCAAAGGTCACAGTCCTCTCATTCCATCATCCTCCTTAAAATCATCCTAATTTCATGGGCCCTGAGGCCACGGCTGTTTCTTTACACCTCGAGACCTTGGCGCCGGGCCTCAATTCTGCCCCAGTGCTTACTGTCTAAGACATTTTGGGAAAATCCCTAGAGCCTGGATCTTCAATCCTGGTAAGCCAGAGAGCCTGGAGACACACCCAAATTATGTCCCTCTTAGTTCAGGGAACATGTCCATTTTCGTCAGCACTAAAATTTTTGCACCAAATGTGCTAACTGCAATTCCACCATGCAATGCGTAACTGGAAATGGAGGCAACATCTCATATCCTGAACAATTCATGCGAGAATCTAGGAGACACAGGGCTTATTTTTGCCTTTTCCCACTGAAACAAGGGCCAGTATTAACAATGTTATGCTATCCTTGGTTTCACTCCCCACTTTTAAATCTCTCGGATGTTTACTTCTTGAGACAGGGCGTCACTGCCGTCACCCACGCTTTTCTACGGTGTAATTTTTGTTGTTCGCTTTTGTCAAATTTAGAAATTTTCATTTCATCTCTATCAAATGTTGCTCCATTATCACATACGTATGAAAATATTATCACGCGTGCTGTGAGATACGTTGTTTTTATTTTCATCAATTCTTTTGTAAAACAAAGGTTATAGTTGGGATACCTTCTGATTTCTCAAGTTTTTTGTTTCATATTTTCTTAAACTGCCGTCGCACGTCCAAAACCACTCACTATACAATGTCTTGACCATCTCTCTTTTCTGGCAAATATAAATTTTCGGAATGTCATCAGTTAGTCTCTCGGTGATTCCATTATTTCCCCAAAGTCTTTTACAGTCTAGTTTGTGCACTGAGTATCTCTTCAAACTTCAGTGCATGTTTCTACGACTTAATGCTTTATTATTCAGCAATCTAGATTCCACAAGAGCATTTAATGTAAAGACTTGTCTTTTTCTCCACTGGCAGGTAATTTCACTCGGATATAGAATCATTAAGCTGATTATGGAAAGGTTATCGCTGGGAGGTGTGATTGATTCCACGGATCTCTCCTTTTTTATTGAGGAAAAATATATGCTGTGCTAATTACTATACTTCATTGCCTATTCTCAGGTCAGAAAGCGCACTTCAGACTTCTCCTTCTATCGCTGAAAGGATGATGGTATCTGCCAAAAGCACATACTCGGAAGTACATCCCAGCACAAACACACACACACACACACACACAGAGAGAGAGAGACACACACACGGTTTCATAGATAAAGATTTCTTCCCTGACATTCTTTTACCTAAAATAAGGCAACTGTGTGGCCACTGTCCCAACCCGGTTACAATCATATTATATGTGCCTATCATCCTGAGGAGTAATTTGATGCAGGTGTTTTAGAAGTCATGATGTGGGCTGTGTCTGTTGAATTCCCAGCGATGCAAGGGGACACACCCTGTGACTCATTCCTTAATTGAGTGCTGATATTTGATTGGTTTATCGCGCACCTTATGTGCGGGTGGCGTGTTCGCTCTTGGTGCGGGTGAGTTATGTAAGGGCTGATTTGGCCAGAGAACTCGTTATTTGAAGACTCTCTCGGAAGAGATAGCGTCTTTCTGCAACCTGCGGTCCCAGCAGAAAAACCTTGTGATCCTTGTTCCAGGCGACATGGACGACGACTCACTCTACTTGGGAGGTGAGTGGCAGTTCAACCACTTTTCAAAACTCACATCTTCTCGGCCAGATGCAGCTTTTGCTGAAATCCAGCGGACTTCTCTCCCTGAGAAGTCACCACTCTCATCGGAGACCCATGTCGACCTCTGTGACGATTTGGCTCCTGTGACAAGACAGCTTGCTCCCAGGGAGAAGCTTCCTCCGAGTAGCAGGAGACCTGCTGCGGTGGGAGCTGGTCTCCAGAATATGGGAAATACCTGCTACTTGAATGCTTCCCTGCAGTGCCTGACATACACACCGCCCCTTGCCAACTACATGCTGTCCTGGGAGCTCTCTCAAATGTGTCATCGTCCCAAGTGCTGCATGCTCTGTATTATGGAAGCTCACAGCACACGGGCACCTCCACCGTCCTGGCCATGTCATCCAGCCCTCACAGGCATTGGCTGCTGACTTCCATAGAGGCAAGCAGGAAGATGCCCATGAATTTCTCATATTCACTGTGGATGCCATTAGAAAGGCATGCCTTCCCGGGCACAAGCAGCTAGATCATCACTGCAAGGACACCACCCTCATCCACCAAATATTTGGAGGGTACTAGAGATCTCAAATCAAGTGTCTCTACTTCCACGGCATTTCAGACACCTTCGACCCTTACCTGGATATCGCCCTGGATATCCAGGCAGCTCAGAGTGTCAAGCAAGCTTAGGAACAGTTGGTGAAGCCCGAAGAACTCAATGGAGAGAATGCCTATCATTGTGGTCTTTGTCTCCAGAAGGCGCCTGCCACCAAGACGTTAACTTTACACACTTCTGCCAAGGTCCTCATCCTTGTCTTGAAGAGATTCTCCGATGTCACAGGCAACAGACTTGCCAAGAATGTGCAATATCCTGAGTGCGTTGACATGCAGCCATACATGTCTCAGCAGAACACAGGACCTCTTTTCTATGTCCTCTATGCTGTTCTCGTCGTCACCGGGTGGAGTTGTCACAACGGACATTACTTCTCTTGTGTCAAAGCTCAAAAAGGCCAGTGGTATAAAATGGATGATGCCGAGGTCACTGCCTCTGGTATCACTTCTCCTTTGAGTCAACAGGCCTATGTCCTCTTTTACATCCAGAAGAATGAATTTGGAAGACCCAGTTACAGGGTGTCCGCAGGCAGGGAACCAAGAGCTCTTTGTGCTGAAGACAATTGAATTGTGTGTGAAATAATATGTCATGAATAAATCTTGCAGCAGAGTATTTATTTGTCTCACTTTGTAATCAGTGAATGAGCTTTAACGAATATCAATGCCTAGTGCCTACCCCCCAGAGATAAGAACTTCCAGTCTCTCATGTGTAATCATGGCATCTGGATTGCTCATGATTCTGAAGATAATTCTCCTGTCCCCCAAAGTTTCAGAATCACTTCAGGTGGTAGAAACAGATAACACATCAGTCCCTTTCTCTCTCTTTTCTCTTCACTCAGGAAAACTCTCACTGGACCAAGGAAAATCCTATGGTTTACTAGGGAGGAGTAGTTTTCTCAGCAGTGAAAATGGTGGCTCCTTCCTCCCTGTCAAGTCTCTTCCTCAGGATTGCTTTATCTCTCCAGGACTCTGCTCATCAGGCCCGAGATGCCCCCTGGTTGCGCATACTTGGCCTATGAAGAAATATGGGGAAGGAATGGTTCCAAAGACCATACTATGCTCACTCCACCATCGCCTCTGACACTATGCTGACTTCATGAGCCCTGGGTCAGAAGCTGTTTTCTTTACACCTCTAGGCCTTGCCTCATGGCCTAAAGATGTCCCCATTTCTTACATCTTATAAATTTTGACAAAACCCTCAGGGCCTAAATCTTCATTCCTCATAGGCCAAAGGGAGATACACCAGAATTCTGTCCCTCTGAGACTGCAGGACATCTCAGCTTCCATCAACATGAAATTTTGCACCAAATATAGTTACTGCAGTTCCACCTCACAATGAGTAACTGGAAGTTCAGACAACATCTCAGACTCTATACAGTTTCTGGCCAAGCTCATTTGGTTTAACAATGCTTTTACTCTATAAATCAGTTGTGAGAACACTTAGGATTCATATTATTTAGTATTTTAATCAGTCTGTTATTATTTTCAATGTGTTTACTAGACTTTAGTTTAATATTTCTGATAAACTTTGATGCAAAAATTCTCGATATAATAGTGGCAAACCAAATCCAGCAACATATCAAAAACCTTATCCACCAAGATCAAGTCAGCTTCTTCCCTTTGGTGCAAGGCTGGTTCAACAAACACAAATCAATAAATATAATTCACCATGTAAACCGAACTAAAGACAAAAACCCCATGATTATTTTAGTATACTCAGAAAAGATCTTTGATAAAATTCAACATTCCTTTATGTTAAAAACCTCAGGAAACTAGGTATTGATGGAACATATCTCAAAATAATAAGAGTCATTTTTGACAAACCCACAGCCAATATCATATTGAATAGGTAAAAGCTGGAAGCATTCCTTTTGAAATTCGGCACAAGGCAAGGATGCCCTCTCTCACCACTCCTACTCCATATAGTACTGGAAGTTCTGGCCGAGGCAATCAGCCAAGAGAAAGAAATAAAGCATATTCAAATAGTAAAAGAGGAAGTTGAACTGTCTTTGTTTGCAGATGACATGATCCTATATCTATAAAATCCCATCATCTCAGCCCAAAAGATTCTTAAGCTTATGAGCCACTGCAGTAAATTCTCAAGATACAAAATCAGTGTGCAAAAATCACAAGCATTCTTATACACCAACAATAGACAAGAAGAGAGCCAAATCACAAATAAGTTCCCATTTACATTTGCTGCAGAGTATAAAATACCTAGGAATACAGCTAACAAGGCAAGTGAAGGACCTCTTCAAGGAGAACTACAAACCACTACTCAAGGAAATAAGAGAGGACACAAACAAATGGAAAAACATTCCATGCTCATGGGTAAGAAGAATCAATATCATGAAAATGCCATACTTCCCAAAGTAATTCATAGATTCAATGCTATTCCCATAAACTACCATGGACATTCTTTACAAAATTAGAAAAAACTACTTCAAAATTCATATGGAATGAAAAAAGAGCCCATATACCCAGGACAATCCTAAGGTAAAATAACAAAGTTAGAGGCATCATGCTACCTAACTTCAAACTATATTACAAGGCTACGGTAACCCAACAGCATGGTAGTGGTACAAAACAGACACATAGACCAATGGAATGGAATAGATATATCAGAAATAAGACTGCACATCTACAACCATTTTATTTTTGATGAAAACAAGCAATGGGGAAAGGATTCCCTATTTAATAATAAATGGTGCTTGAAAAACTGGCTAGACATAGGCAGAAAACTGAAACTGTACCCCTTCCTTATACCTTATACAAAAATGAACTGAAAATGGATTAAGACTTAAATGTAAAACCCAAAACTGTAAAAAATCCAACCCCATATAAAAGTGGGCAAAAGCTGGGTACAGTGGCTCATGCCTGTAATCCCAGCAGTTTGGGAGGGTGAAGTGGGCAGATAACTTGAGGCCAGGAATTCAAGATCAGCCTGGCCAAGCTGGTGAAACCACGTCTCTACTGAAAATACAATAAATTAGCCGGATGTAGTGGTGCGGACCTGTAATCCCAACTACTCAAGAGCCTGAGAGAGAAGAATCGCCTGAATCTGGGAGGCAGAAGTTGCAGTGACCCGAGATTGTGCCACTGAACTCCACCCTGAGTGACAGAGCAAGACTCTGTCTTAAAAAATAAAAATGTAAAAATTTCAAAAGTGGGCAAAGGACATGAACAGACACTTCTCAAAAGAAGACATTTATGCAGCCAACAAACATGAAAAAAAAGCCCAACATTACTGATCATTAGAGAAATACAAATCAAAACCGCAGTGAGATACCATCTCATGCCAGTCAGAATGGTGATTATTAAAAAGTCAAAAAACAACAGATGCTGGTGAGACTGTGGGGAAATAGGAAAACTTTTACACTGTTGGTGTGAATGTAAGTTAGTTCAACCACTGTGGAAGACTGTGGTGATTTTTCAAAGACCTAGAATCAGAAATACCATTTGACCCAGCAATCCCATTACTGCATATATACTCAAAGGAATATAAATTCTTGTATTATAAAGATACATGCATGGGTATGTTCATTGCAGCACTATTCATGAAAGCAAAGACATAGAATCAACCCAAATGCCCATCAATGATAGACTGGATACAGAAACTGTGATACATATACACCATGGAATACTATGCAGCCATAAAAAGGAATGAGATCATGTCCTTTGCAGGGACATGGATGAAGCTGGAAGTCATTATTCTCAGCAAACTAATGCAGGAACAGAAAACCAAATACACATGTTCTCACTTAATAAGTGGGAGATGAAAAATGAGAGAACATAGACACAGGGAGGGGAACAACACACACTGGATCCTGTCTGTGGGTGAGTGGGGAGGGAGTGCATCAGGATGAATAGCTAATGTATGTGGGCTGAATACCTAGGTGATGGGTTGATAGGTACAGGAAACCACCATGGCACACATTTACTTATTAACAAACCTGCACATCATGCACATGTATCCCAGAACTTAAAATGAAATAAAATAAAATTTTAAAAAACTTTATTTTTTCTAACCTTCCAAAATGCAGGGATTACAGGCATAAGCCACCATGCCTGGCCCTGTTTTAACATATCTGAACAAGATTTAAGACATCAGTTTGAAAAGAGCCCCTCTATGGCAGCAACATGAATTCTGTCAAACCTGAAGCAAGAACAAACATCAAATTTACGGTGAAGCTGGGGTACAAAAAATGGTGAAATAAATTATTCTTTATGAAAAGTCTATGGGAAAAATGACCTGAAGAATCAGTCATTTACAAACGGATACCTTATTCTAAGAAGCGATAATACAATGTTGAAGATGAAGTCAACAGAGGAGGGACATCCATACCAATTTTTGAGAAAAAAAAATCGTTTCTATGCCCTCATTGAGGAGGATTGACAATTAACAAGAGATACTGTAGCCAACATCACAGACATCTCAATTGGTTCAGCTTACACAATACTGACTATAACGTGAAAGTTGAGAAACTTTACATTTGATGAGTCCCAAATACCCTTGTGCCTAGATCAGCAGTGGACAAAAGCAGAGCTATTAGTAACTATTTTGAGCAAGCAGAATCAAGATCCTGAAGCATTATTTTGAAGAATTTTAACAGGGAGTGAAACTGGCTTTATCAATAAGATCCTGAAGACAAAGCACAATTCAAGCCATGGCTACCAAGAGGTAGAAGTGGTCCAGTCAAAGCAAAAGCAAACTTCTCAAAAGCAAAAGCCATGGAGGTTTTGGGGATGCTCAAGGTATTTTGCTTGTTGACTTTTTGTAAGGTCAAAGCACGATAACATCTGCTTACTAGGAGAGTTCTTAGAGAAAATTAGCAAATACTTTTGCAGAAAAGCGCCCTGTAAAGCTTCACTAGAGAGTCCCTCTGCACCACAACAACACTTCTGTTCCTTCCTCTCATCAAACATGGGTAATTTTGCAAGAGTTTTCATGGGAAATTATTAGGCATCAACATTACAGTCCTGATTTGGTTTCTTCTGACCTTTTTTTCCCTAACCTTAAAATAACTGTATAACTGTAAAGGGCACCCATTTTTCTTTAGTTAATAATAGAAGACTGCATTGACACGGTTAAATTCCCATTACCCTCAGTTGTTTAGCAATGGACTGAATGGCTGGGATCATCCTTTAATGGAGTGTCTGGACCTCAGTAAAGCTTATATTGAGAAATAAAGTTTATATTTATATTTTTATTGTTAATTCCATTTTTCACTGACATTTTTAAATCCCTTCACAATTCACCTTTGTCTCAAAGGTATTTAAATTTAGAAATCATATCAAGTGTGAAATAAAAAAATTATATAGACAGAGGGAGAACAGAATCTATAAATATGCATGTTTGTGTACATACATCCATATACATACATATGTGTGTGCATGCAATAATTTTATTGCCCTAAAGCAATGCCTCTGCCTTCCACCCTCACTGCACATGTCCTAGTCCTGTGATGTCCCTGGAACTGAGCACCTGATTTCCTTCTCTGCCTCCCACATGAACAGGGAATAGAAATGGAAACCACGTTCTGTGGTTGCTGTTGTGAAAATCCATGTTCCCCACAGGCTGAGTTTAGCATCTTACATTCTAGTTCTCATTGTAAAAAAGCAAGCAACAAACAAAAACTACAAAAGAAAAAATGAAATAGTTGAAAGTCTAGAGCCACAGAGGTTCCGGATCCACCCACCGCCCACGGTGACCTCCACAGCCCTCCAGGCCTGAGGACAGCTATGCCTGAACAGCCTGCCTCTTCACCATCCACACAGGAAAGTGACTTTAAACTTCAATAGCTATTACTCTGTTCCACAAGGAACCAGGCCAACATTCAAAGTCAGTGGTCTGACAACTCTAAGCTTTGGCCGGAAAGTATTGGAAACATTTAACGTGCAGTGGATGAAGCAGCCCGGCCCCACTGCACACAACACACTCACAGGGACTCAAAGGAAGAGACTCAGGATCCGCTGGGTGGAAGTGAGGACAGACCCAGAAACACAGGGGGTGGGAAGGGGTCAAACCAGGAAGGCTCAGGACCTGACCTCCTCCTAGGCCCTGCCTCTCTAGAACTCGCAGTTTTTTCTGACCTAGAAGCGGATTTCACTGATGGAAAAGAAGTTCAGTATTTCTGGTCCAGCCCAGTAAGCTGCTCCCATTGCCCAGCCTTCCACACCCCTGCAGACGTCACAATCCCTGCACCCACTAACCTGACAAGGGAGCTATGCATCACCTGGAGACAGTCCTAGGCCTGCACTCCTGTGATGGGGTCCAGGGTCTGTGTCCATTTCTGGTTAAAATTGCTGTAAGGCTGGTCGCTGTCTTGGCCTTCCCTGCTTCCTCTCTGTTCAATTCTCCCCTCCTCACCCCATGTGAAGCTTTTACTCAGGAGATGGATTCTCACCCCTCTTGAAACATCAAGGATAGTGCCAGCACACCGCACCATCCCCTTGACCCTGGGATTCTGTAGACCTCAGTCTTCTCCTGAGGTCCCCTCCCTCCCTACCTCATTTTTTCCATACTTCTGGGGCCTGGGCCTGCTACACCTCAGGCTTCCTCTTCACAGTCACAGAGTGAGGGAGCCCCCTTCATCCTTGGGCTCTGGCCACAGCTCACCTGCTGCAGGACACTCAGCAGCTTTCAGTAGTTCATCCAGACATCCAGTTGGAAGTGAGATTTCCTGGAAGGAAAGCAGGAACCCAGAATTACACTGAATTCTAACACCAGGGCCCAGGTTCCCCTTCTGCATGGGACACTAAGCTGCAAACACTACATGGGCACTTAATGCTCAGCTGTCCTTCTAACATCTGGTCCGATTGTGTCCCTCCTCCTTGGAATATCTCAGAAAATGTATCTCCACCTAGAGTTGTTTGAAAGCATCATCCTATGTGATTCCAGACCATCAGGGGGTGCAATGGGTCCTCACCAGTATTTCCACTCTGCTTGGAAGACTTAGAAAATCCTGAGGCTGCTCAGAGGGTCAGCTTCCCATCGCTGTGTTTCAGTAAAACTTCAGTCTTCCCTGGACAAGTGAGGAGACAGAAAATGTCTAGTCTCTGGCACATCTTTTGCAAGCAATGGCGGCTCCCAGGAATCAATACTATCAACGAATATATTTTTGAGATTCTGGTCAAAAGAAGAGTCATCCTGCAATTTCAGGTAGGATGGAGTGGTTCTGTGGCTCCTGAGGTGATTTTGAAAAGATCTTGACTCTCAGAAGGACCAAGGAGGACATTTCTGGCATTTCCAGACCAGGAAGAGTGACTGATGGACCTCCAGTGTTACTTGGAAAAATTTTGTTGGACAGCTTTGTAATAAGAGGATCTTGCTTTGGCTTTCAGGCCTTCACATAGGTTGTTTAGATCATGGAAGTGTTTCTGCATTTCTGCATAGGCTCAGGATGCCTTCTCAAGTCGTCCCTGCAATTATGAGACAGTTGCTTTCTCCAGAGGTCACTTAGAATAATACAAGAGGCTTCACCCTCAAAGGGACACCAGACAATATAGCCACAGTCCAGCCAAGATTATCTGTATTTACATACCTGTAAAGTAACACTCCTAGTGATCTCCATTAACTTGGACATCTTTCATGAATAGGGAAACTCTAGTGATTGTTATATAACAGCTGCCACAAAAATTAATCAATAAAAAGAAACGATATATGAAAAATAATTAATAATCATGATAATGAACTCAATGACCTAAATAGTATGAATTTTAATACTGGAGACAATATAAATGTAAGGATACAAAAATTAATGTGGAGCTTCCCCTAAATATATGAAAACTTCACAGACTGTGTCCTCCTTGTGTAATTTGGAGTCAGAGTCAAAGAATTTCTCTATGAAATGTGTTCCATGATGGCAAACATCAAAAACAGGAGGTGAAAGAAAAGCAAGCCGCAGGAGACCATGGGCTAATATGAACATTTGTGTGCAAACCTCTCTCATCAAGAACTACCAGCCAGAGGTGAAGGGACTGTGATTTGTGTCCTGCCCACCACTGGGCACACAAAAGCTTTCAGTAGTGCAACCAGATGGTTGGTTTGGCCTGGCTCCCTGCAAGGAAGACACGTCTCTGATCCCCACCAGCCCATCAGTCCTGGAACTCAGAATCCTACATGCAGTAAACATGAAGCTCCAACTCCATAGCTGACTTTACCTCCTTACTGTCCTTCTGCCATCTGGTGTTTCAGGTGCTCTCCAGATCTGGACTTCTTGGCTCCCCTACCTTTACCAAGTGAACTCAGGATGTATCATTCTCAGTCTTCTCCTGCCAGTCCAAAGTGAAACTCACCAATACAAGCATACCCTGGATGGGCTTTCTTGGAATATTTAGAAAACAATGAGCTTGCTCGGGGGTGGTGTGAGCTCTAGGAGTAGAGTTACAGTCTCCCATGGAAACCTGAGAGGACTTAGAATATTCCCAAAGGCCTAAGCAGTCCAATCTGTCCTGGAAACATCAGGAATGATATACTCGGTCTTCCTGAGGCTCCAAAATTTTTCCAAATAAACTCAGAGATTACAGAACCATTTTTCTCTTGGGAACTGAAGTGGAGTTATTTGCCTTCTGCCAGCATCTCACTTTTTTTTTTCTCTAAGTTAGCTTTTGAGCCCAGAAGTAGATATTCCTTGTATTTGATTTACATAGGGAGCTTCCTAGAATGCCCGTGCCTCTGGATAGTTTCTGCATTCACTCAGGTATTGACAAAATGCTGCAGTTCTACTGAAAATCTCTGAGATGACCATTTGATCACCTGAGTAACTTTTGAATGTGTCTTCTATGGAAGCCCTGGAGCCTCCCTTCTGGTATTTCATACACTGCCGGTACCAAGTATCCTGGGTGAAACCCTCCATCAGACATTGTTGGCAATTCCAGTATGGAGATGACACTAACGTGATGGGGCTCAAGAATCAGATGGTAGAAGAGCAGCTGGGAGGTGAAGTCTCAGTAGGCTAGGGGCTTAATGTTCGATGCACACCAGACTTCTGAGACTCAGGAGGCGTGTGTGTATCTGTCTGCCCAGTGTCTCTCATCTACAGCCTGGACCAGCTATTTCTTGGGGTGAACTACTGAAGGCTTTTGTACGACCTGTGTCAGGCAAGACTCTGGCCAGACCCTTTGCCATAGTCCATTTGTAATGCATTTCCACATGGCACAGGTATCTCCACTTTTGCCCATGCTCTCATGTGGCTCAGAATTATTCTCCCTACTGCCACTCTTCTTTGCCATCACAGAAGATATTTCAAGGTGTAGCCCTAAGCTTCTCCATCTAATCAATAACATGAGGGTTCGTATGGGAACATTGTCACAGGCTTACAGGAATATGTTCTTAAATATCTGCTTTTCTATTACTCTCTTCATTAAATTGACATTTATATCATCACCATTATGATTGTTATTAATGTTATTATTATATTGATACAGTTCTTTATCATGGATATATTTGTGGTCGTTTTTATGCAATGTTGAATAATTGTTTTATGTTCCTGAAGACTGTTGAATTTGCTGAAGATGATTAAAAGACAACCTTAAAACATAAATACCACAGCAACCCCAGGAATCCTACTGTACTGCTTGGTGTCCTGTAGAAGAATGGGCTTCCTGAATTATTCTTTTATTTTTCAGGCAAGTACCTATTCATACCAGCATAGGAGACTGATGAAGTGCACCCTCATCTTGCCATGGTCTCAGAAAGAATTCGTACATATGCTTTATGTGATAGCAACTCTATGTGTAGGCCTGTGAGCCCTAGAATGCACTTTCTTTCACCAACTAGTCCACCTAACAGTTTTCTAAGTCAAATCCCCTCTCCATGCTTGGATAGGTCATGAATGGCTTTCTGTTACCCACCTAAGATGAAGGGATATTGCTAAATCAGGTTTGTGGCCAAGAAACTTTTATCTGGAGTGGCAGGAGAGGGCCTACCTGTTCACCAGAGTGTCTGCAACATTTTCTTTTTTTTCCTTTTTATTTATTTATTTATTTATTTTTTGAGATAGAGTCTCGCTCCGTCGCTCAGGCTGGAGTCCAGTGTCGCGATCTTGGCTCGCTGCAACCTCCGACTCCCAGGTTCAAGCGATTCTCCTGCCTCAGCCTCCTGAGTAGCTGGGATTACAGGTGCGTGTCACCACACCCAGCTAATTTTTGTATTTTTAGTAGAGAGGCGGTTTCACCATGTTAGTCAGACTGGTCTCAAACTCCTGACCTCATGATCCACCTGCGTTGGCCTCCCAAAGTTCTGGGATTACAGGCATAAGGCGCCGCACCTGGCCTCTGCAACATTTTCTAAGTCGGTATAGAAGCTCTTTGAACCACCTTTTCAGTCAAAGAACTCATGAAAAAGTCCTCCAAGAACTTGTGACCTTCTGGAAATTGTCAAAATCTCTACAGGTGTCCAGAGTCATCTAGATCTGTATTGCAAGCCACTGACTGGGTTCCAACATTATTAAAGCAAATGCAAAATATGCCATGCCCACCAAAAAAAATCCAGAAGCCATGGTATTTAGCTGTTTCCATCTTTCTTGCCTCCTGCACGTGGGAGAGTACTGAGTATCATGCCCTCCTACAGCCTCTGGAGGACATGCCAATGTCTAGGGGTACCAGTAGAGAGGGGCCATGAAAGAGCAGATGACAGCCAGGTTGCTGGGAATGACATTGTCCTGGGGCTTATTGCTTGTCATGAACTGTGCCACTGGGCAACATATGCAGGTGTGGACCCGTGCCTTCTCTGGATCCCTGCCCCATCAGCCAGCTGTCTTATCTCCTGAAAGCTGATAGGTGTTGGTCAGCATGGTGTTCCAGGACCAGGGTTATATTAACATTCTCTCTTAGGCTGAAACACCAGAAGTTAACACAGGAGTCCCCAGGTGTGCACATACTAACCTCCAGATTGTTTTTCTTCTCGTTCTAGATGTTCATCCTTGCTTTTTGGGACTTGAAATAACCGTACACAGCCAAATATTTATGCCTATTATCCACTTATGGAAAACTTATATGTCCCAAGTCCATAGGGTTAGTATTATTATCACTATTAAAACCATTAGTACTAGTATCATGATGATCATTATTCCTGTTAATATCCATCAATATTTTTATTACTGCCATTGTTAATATGGATTTTTCATTATTGTACAGCAATGAATATAGTTTATCCATTCACAAATGGTGTTCAGTTACCAAAGATGACTACAAGGCATGTTCTACAGACATATACACACACAGCTGTCCTGGAGACCCAGCTTTGCCACCAATTGCTCTTTCATAAGATGAGATCCCCCAGTACCCACCAGTTTTTCAGGACTCGACCTGAGCTGGCTCAGCTAGACCTGGAAAAGTTTCCTATGCCCAAATGTACTTGGAAAAATTTTAAAGTCTCTTCAGAGGCCCAGTAATAGCTTTTGGCAGCTTCTAAGACCAGGGAGGGTTTCTTGGCCATTCAGAGCCATTCAAATATTCCAAGTAAACTCAAGGATCCAGAAACCCCACTTGCAGTCATGAAATACCAGTGAATGGCCTCTGTGAGTCTCTTCAAGGTTTTCAAAGATGACTGCCTGAGAAGGCTGGCCAGGAAGTCACCCAAGCCCAACCTTCTGCAGGACGTTCTATGACAGCCAGGGACCCAGGGAATTGCCATTGAACAGAAGGGAGGAACAGAGACGGCATGCCTGAGCTTCTGGAAACATTCTAAGTGCCCTTGTTGGCCCAGAAAAGACTGGTGCTACCATATGAGGCACAGACTTGGCAACCTACCTACTCCAGGAACCACAGAAGGTTTAAAGGTTCCCAGGAAGTCCCAGGAAGGGCAGCCATAGCCCTTTAGAGCCATCAGATTTTATTCTAAGTCTACTTGGGAGACAGTGCTCTTAGCTTCATAAAAACACCAGTGGAGGTGCTAACACTTGCCCCAGTATCCAGTCTTTTCTACCTCATCTCAGAGCCAGGAAGCCACTATTTCCCAAAGCTGCTGTGCAATGAAAGGGGAATATTCTAGGTGCTCTCCCGTGCCCACGAAATTCTGTGGCTGCGCTGAAAGGCAGGAGATGTCCTCCGGAATGCTCTTCAGAAATCTGACAACACTGGTCAAGATTAAAGAAGCTCAATTCAACGTCATACAAAACCAATCCCAAATATATATATATATGCATAGTGAGACAAAATGATGAACACATCTGCTAATAATCATGAATGACAATAATAACAACAATGATGATCTTAGTGATAATGCCACCAACACTGTTAATGGCAATAACAATAAACCTGAGGTAATGAGTGTTAGGGTCCCGATTCACCGATGTGAAGGATGGCGGCAATTTCTGGCCTCACAGAAATAAAGGAAAAGTAAACACCTGGAGGAGGAGGAGGTGAACCTGGAGCTCCCGCCGGCCTCTGGGCGCTCCTTGGTGGAAGGAGAGGGACTTGGTCCTGAGCCTGCCCCGGATCCACCTACACCAGAATCCCAGAGTCCCAGTCCCTGGATGGGCTCAGTCCCAACCAGGCCAGACGCCCCGGAGCCCCGTAGCCCGGGTCCTCCAGCCCTCGCTGCCGCCGCTTCTCGCGGAGCCGGGGCCGCCCCCGCGCCACCTCAGCCTCTGCGGGGCTCTGGGAGGGCAGCGCCGAGGATGCTCCGGGGCCAGCGGGGGCATCCGGGCCCAGAGGGGGTATCCGGCCTCAGGCGGATACTGACGCCCTGAGGGCGCGGAATAGGGCGGCCTGCGCAGGGCCCGCCGTCTCGGCCTTGCAAAAACAGCGGCCTCTTCAAAGCCCCTACCGGAACCTCCCCGGAGGCCCCAGCCTCAAAGCCAGGGCGATGGCGCTTCCCTGACCATGGGTGAAGAAAACTCAGGTCCTCCCTGGAGACCCGGCCCGCCGCGGGAGGCAGACCGCGCATGCGCCCTGCATGGCCGGAAAGATGGGTTTCATTGCCCTCTGTCGGCCATGAGGTGGCAGCACAGGACGTTTGGCCTTAGCGGTGGACCTGAGTCTGAATCACTGAAATTCAGGTGTAGATTATTCAGTACTTTTCTTTTGGAAGATCAAATGGAAATTGAGTATGATACCTTGTGCTTTAATTAAAGAAGATGGAAATAAAGAAGCAAATTCAAAAATCAGTATACAAAAGCCGATTGATTCCCTCTATGTGGAGGGAAGACGAGCTTGAATAAGAGAAGCATTCTGTGTTACGCTTTAATAATGGCTGGAGATCTGCCACCATGCATTTGTCAAATCCCATAGAATTTCACAGCACAAATAGTACATCTTAATGTGGTTCAGGAGTACATATAATGTCAGTCACAGTTTGTGGGTAAATTACATATTTAATTAAATAGATTAAACAATAAATAATGATATGAGCTCTGCCTGGACACAGTCCTTGCCTCTCCAACCAGTTTGCCAAGGGCTTGAATTTCTTGCTCATTATCCTCACACTTGACATAAACCCTGGCTGCAGAGTAAAATCAATCACTTGTAGAGATTTTAAAATATAATGATGTGTCAACTTCAACCATGGATAAGGCCATTTAGCCTTAGTAAGGCCGATCGTATTAAGATTGTGCCTGTTTGGCAAAATTTCAAGTCATCCCACTTAATATTCAGGAAACATTTTCTCTTGAGTTTTAGGTTCAGTGGTGAGGCTCCTTCATGGACAATACATTTTCCAATTCTGAGGACAAGGCAGAGGAGGGCCCCTCTGTGAGAACTTTCATTTTGCTTCAGGAAAAGTACATTGAATCAAATATAGGAAAGGCTTGCAAGGTGGCTGACAGGTTCGGCTGTTTTATCATGCTGGTGTTTTATCTTCTGGACTGCAGTAAAAGGAGCACAGCTGTGTCTGTCTCTGTGTAATAACTCAGGACTTACCAGAATAAAATGTGGGGTGTTATGAGATGAACTGCTACTTCCAGTTAGAGAGGCTCCAGGGACAAAATTTCAAGAGTCTTCTGAGGGATAAAAGAGAAGAGCTGCCTTATTCTCTGATCCCAGTTAACTGCTTAGAGACAGAGGAAAGGGCTGCGGACACCCAAATGCATATACAAGGTGTCTTTGATACAGCCTCCATTTCCCTGCTAAATCTATGCAATGACACACTGAGAAATCTAGCAAGTGGGGCTGAAGATCCCTGGTGTGTCAACTCGAGGGTTGGATGGAAACAAGTGGTTTTAGTGGACGTTGAAGTAAAGGGAGGTGAGCTGTGAGGAAAGAGCTGTTGAAGACTGGGGAGACTCAGAAGTTGGGGTAGAATCTCGACCAAGAATCTCACCCAAGGAGTGCAGGTGCAAATCCATTTGTTAGGGCCGCATAAATGAAACAAGGGCTTTGCCAACATACTAAGTTTTTTCAACAACAGATTGTATTCTTTCAATATTTGTAAGTATTGATCTTTTGGAAAAGTTTAATGAGATTTCTTATATAATTCTGCACGCAATTTATTCCCTGGTCACTTTGCTATTATGCATTTACATGCCACATTTTTATGAATAGATATTTTCTCAAATTTCTGAATTATTTTGCTAAAGTATGTGTTAAGAGTTTTTTCTAGGGGTCCAACTTCTTGACTCACTTTTCTGATGAGAAATCTATCAGGTTTCTCCACAGTGATTTTCAAGTTTGATAGCTCCTCAATGTGAGAAACTCAATGTCAACTAAGAAATGAATTACCACTAAAGAATTTTCTCCTTTCAAGATGCTAACCATGTTTTGTCCAGTGAGAAATCTCACATGTGCCACATGTGTTGCTCTATGAAGAAAGGATTTCTCATGATTTTTCATTGCATAACTTCTCCAGTAAGAAGTATTTGGTATTCCAAGAGAATTCATTGCCCTTGGAAAGATTTTCCCTTCTTATTTAGCTCATGAAGGCTTTCCTCTCTTATTTTCCATTTTAGCAGCATTTTGTCACTCTTCTCTTGTGAACATCAAGCCTGGTGCTTGGCTGAATGTTCATTCACAGAAAATACAAATAAAGGGTTCATCCAAGTAAAGTTTTCTCATGTTATTTGACAATAAATTGCAAATAAAAACATTTTCACACTGAATGCAGAGTTAGAGATTCTCTACCTGAAAGTCCCACATGTTTTAAGTTATAGCTGTTGCTGAAGACTTTTAGTTGATTATATTGACAGTTTCAGCTCTCTCATGTCACTTATGCTCAGATCACTAACAAGTCTTTGGTACATACATGTCATACAATTTCTCTTCCATATGAATTTATTGATGTGGACTGAAGAATAAAGGTAACTGAAGTATCTTCCATGTTGATTACAGTATTTCTTCAAAATGTGAGTCCTTTGGCATGTTTAGATGCTACAACTACAGCTGAAGTCTCTTCCACATTCCTTACCTTCGTCATTCCTAACACCGTGTCATCTAAAGTCAGAATATGTTCTGAAGAAGTTTATAATTTTCTCTCCAGGGTGAATTTTCTGATGCTCTTTAAGATTAGTACATTGTCTGAAGGCTTTCCCACATAAATGGCATTCATATGGCTTTTCTCCAGTGCGTGTTCTCTCATGTCATCTAAGGTTGGAAGACAGACTGAAGGCCTTCCCACATAGAAGACAAGCATGTGGTTTCTCTCCAGTGTGAATTATTTTGTTTCCTCTAAAGCCAGAGCTTTGACTAAAGGCTTTCCCACTTTTATCACATTCATAACACTTTTTTCCAAGGTGAGTTCTCTCATGTCTTTGAAGGTTAAAGGATTGAATAAAGGCTTTCCCATATTGATGACACTTATATGGTCTCTGTCCCGTGTGAGTTTTCTCGTGTCTTCTAAGGTGAGAACACTGAGTGAAGGCTTTTCTACATAGATGACATGCATATGGCCTCTCTCCAGTGTGAGTCATCTTGTGCCGTCTAAGGTGAAAGCAATTAGTATAGGCCTTTTCACATAGATTACACTGATATGATTTACCTTTAGTATGAATTTGTTTATGTGGTTCAGTGGACAAAAGATTACGAAGGGATTTTCCACACTGTTTGCTGACATAGGGTTTCTTTCCACTATGAGTTAACAAACACTGAGTTATTGTGGAACTGCGAGTGCAATCTTCTCCCGAATCATTACATTCAAAAGGATCCTCCAGAATGAGAGAGTTCTCCTTTGGGGCAAATATTAAAAGCTCTTAATGGTTTACCCACATATATCTATACATTCATTTCACTACCTTTGAATCCTAGACCAACCATTCAGTGGTAGACCCCAGTTGAAAGCTTTCCAATGTTTCTTGTGTGAAAGGAAATTAAATTTTGGGACCCCAAACTCATTTAACCAAAGGGAAAAATCAAGCTGGGAACTGGGTCACACAAACCTGCCTCCCCCTTCTGGTTCCTAAATAATATGGCTACAAGATGAAAAGCTACACGCCTCCCCCATATTTTGCCCATGAGGAAATTCCTCATGAGCTGTTAAAATTGCACCATGGCAATGCAAACTGATAACTTTTCTTTACAAGTGCAGTCATCCCCAGTTCACCAGACACAAATGCATATTGATTGTCTCCCTGCCCCATTTTGCCTATGTTGTCTTATGTAAAATGCAGCTTTCCTGCATTATTCCTCTGCCTCATTTGTTTATGTCATCTTATGTAAAAAAATCCAGATTCACTGAGCCAGAAAAATGCATGAATGACTATTTTTTCTACCCACCTTTTACATGAAAATTGTGTACTTCTCAATATCCCACCCTTTCCCCTTTAAATTTGGAACCTTCAAAATCATCTTTGGAGAAAGGCATACACCTGTCCCCTGGGTGCATGTCCTTAACTTTGGCAAATAAATCTCCTAAAATGATTGAGACTTGTCTTGTCATTTTTCTCGATTGACAATTGCATACACATTATCTCCTGCAGACACAGATATGTTCTCTTCTGTAACATCTCAACTGCAGCGTTATTGCATAATTGTGTTGATATCAATATCTTTCGATGACTGGGCATGAGCAATGTATATGCACTTGTTCTATTTTAGAGATCTCATGTTATGGTTTAGAACACAGGTCAATGTATTCACTAAATTCAAAGTATCCAATTTTTTTTTTTGCTTAGAAAACACTTAATGCCAGCTTAATTACACTCAGGTGATTGTGCTTCATTACTAACTTAACCCATTAACATGTCTTTAACTTAGATGACTGGTGTACACAGCTATAAAACTTACCATTGTCATACTGGTGGATGCGTCTTTTCTGGTGATAGGATGCATGGATATCATGTGTGTTTTCTTAAGGGCACTTTCCCTGTCTGAAATAATTGAAAAATAAATTGTTACATTGGTATTATGGTAATAAAATTGTTTGAAAAGCCCCAAGGCCCACGTACTTTTTTCAAAAATTGACACGTAGATGTGGCAAGTGTGTCAAATGAAGAAACTACTTGAATAGAAGAAATAGATTGTACAGTGTCAGCAATTAGAAAATATTTTTAAAATTAAAATGTGAAAAGAGTTAAAATGGAGATGAGATATCAGGCAGGTAAAAAGAGGGATAGTCTTCACAGGGGTATCAGGAAAAGAGTCAGCATATGAAAGTTTAACCCCAGCCAAGTACATGAATTATCCTTTTCCCAAAAGTGAAAGAAAAGAAAAAAAAGAGGACACAAGAGTAGCATCTGACACATGAACAAAATGATAATAACAACTAAGGAATTCTGCTCCAGTAGCCTAACCTACATTTTAGAAATTATCACTCATTTAATAAAACCACTAATTAATATTCAACTGATATTATTCATTGACAAAGCACCTCCTCCTATTAGAGCACAGGACCCTGTTGCTTACTTGGATTCTGGTCTTGAAGAAATACTCTTCCTTCCCGCCACAGCTCTTTTCCTTGCTCCAGCTGCAAAATTATATAGGCTTTGCTTATCTGGTACCCTGTTAGTGGAAAGAATACATGTGTTTTGAGTTCACTGTCAATAAATGTGCATTATCACCAAGTGTAAGGCAGGCTATCAAGGAAGAATAAAAACAGTGAAGGTCAGCTCAGGCCACAAGACCTAGAACACAGAAAACTCCCCAGGATTTTTCTGACCCAATATGAGACTAGAAAATAAATCCAAACCAAAGGTCCATCAGGAAAAGGAAATTCAAAACAGTCAGGACCTATGAATGCTGAGTCCATGCCTAAGTTCCAAGATGCAATGCATAATACACAATCTTTTCAGAAAGAGAGTAATTATATCTCTGCACAGTGTGTTTACTATTATTCTCACGCACAACAAAAAAAAACATTCGATTTACAAAAATAATTGGTGTTCTATATGGAAAAGATATTGCTATTGTTTTCCCTAATTGGTCTCAGCCTAATCATAGACTAAAGCAGAAGAGTTATTTAGAAAATATTTAATTTAATACACTGAAAATATTCATTAAGTTCCCAGGTCTGTTATGAGTATTAGAGACTGAGTACCAAAGAAACCATGAAATCCTTGTCAAGACTACATTCTAATTGAGTGACAAACTAAATAAAATAAAATAAAAAGAAAGATATTTATTTCAGATAGATTTAGAGAGTTCAAACCTTTTTCAGATGAGATCTGTGAGAGAATCAGAGAAGAGATTAGAGTGAGATATGGGGAAGCTGTTTTAACACTTATTGAATGAATGAGTGAATGTGTCTCTACATATGTACATGAATGTTGAGGGACTCACTGAGGGACACCAGGTGACTGATATTTTCCAGCATCACATCTCTGTACAGCTTTCTCTTGGATGTGTCCATCATGGCCCACTCTTCCTGGGTGAAGTCAATAGCTACATCTTCAAAAGTCACTTTCTTCTAAAACATCACAGACATTTTAGTTTAGACAGAGAAATTCCTTTCAGTGTCCGGAAGAGGAAGGCTGAGATGACATAGCTAGCAGCTGGGTATGCAGAATACTCAGTGTTTTGGGTTCCAGCCAGTTCATTCTCAGTACTAAGCTGGTATCTGCCTTTCAGATTCACTCACAGAGATATACCCACTCTGAATCCATTAAAGTTTACTATAAAGAAATATCACATGAGGTGTGGCATAATATAACCCAGATATTTTTCAGTAATGTGTTAATCACCTCTACATAACTGATTATAAAATTTTCACTTGAACATTCATAAATAAAATGAAATTTACCATGAATTTCAAGTAAATTACAGATTTGTCACAAGGCAAATAACCATGATTTACTACTTCTTAAGCATGACTCTGATGAAATAAATTATTTCTCCAGATGAACCACAGGTTTCTCACCAATCAAATGGTTAAAAGACCTATGATGTGTTTTGAATAATCTAATGAACTAATAGAAAACGTGTTTCCTATCTAGCAAATATTTATTAAATATAAGTCATTGGTCCCTTATTCATTAAAAAGTTAGAAAGTAATGACCCAGACTCCAGCATTCTTCAGAACTGAACAAGCTTTATGCAGAATATAGGATTCAATTCATATATATAGTCTCTCTAATGTTATATAATTCAGGTATTCATGACAAGGCTTAAAGACAGTCTAGCAGCACAAGACAAGACCGCTGAGGCTGCTATACTGAGGAAATCTTAGTCCGATGATTCCTGTGATATGAAGCCTTCTGTTCTCAACTTTCTCTCGGCAATCCAAACATCAGTTATCATCGTTTCTCTTTTAAATTTACCTTCTCACTACACTTGTTCAAAGATTTAAAAAGCCTCTTCATTGTTTTTTTTCTAACCAGCCCTTATAAAGCATTTCCACAGAACCCTAAATTGTACTCTATCTACTATATTCCTTCTTCTGAGTGTGCAACCATAATTAAATAATTATATTTCTTATATGTTACTTTTACTTACCAGAAGGCAAAAAGGTTAATTACCAAAAGGTAAAGTGAATGGGGATAAGAATAATAATGACTTCTTTAGTTGTCCTTTCACAAAGTTTTTAAAAGCTCAAATACATTTTATCAAACTCTTCTTTTCCCTCAACACTGCACAGCTCTTGTCCAAGTCCTATCACACTGGATTTATTGAACTCAGCTGCTAGAACATCAGACTCATTGTTGGGCTGTGATGTTCTGCTCTTCACTCATCTCTATCGCCTGCATTAATCACAATCCTAAGTCTATTTCAGGCAACAGTATAGTTAATGGGTCAATTATTTCCCTATGAGATTATAGGATGGATAGAAGAAAAAGAAATATATAAATGAAACCTCTCATATCTTTTTTTGTAAATAGCCTTAATAGGGGCTGGAATAAAGTAGTGTAATATTAGAAATTATATTGATAATTTCGGAGTCTTTGACACACGATACCCAACCTAGAGTCCTGAGAAAACTTAATGGGGGGCCAGATACCTGAAAGCCTCCTGATTGCATTTGGAACACCCAGGCAGGGTGGATTTTACATCATAAAAACAAACAAACAAAAAAAGAATAAAAATGAAACACCCATGCAAATTGGAGAAAACTGCCCATTTGCCAGCAATATGGGTATAATTTCAGTAGAAAGAGGCATCCCCTACTCACTAGTGAATGCATTGTCAGGAACTCAGTTTCTCTCTGTCTTCCTCTGGATTTCCACTTGCAGACACTTTAGGCACTAAGAAAAGCTGAGGTTGGAGAAAGAACATGTGAGACACCAGTCTTGTGCACAATTTTCAGATCAATCTGTGATGAAAAGCCAGACTTTCACTGAAGTGTGACACCAGCTGCACCACAGCCTAACCAACAGACACAAACATGCAGAGGCCTCTCCTCTTTTCCCGTGGTCAAAATTAAGAAGCCTATGACTATGGTTGCTAATAAACAAGGAACACAGATATCTTGTGAATGAGAACATCAAAAGCACGGAGTTTTGTATGTTAATTGGCACAAGTCCAGATATTCAATTCCCTCACTGATTTTAAAACACAGGGATCCCTGACTCCATCCACATGTGGAATATGATTTCCACCTATAGATAAACATTGGGATTTCTCAGATTTTATTATCCTAGCTTTATGCCCTAGCAACGTTTCTCCAACACCCACCACAGCCTTCTGAAGCCTTACTCCACTTTTATTTTCACTCAACTCTGACTTTTGTATTTCCCCTTGGAACGTGGAAATAATCAAGTAAGAATCTGTTTTAGGGTGGAGTGTGGTGGCTCACGCCTGTAATCCCAGCACTTTGGGAGGCCAAGGCACGTGGATCACCTGAGGTCAAGGGTTCGAGACTAGCCTGGCCAACATGGTGAAACCCCGTCTGTAGTAAAAATACAAAAATTAACTGGGTATGGTGGTGCTTGCCTGTAATCCCAGCTACTCAGGAGGCTGAAACAGGAGAATCTCTTGAACCCAGGAGGCAGAGATTACAGTGAGCCGAGATCCCACCACTGCACTCCAGCGAGGGTGACAGAGCGAGACTCTGTCTCAAAAAAAAAAATCTGTTTTAGGATGGGGATAATCAATTGAGGGATTTATTTCACTTAGAGGGTCAACACTCCCATCCTGCTAATATAGCCCTTAAAATCTCCTGCATCAGAAATTAGCAGGAGTACCCCGAGTCATGGTGTTTCTCTCCTGTGTATACAGTCACAATCCTCTAGGATGCTCAGAAAATACAAAATGACTTAGGAGAGGGAGAAATTTAGCAGCTCAATCTGATATTTTACTAACGTGGTATCTAAAATTCTTGCAATCATGGTTTATATTAGTCTTTGTTAGTTGCAATATCTCTGATTATCATGATACATATTTGCTGAGAAATACCGATGTCCATGTATACATTCGTACATAGATATGTAGATATATAGGTGCATATGTTTATATGAATGTATGTGTTTGAGACAGGGGGAAACATGCATGTATTATTTCCCTGCTAAAAATATAAAAATAATTAAATATATTTTATGTACAAATGATAATTATGTGTCATAAACAAAAAATTTACTGACCCATTTGTACATGAAGTCCAGGAAAAATAAAAAGAGTAACTTTGTATTAATTGTGACATTGTGCTTACAGATGTACATATATTTCCTTATTTAACCCTCATAATAACCCTGCTGATTACAGTTTATTTACCAATTTAATAAATGATCAACAGAGTTTGAAAAATATGACAAAATTACAAAATTAGAAAATGACCCAGCAATACTTTTAATTATATTCTGCCTGTCGCTGCCTCTTCTTGCTTTTTGACAAAATTACTCCCCTAACCAACGTTCTCTATGATTCTGGGGACTCCAGTATTTAGACCCCAGGTCCCAAACATCATTGTGTCTATTTTTACTGCCACATTTAATGCACATTTACAGACTTCAACAAACACTTTTCAATATCAACTTTTTTCTTATTCCTTGGACTATTTTCTACATCTGTTCATCAAGATTCCAGTAACATATGACTCCATCTGCCTGTCCCTTCCATGAATGTACCTGACAGTACATGTATTATGTAGTCTATAATTCAAGCAGAACAGCTATTCCTTCAAAAAAATAAGATATTAGAGAATGCCGACAAAGCTTCAGTGAAACCAGCTGTAACCCTTAATATTATTACCAAGTAAACTCTTCCTCGAATATCAAAATAAGATTTGGGCTTTAGAGAATATTTGTGTGTAATTATAACCCAAACATGAACGAAAAGTCATTTAACTGGTCATATACAGACTGTGCCAGGGACAAAAAAAGGACAAATATTATAAGAAAGTTAAAGCATACTTATTTCATAAAGGACTCTTGTGTGGAATCTATAAAAACTATTTCAAGATGTAGAGATTAAATATATTTTAAAACACATACATACACAAGCAATCTTTAGGAGAAACTTATAAACTTATGTTATGGGTCTAAAATTTTCATTAATTCATGGAAAAAAATGTATTGACAAACTTTTCACCAGAGCAGAAATAACAACTTATGTATTTGGTGACTTCAAGATGACAGCCTGCACAGCTTAGTATCTCCCTCCAGATGTCTCTCTCTATTTTTTTTTTTTTTTTTTTTTTTGGCGGAGTATCACTCTTGTTGCCCAGGCTGGAGTGCAGTGGCGCGATCTCGGCTCACCGCAACCTCCACCTCCCGGGTTCAAGCAATTCTCCAGCCTCAGCCTCCTGAGTAGCTGGGATGACAGGCTTGCGCCATCGTGCTCGGCTAATTTTGTACTAGACGTGGTTTCTCCATTTTGGTCGCGCTGGTCTAAAACTCCTGACCTCAGGTGATCCGCCAGCCTCCGCCTCTCAAAGTGTTGGGATTACAGGCGTGAGCCACCGTGCCCAGCCCAGATCTCTTAAAAAGTCAAGAGGAAGGAACCATTCTGCATCCTCAATATTACCTTAATATTTTAAGGACACCCGTAAAAATTAAGAGGCCGACTTGTGACTTCCTAGCCCTTTCATGGCTATTTAGACACAACTTAGTGAAGTATTAGGAATGCATTATTAGGTCTTAAGTTCCTGGACAACAAAACCATGTTCTCCAACAGATCTTCAGTAAAAATAACTGATGTCTATATTGTTTTGCCTGTCCTTTCCCTTCCTTTAATTCAGAACTGCAGTCTCGAAAAGTGCTATTATTTAGTAGATTCTCTCACTTCTCAACACCAGTGCTATACAATGTTGAATGACATCTCAGGTGCTAGGGAAACAGCAGCTGACATTCTAGCAATGAACAAATAGAAAAGCAAAGATCACCACAGAGTAAAAGAGAATAGATTTTTTTAAAGTATGAAACCAAAACGAATATATATCAGATTACACTATAAATGGAAAATCCTATTATCTTGACGGGATTGCAAGTCAGATTACACTATAAATGGAAAATCCTATTATCTTGACAGGATTGCAAGCCTCTCATGGCTTCCAACATCCAATATATTCAAAGCAGTTCAGGAATGGTGAAAGTGGAATGGAATTTAAAATTATTCTAAGGTTTTATGTGTGAAAGCACCATGCCCTGAAACAAAACATTTATTTTTAAAGTGCATAATGAACACTGCATACAAAGTTTGTGTAACAGGAGAGAGGAAAAATCTCACATTTTAAAAAAAGGAATATGCAACATATTTAGATACAATAAAATAAAATTAAATTAAAATACAGCAATAGAAGACAGAATCTAACATCTGAAAATCAAGGGAGAAATCTATTTTAAAGAAACTTGGTGCAATTTTTAAAGTACATGATGAAAAATAATAATACCTGAGTATAGTACGTAAAAGTACCAATACAATAAAGCTAAAACAATATCCATGGACAAATTATTTGCTGTACGTTATTTTTAAAAAATAATCTAAGTACTTACCTCAATAAGGTAAATGAATGAAATTTAAACATTGCTTGAGAAAATCTGAGAAAGGAAATGAATATAGAGAAGCAGAATATAATTTAACTATAAACCACACAAATAGAATTTAAAAATAAGTGGTAGCCAACATGCCCAACATGATTTTCTGTGATGAAAGAAATTCTCTATATCTGCATTGTCCAATGCAGTAACTACCACACATATGTAGTTACAGAATTTCTAGATTGGCCACGACTTTGGCTATTACTACTAAGGATATGCCATTTAGTTATTTAATTATAATTTATTTACAGTTTATAGTCACATGTGACTAGTAGTTACTATTTTGGCCAATACAGATCTAGAATCTTGGAGGAGGCAGTTAAAATAATGAGATATGGTCAAAACAAAAATGGAAAAGGCACACAAATAGTGAACACAGAATATGAGAATGCGAAGTAACAATTCACACAATAAAATGTAATAATGAGATGCTGCCTTGATGGGACAAATGTCTAATGATATACAAGGCTTGTCTTGTTACAGGTAGAAGAGCATGAGCAGGGCAGGAGAGGGCTCTTCCCTTACCCACTAGAAATGTCAGGTGATGGCCTGTCAATTATCACATTTCCTCTCTAAAAATGATAATTAGGCAGCACCAGAGAGAGGCCGTTTCCTGATGGTCTACACCTGTTAACATCAAAAATGTGAGTTAAATGCAGACCCCAGGAAGAAGCAACTTCTTGGGCGTGCATGTTAAGAGACAAAAATGGCAAAGCATAATCTTCCGGGGGCACGCTCCACCGGAAAAGGAAAGAAAGCTTCAGATGGACATGCATATAACTCCCTAAACACAACGTGCATGCTCAATTTCAAAGGGTAAGGAAAGCACTGTGCATGCTGGAAACTCTCCCTAAAGGAAGAATCACGGGAAAGAGGAAAACCCAACGCAGGATCAAGGTTAAAGGCTCTTCTCTTTTCATTCTTGGACCTTCAGGCATCTGCTCGGGTCTCTTCCAAGAGAATTTTCCTCTCCTTCCTGTTCTAAAGCCTTTTTAAATAAACTTCCACTCCTGCTCTGAAACTTACCGCTCAGTCTCTTTTTCCACTGTAAGTCCTTCGGTCGAATTCTTTCTTCTAGGAGGCAAGGACTGAAGTTGCTTATGGACCCATGCAGCTATGCTGCCAGTAACTGGAATCTCTTCTACTGGTAACAGTATCATTGTAAGGGAATGAGGCCAGTTCACATCTCAGTGCTTGGAGAACTCACCAAAAATAAAAAGTTGGAGGATGCAGTGAACATATCTACCTTCCAAGGCAAGTCCCACAAGCAAGCAGCAAGACTCTTTCCCCAAGGTCTTAAAGTCTTCAGATGCTCCTTCTCTGGGAAAATGCATCCTCTGATTGGCTTCCCCTTATATATGAAAAAAAAATTAATAAACCGAATCACCACTACATTCCAAGAGACATGCCCTGATTGCACAGACACTGAATCTAATCAAAAACTTCATTCTGGAGACACTCCCTGTTCAATCTGATTGGATTTTTGAGACTACTACTAAAAACTCTCACATAAAGTTGGAAACCAAAGAGTTAAGGCTATTTTGAAGGAAAAATATGAACATTAATTCCTTTTTTTAATCATAAGTACTTTTGAGTGTATTATATGTACTAGAAAGCATTCGCAGTCAAGGGATACAACAAGAAACCAGACAAACTAGAGTCTTCTGGAGACTCTATATTCTAAAATTCTTTGGAGGTAAACTGGACTTGAAAACAAATGGAAGGCGAATAGATATAAAAAGTTTCAATGTTCATGATGATGTAAAAAAATAAAATATATTGCAGAAATGAAGTCAGGAAGTGTTATAGGGGTCATGTAGTACTTGTAAGACCACTGGTATTGTCTGAAATTCAAGCAGGCTGCAGAAATTTGGGTAACTAAAAGGAAAGCAGATGCTAATAGAAGAAAATGAAGAAAGGGCCTCAAAGACATTTTAGAGACCTTGGCTGGTGGCAGCCCCTCTCCTCAAAGGCCTGGAGGCCTAGGAGGGAAGAATCATTTTGTGAGCTGGGCCCAGTGCAAGCACAGGACAGTGCTCACAGCAATCTAGGTCTCAGCCACTCCAGCTCCAGCCATGGCTAAAAGGGCCCCAGACATTGTTTGGGCCACCGCTTTAGAGGGTGCAAGCCACAAGCCTTGGCAATTTCCATGAGGTATTAAACCTGCAGGTGCACAAGGTACAGGAGTACACTGCTGATAAAGGTATACCTGAGACTGGGCAATTTACAAAAGAAAGAGGTTTAATTGGACTTACAGTTCCACATGGCTGGGGGGAGGCAGAAGGCAAAAGGCATGTCTTACATCACAGCAGGCAAGTGAGAGAATGACAGCCAAGCAAAACTGGTTTCCCCTTATCAAACCATCACAACTCGTGAGACTTATTCACTACCACGAGAACAGCATGGGAGAAACTGCCCCCATGATTCAGTTATCGCCACTGGGTCCCCCCACAACATGTGGGAATTATGGGAGTAAAATTTGAGGTGAGATTTGGGCAGGGACACAGAGCCAAACCATATCAGAAGCCTTTGCCTGGATTTCTAAAGATGTATGGGAAAGCCTGTATGTCCAGTAGAAGTCTGCTGGGGTGGAGACTTCATGGCAAATGTCTACTACAGCAGTGCAGAGGGAAAATGTGGCGTTGGAACCCCCACAGAGTCCACACTGGGGCACTGCCTAGTGGAGCTCTGAGAAGACAGCCACCATCCTCCAGACCCGAGAATGGTAGATCCACTGTCAGCTTGCACCCTGAGCCTGGAAAAGCTGCAGGCACTCAACACTGGCCCTTGACAGCAGCCATGGGGACTGACCCTTGTATCCAAAAGAAAATAAATTGTTCTACCATAAAGATGTGTGCACTCATATATTTATTATAGCATTATTTGCAATAGCAAAGACATGGAATCAACCTAGATGCCCATCAATGTTACAGTGGATAGAGAAAATACAGTATATGTACACCATGGAATACTACACAACCATAAAAAATTTATGTCCTTTGCACCAACATAGATGCAGCTGGAGGCCATTATTCTAAAATAATGCAGGAAGAGAAAACCAAATACCATATGTTCTTAGTTATAAGTGAGAACAAAGCATTGGTTACACATGGACGTAAAGATCAGAACAACAGATACTGGAGACTACTAGAGGGGGAAGGGAAGGTGGGGACAAAGGCCTGAAAAACTATCTATTGGGTATTATGTTTTCTATCTGGGTTACAAGATCATTCATACTCCTCAGCATCACACAATGTGCCAGTGTAAAAACCTGCACATACATCTCCTGAATCTAAAATAAAAGTTGAATTTTTTTTTTTAAAATGGGCAAAGATCTGGCTAACACCGTGAAACCCTGTCTCCACTGGAAAAAAAAAAAATACAAAAAATTAGCTGGGCATGGTGCCGGGTGCCTGTAGTCCCAGCTACTTGGGAGGCTGAGGCAGGAGAATGACGTGAACCTAGGAGGCGGAGCTTGCAGCAAGCCGAGATCACGCCACTGCACTCCAGCCTGTGTGACACACCGAGACTCCATCTCAAAAAAAAAAAATATGCAAAGATCTGAGTAGACATTTCCCAGAAGAACAGATACAAATGGCCAACAAATATATGAAAAAAATTCTTACCATCTCTAATCATCAGGGGGATGTAAATAAAAACCACCATGAAATATCACCTGATAGAATAGCTATTATCAAAAAGATGTATAACAAGTATTAGTGAGGTTGTGGAGAAAAGATAACCCTTGTATACTTGTGGTGGAAATACAAATTACTATGTCCATTTCAGATAACAGTATGAAGGTTTCTCAAAAATTTTTTAAATAAAACTACCTGCTGATGAGGCTGCTGAGATATAAGAACACTTTTACACTGTTGGTGGGAATGTAAATTAGTTCAACTATTGCGGAAGACAGTATGGTGATTCCTCAAAGACCTACAACCAGAAATACCGCTTGACCCAGCAATCCCATTACTGGGTATATACCCAAAGGAATATAAATCATTCTATTATAAAGATACATGCACACATATGTTCATTGCAGCACTATTCACAACAGCAAAGACATGGAATCAACCCGAATGTCCATCAGTGACAGACTGGATAAAGAAAATGTGGTATGTAAACACCATGGAATACTATGCAGCCATAAAAAGGAATGAGATCATGTTCTTTGCAGGAACATGAATGGAGCTGGAAGCCATTATTCTCAGCAAACTAACCCACGAACAGAAAACCAAGCACTGCACGTTCTAACTTACAAGTGGGAGCAGAACGGTGAGAACACATGGATATTAGGAGGGGAACAACACACACTGGGACCTGTTGGGAGGCAGGTGGAGGGAGAGTATCAGGATAAATGGCTAATACATATATGCAATGGAATATTGTTCAGTGTTACATAATAACGAAACCCTGTCATTTGTGACAACATGGATGGACTTGGAGGGCATTAGGTTATATGAAATAGGCCAACCACAGAATGACAATTACTATATGATTTCACTTGTATTTGAAATCTAAAATCGACAAACTCACAAAAGCAGAGAGTAGAATGGTGGTTGCCAGGGGCCGTGGTGCTGGGGAAATGGGTAGATGTGGTTAGAGCACAAAGTTTCAGATATACCACGTAAGTAAGTTCTGGAGGTCTCGTTTACAGCATAGTGCTTACAGCTAAGAATACTGTATTACATACTTAAAATTTGCTAAAAGGGTAGATTTTGTATTCTTACCAATATTTCTTACCAAAAAAATAATAATAATAAAGGGGAGGGGACTTAGGGAGGTGAAGGATATGGTTATAATCTTGATGGTAGTGATGTGTTCATGGTGTATACTTATCCCCAAGCTCACTGAGATGTACACCTTAAATATGTACAGCTTTTTAAATGTAATCATCGCTCAACAAAGTCGGTTAAAATAAAACAAGAGGGGGTTGGTTAAAAAACTTAAAAGGAGGGGTAGATGTTCCCTTGTTTTTTTCTCTTGGCTTTTTTCCTACCTGCTGCCTGGAATTCAAAAATGATAGGTGGGGATTTAGCAGCCAAACTAGAGCCTCTTTTACACTATAGCAGAACAGAGTGCTGGAAGGGGCCTGCATCCCTAATGAATTTGGCAGGTATCTGTACTAGCCATGGTAGGTAGAACTATAGATTTAAGTGAGGGAGAAACAAACTTCTGCCTTGTTTAAGCTACTTTGTTCAGACATTAATTTTATATACATATAGAGAACATATGCTCCTTTATGAGTAGGAAAAATGTTTATGCCATATGGTCCATGATGGGTGTTCAACAATGTAGGATGAGGCTGATTATGATGACAATGGTGACAAATAGCATGAAATAATAAGCAATGAAAATAAGGTGGCCTCATAGTTGTGTATGGTTACTTTATTTAAAGATTCTGCTGCTAATATCATTCAATGTATTTGTATGCTGGTGGGAGTTTTGTTAGATGTAGACTAAGAAAGTTTACATTATTTAATGAAAAATACTTGACCAATTTAAAAAAAAATAAAAATATCATGAGATGGAACTAAGCATCTGTATTGCAAAGTAACTCTCCCAGTTGATTTTCTGCATAGTAATGATTGAGAATCCCCTGATCTAGATCCAATAGATCTCGACCTTTATAGGTGCTATCAAGGAAGCACCTAAGGAAGACAATTTTCCTGACTATATCCATACCTCCAGTTAGTAATAGATCTAGAGATCTAGAACCCAAATCCAAACCTCCTGCCTCCACGTGCGGTGGTCTTTCGCTGTTGTTTTGTTCCACTTGGTGAAGAGGATTTGAGAATAAATAGCCACATGATTCAACTCCCTCCTCAGTTCTGAGGAATATAGCCTTGTCCTAGCAAGCAAGAAGTTCATACAGTAGTGGATGAGGCAAATATACATTCACTAATCTAACATACAAGGCAGTAAGTACTGTAACATAAACAAAGCACTTTGGAGTTTCAGACCAGGAGCAAGTGGGGTGATTAATTCTTAGCAGGGCTAGTAAAGTCTGGGAAGTGTTCACTAACAAAATGTCTGGTCATTAATGAAACCAACTGGTTTCTCAACACAGTCTAATTTATTGTAACAATATAAATGGTTGTTTGTTCATAAACTTTCATCTTTTGCCAAAATGTAGCTTATGTCCCCATTTAACAAGGTTTTCTGGCCAAAACTGTGCACCCACATCATTCTAATGAACTGGCTGTCCAATAAAAAAAAAGGATTCTCAGTCTTCCCATAAAAGCAATTTTGCGTGCATAGAACACCTCTATCTATGAATATCCCTAAGGAGGTACAGAAAGACTCTTATTATCCAAACAGAGACATTCCACTGCTGCTAGAGAGCCACAGACGGAAGTTTTCTCTGCCTCCTGGAAATGAAGCCAAACTTTTTTCTTTCTTCAGCCATGAGGATTGCTGTCCTCTTCTTCACCATTTTCTTCTTTATGAGCCAAGTTCTACCAGGTAACAAAATAAACTTGGTAAGAGTAGAGTGCCTAACACCTTACAGGGATTCAGTACTCAAAGAGAAATCACCATCACCTATGACCAGAAAAGGGGGTCTCATAGGAAACCTGGAAGACTCATTGGCTGAGAGGCCTGCAGCCATCTAATTCGTTAATTCTCCATAGCAACCCAGTTAAATGAAGTCAATGGTGTTTCAAGTCTTTGAAACCCTCTTATTCCATCTCCAAATTAGGCAAGTTTACTAGCAGTTACTAGACCTCAAAAATTAAAAATCAGGCATTATTCTACTAAATTTTTGTCTCCAAAGCTCCTCTTTCGGCAAAAGTCAGTTATCCTAAGAACTGGCATAAGAGCTATGCCAAAGCTGTGGTAGGCTCAGACAGAAGGGATTGGTGGAAGAAGTCTCTTTGAAAATATTACTATAATCTAAGAAATCTTTAACCTATTGCTCCCCGATACTGTTGGTCCCTGGAGCTTGACTTTTCCCCTTAAGGCTCCATCTCCATCCCTGGCTGTCCCTCTTCCTTCTCAGCATTTAGTCTTGTAATGTAGAATTTAAACACAGGAACCAGGGATGATCCCACACCAGAGCATAGCCTACTGCATTCAGCATGCGAACATTAATCACAGGTATAAGGCCCCTTGCACAGACATGCTTTGGAGAAGTGTGTATAGGACTTCTTGGATTGGCCCAAGGTGGTTACCAGATACCCAAAGTAGATTCAAAAATTTTCTGGAACTCCTGAACATGTGTATTCAAGGACGAATAAGCAACTTATTGCCTCTATTTTTTCTGTTTTATAGAGAAAAAAATTAAGGCCCTGGAAACTGAACTGTTTTTCCCAACAGTGGGGTAAATGTCAGAGTCAACACTTTGTTTTAATATCCTGGCTTTCCCTATACATCCCACCCTAGAGTTCTGTTGTGCTGTTCCTTTGTATTACTTTCTAAAGCCTGAAAAAAGGTGATACCATATCCAATTATATTAACTCGGTAGCACACAACATCGGGGACTGACATAAGATTATTATCCTTGTGGCATTACTAAATTCCTGTCTCACTAGTACTTGTTAAATAGTCATCCTGGCTAAATACATGGGTTTGATTTTTTTTAATCAGTTAAAAATATTTTAAAATATGTGTCTTACATATATAACCCCAGAAAATCAATGCTTTTAATCAAGGTTTAAAAATTCCAAATTTGGATAAACACATTTTGTTTTGTTTTGTTTTCACTGTTACTCAATCAAAATAGAAGCAACTAATTGGATAGAACAGCACAGGCAGAAGCATGACTCACAGTCAAAAATGGGATGCAACAAGCCTGGAGAAGAAAACACAGGATGGTGCTAAAGAATGCACCCTAATGAAAGGTGGCATCTCCTCTGGATGTCCTTAGGTAGACATTGAAGCAGAACTGCCAACTTTTTGTAGAAGGCTAGAGAGGAGAGGAGGACACAGAGAGAGGGCAAGAGTGGAAAACAGAATGAGGCTCAGAATACCAAGCCTTAGTGCTGTCCCTATCATCTGCTTCACTCGATCACTGGGTAATCTTGGGCAAGTTTCTTCCTTTCCATCAGCTTATTTCCTCAACTTTAAGGTAGGTGACTAGACAAGACAGCCTATGTTCATTGTAACTCTATCTTTTGTTCCTAAAGCAAATGGCCGGAAAAGACATAGTGTCCACAATATGCAATACACAAGGTTTACAAGAAAGAACAAATGAAAACGAAAGATTTTTAAAATCCCTAATGTTACTTGAATTCTTACAAATGAACAATGGTACATCATAATTTTAAAAAGTCTTTTGTAATTTCAATTTTTAAAAATAACTTCAACCTTTATTTTAGATTCAGGGAGTGCATGTGCAGATTTGTTACATGGGTATATTGTGTGATATTGAGGTTTGGGGTATGAATAACTCTGTCACGCAGGTAGGGTGTGCCCAAAGAGTAGCTTTTCAGACTTTACTCCCTCTCCCTCCCCTCCTGGTAAGACCCAATCTCTCTTGTTCCCATTTTTATGTCCATGTGCACTCATTGCTCGGCTCCCCCTTATAACTGAGAATATGTGGTATTTGTCTTCCTGTTCTTGAGCTAATTTGCTTAGAATAAAGTCCTCCAGCTGCACCCATGTTGCTGAAAAGGACACAATTTTGTTCTTTTTATGGATGCATAGTATTCCGTGACATATATGTACTACATTTTCTTTATTCAATCCACTGTTGATGAACACCTAGTTTGATTCCATACCTTTGCTACTGTGAATACCACTGTGATGAACATACAGATTTAGGTCTTTTTACAAGACTGATTTATTTTCCTTTGGATATACACCCAGTAGTGAGATTACTGGGTCAAATGTTAGTTCTGTATTAAGTTTCTCGAAAAGTGGTTTGAAAATATAATGCTCAATAGAATCAGGTATAGTAAAATAGTACACATGATTCAAAGACCTCTGAACCGAGAGTAACAACAAATTTCTGCACAAACATATTGCAAGTTAGAAAATAGCTGTATTTTAATCAATTATTCCACAATCATTTACTGAATAGCTATTATAAGCCAAGACTTTAATCAGATTCTGGAATATACATACAGAGGAGAATAAGATACTATTCCTGCCCTCAAGAAATTCATTATCAAGAATTGAGGTCAGATGGGAAAACACCACCCATAGTAGAATGCAAGAAGTACTACCACAGAGGGATGTTCAAGAGTGATTTATCACATATCACAAGACAGGTCAGTGGTTCATCCTCTACACTATACTAATCTCTTATGACTCTTCCAGCTGCAAAGGGCCAATTTTAGCACAAGGCCAGTGGGCTTGGGTACTACTATATGTAGTAGCTGACTACTTACAGATAAAAGGAAGAGATGGAAAGCTCAGGGATCAAAAAACTCAGATTTCAGCTTGTTTCTACCAAGTGGTCAACATTTACAATTACCATTGTCTTCAGAAAAGCATGACCTTTATTTCCCAATTTGCATTACAGATATAAATATGATGTTGCATATATTTGGTCTTCACATCAATCCACTAACTGCTTTGTGACCATTGAAAAGTTAAATGGAATCTAATACATTTGGATTTCAGGTAAATTAAATAGGCATTTATTGAATGTTTATTAAAATCGCTGTACTGATTGAAAGCTATTCTAGAATTGGCTTTTGTGTTCCAGAATAGAAAAAAAAAAGTGCTGGTTTTTATACCTCTCTTACTGCCAAGAAGTTATCATGGAAAAGGTGCTCTGTGTTACATACAAAGACTGCTCAGAATTAAAACACTTTTCAAACTCAGTACCTCAGAGTGTGTGGCCTATCCCCAGAGCGGTGATATCTTAGGACATAAATGAAATACTATTCAATGTTTTCAACAAGTATAGTTTTTGAGCCTTTAAGAAGACCTTGAATGTTTCACTCTTAATATATGCAATGGTTTCTAGAGAAAAATTGCAACCTCAAAGACCAGTGCCAGAGATATGAGTAGTGAGTGAAGTCTCAGGGTGTAACAAGTAATGGCACAGATATATTTATGTATTAAACACATAGGAATATTGTTCCCTTCCACAGGAAAAATATCCTCTCTAACAATTGAAGTATATTATCTTTTAGGTCTATATTTCAGTTCTACTTTTGAAAGATACATCTATTATAATCTATCATATAGAGAGAGTGTGTGTGTGTGTGTAGGAATAAAAACAGCTGATCCAAAAGAGATTTTCTTCTCTTTCACTCCAGGAAAATCCATAGTACAGGACATTATATTTTCTTAAAAGGCTGACATCTCCCATCAGTGTTAGAAGACAATAAGGAAGAAATAAACTGAAACTTGTATGCTCTAGAACTTGTAAAGGGAAGCAGGCTACTCACCTCCAGCCTTTTGTCATGTAGGTGCACCCAATATTCTCAGATTTTTCAAGAACACCAAAAAATCCAAATTTTTGTGTGGCAGCAGATTTTTAAGTGTTTAAGAAATCAAATAACACACACACACACACACACACACACAGACACACACACAAATCCACACAAGATTATTTTCAGGCACTGCCCCCTACGTCCATGTAATTCAATACAAAGTAAAGAAAGACTGATGAATGGTTACAATAACCCCTTCTGCATGTAGCCAAGGGCAAATTCAAGGAGATCTGTGAACGTCCAAATGGCTCCTGTCGGGACTTTTGCCTCGAAACAGAAATCCATGTAGGGAGATGTTTAAATAGCCGACCCTGCTGCCTGCCTCTGGGGCATCAACCAAGAATTGAGAGCACTACACCCAAAAAGGACTGAAGCCTGTTGTTTTCTGGAGGTTTTAGGTTCTCTTTTTTCTCTCTCCCTCTCCCTGTCTCCCTGTCTCCCGTTCCCTCTCTCCATTTTTCTCACAGGGATTTTTATTGAATCCTCAAAAAAGAATAAACCAAAACCAACCAGCACAAAACCTCTTTTAAAAGTTTATATTACTGGCTGGGTGCGGTGACTCATGCCTGTAATCCTAGCACTTTGGGAGGCCAAGGTGGGTGGATCATGAGGTCAGGAGATCAAGACCATTCTGGCCAACATGGTGAAACCCTGTCTCTTTTAAAAATACAAAAATTTAGCCAGGCATGGTGGCGGGCACCTGTAATCCCAGCTACGCAGGAGGCTGAAGCAGGAGAATCGTTTGAACCCATGAGGTGGAGGCTGCAGTGAGCCGAGATCCCAACACTGCACTCCAGCCTGGGTGACAGAGTAAGACACTGTCTCAAAAAAAAAAAAAAAAAAAAAAAAAAGTTTATATTACATGTTATGACTTGATTACTGTTTGGTTTCCAGTATCCTTCTATCCCATCTAGATGAGCTCTTAGTTGAAAATGACATACAGCAGGGTGGGGGAACTTTCAATCATACCCATTGCTTTTGTCTAGCACTGTAACCCTTCACCCTGCATGTGGGAAGACCACTCCCCTTTTTTACTAGGAAAATGCGCCATCCTATTCCATGCAGCCTTGCGGGGGTCTGTCTCTCCCTGATAAAGGTGCAGCACATGGGAAAATTGCACAATCACGTCAACCAGACTTCACCAGAAATCTAAATTATAAAAAGAGTTGCACTCAGATTAAAGGCAATTTTTTCAGCACCCTTTTCGGAGGCAATTCCCTGGGTCTGTACATGTATGCCTGGCCAAGATTCAGGGAATTCCTTTGCTTCCCAGCTTTCACTGGGCATAATCATTCAGCATTTTCTTCCATCTTTTAAAATACTGTATTGGCTTCCTACGGCTCCTATAACAAATTACAACAAACTTAGTGGCTTAAAGCAACACAAATGCATTATCTGACAGTTCTATAGGCTGCAGGTTTCAGATGGATCTCAGTGGGCCAACATCAAGGTGTCAGCAGGGCTGAGCTTTCTTCTGGAAGCTCTGCAGTTTTCTTCCTGCACCTTTATCCCAGCAATGGCAGGTTACTCCTGGGCACCATAGCTTCCTTCATACATTTTCAAAGCCAGCAACGGAGCGTTGAGTCCTCACATTCCATCATTCTGAATTCATCTTCTCCCCACTCTTCCATTTTTTAGGACTCATGATTACATTGGGCCCACCTGGATAATCTAAGATAATCTCCCTATTTTAAGGTCAGGTGATTAACAGCCTTAATTTCACAGGAAACCTCAATTCCCCTTTGCTTACACGGTGGCACATTCACAGGACCCAGGAGTTAGGATGTGGATAGCTTTGGCGGGAGACAGAGGGGACATTATTCTGCCTACAACAGCCACTGAGTGCTTTTACCACCTGTCACAATTTTCCTCCATTTAGACACAACTTTAGTGGCTTTGTGTGAAGAGATTCTCATTCATAGAGTTTTCTTTTTTGTGTAAAGTAGTGGGGGGCCTCCCCTTGGTCATTGAAAGAGTATAGAATCAAGATATTTAAAAGTATGTTAGCTGGATTTTATTTTTCACTATGCCTGATTTGGCCAAGAAACAATGTTAAGTTATGTCACATGGACTACTCGAAATCTCAAAAAGTTCAAAACATTGGGTTCAAAATCTCGGAGATTGAGATATATTCCAACCAACTCAACCCTATGGAAGTGCCAAGTTTTCCTCAGTGCACTCTTGAAACTGCATCACCAACTGTCCCTTTAATATATTTTTGCACTATATAACATTTATTTCTTAGAAAAGAAGCAGTTTGGACACGTATATTAAAGCCGTCACATAGAATATTATCCTCTCATTGCTAGGAGGCGGTCTTCAAGATGGCTGACTAGAGGTACCAGGCACTGTGTCCTCCCAAAGAAAGACCAAGACAGCAAGTAGATAATCATACCTTGAAGAGGGCATGAAAGAGGGCACTAGAATTCAGCAGCAAAGTGATGAGGAATCTCTGAGGTATGGAAGGAAGGAAAATGAAGCAGCTGCCCAGCCAGAATCAGCTTAAAGCCAGGACAGGCTCTCCAGTGTGGTGAAAAGGTAAAAAAGAGAGCCCCAGTGGTCCATATTCCCACTGTGGACACTGCAATCCTAGCCAAGGGACAGTCTCTCAGCCCTCGCAGGCCCTGAGACTGCTATAGGGAGCTGCCTGGAGTCTAGGTGATGGTCATTGTCCCAGAGAAGGAGTTGGCACTGGATCGTCTGCACCTGCCCCCAGACACAGGCAGCTGTGGCACAATGCCAATTTGAGAGCCCAGCCCCCAAAAGACTACATCCTGCCCTGGGGCCCAACAGCCCCTGCATCTCCACATCTCTGGACCCTCAGTGACATTCCCTCATGTCCATCCAGAGGCCTGCAGAGTCACAATACCAGCTGAACTCACCAGTGTAGCTTGGTCCCCATCACTCTAGCCTACACAGTGTCCTACACTCCAGGGAACTGGCTGTGCCATTCACTAGGGAGGCTGCCCCCAGAACAAAGGGAGCTGAAGCAGGCACTCTTCTCAAGTGGAGAGTCACCTTCCCAGGACCACTGACACTGACAGCAATCCTGGCCCCCAGGAGCAGGGCCACTGCACACCTGCAGGCATCCTCAGGGGACCTGGGGACTCACCTGCCTGAGCACTATTCCAGGGCCAGAGCACAGGCCCATCCCACCCATTGCTGTCACTACCACTACCCAAGGTCGTTGTCCAGGAGGCTGGGGATCAACCCACACTGCTGTCTGTCATTGGCACCTGTGCATGCCTTCTTGTGAACTGAGTATGAGCCCACCCAGCCTGGTGGTGCCTGTGCACATTGTCTGGGAGCCTGGGAATTAATCCACCATGCCTATCACCATCAAGTACCTGTGTGTCTCCTGAGAGCTTAAGGATAGGACTTCCCAGCCTGCCATCACAGCTGTCACCAGTGCCCACATATTTGCACCAGGTGAAAGCCTGAGGACTACTCTGTCCATCATGTTGCCATGACTGTTGGTGTCTGCACATGCCATCTGGGGTCACGAGAGTTGACCTGCTATGACTACTGCAATTGCTGATGCTACACATGCCTCCCAGGGTCTTGAGGGCATGCCTATCTACCGAGCTCACCACTGTCACTGCTGGCACTTGAGAAAGCCACCTGACTCACGCCTGTAATCCTAGCACTTTGGAAGGCTGAGGGGGGCAGATCACCCGAGGTCGGGAGTTCAAGACCAGCCTGACCAACATGGAGAAACTCCATCTCTACTAAAGACAAAATTAGCTGGGCATGGAGGCGCATGCCTGTAATCCCAGCTACTCTGGAGGCTGAGGCAGGAGAATTGCTTGAGCCCAGGAGGCAGAGTTGCAGTGAGTTGAAATTGTGCCACTGCACTGCAGCCTGGCCTACAGAGCTAGACTCTGTCTCAAAACAACAACAAAAAAAAAAAAAAAAAAAAAAAAAAAAAAACACAACACATCTTTGCCGTGATGTCTGGTAAACAGAAAGTGGTCAGCATTATTTGTTATTAGTATTAGTGTTGTCGTTGCCATTGCTTTGATTCACATGGAAATGGTTTGTAAGCTGTGATGCCTACTATTAATGTTATCTATCACAATTGTTAGTTATGTCTGGTATCTATTGCAACAACTAGATGAATGTAATCTTGGGAAAAAATTTTAAATTTCTTTAAGCTTCTCTCTCCTGATTTGTAAAATGAAATTTGTTGTACATGCTGTGTTTTTCTCAGCTATGCAGCTGTTCAGTTATTCCATATTTCAGTGCTTCCTTGGCTGATCAATCAATTTGGCCTACGTCAGCTCCAAGGGCATCCACTTCATCATCCTCCAGGTGGACTTGTAGCTTACCTGAGGCTGTTTGTATCAGACATCCAAGAAGGAGAAAGAGAAGGAACAGCAGTGTCATGATGGGAAATGAGTGGTCAGGATTATACGATGACCTTACAGCCTGAAGGTGGCTCTTTCTTCAGTGTACATCAATTGAGGAGGACAAGTGATCTGGGAATGAGTTTGAATTCAGCTGGGAAACTAACACAGGAATAGAAAACCAAATATTGCACATTCTCACTTATAAATAAGAGCTAAGCATTGAGCAGACATGGACATAAATATGGGAATTATAGACACTGTGAACTACTAGAGGGTGGAGGGAGGAGTTGGGTTAAAAAACTACCTATCTGGTACTATGTTCAGTACCAGGGTAATGAGATCCATACTCCAAACCACCACATAATACCATATTCCCATGTAACAAATCTGCGCATGTACCTACTGTATCTAAAATAAGTTGAAATTTTAAAAAAATGAACATACATAGAGTAAATGGATCTTTTTTGAAATAATTTTGGGTAACTAATACTTAAATCCAGAAGCAGCAGTTTATTGCACTTTTGTTTCATTTTAGCCAATTTCTACATGTATGTGGCTAAGCACACAAGGGCGTGATACAAAAGTGGCAAAACAGATCTGCTGAGCTACCTGCAAATGCCTTTCAGAAATAAAATAAAGCATCCTTTAGTGGTGATGCTTCTTCTCAAGAGCAAATGACTCCACTCAAAGTAAATCACTGCAAAATTTAAAAAGAAGAAGAACAACAACAACGACAACAATTCATCTAGAGAGAAAAAGCTTGCATTCCTGATTCAAATGTTCAAATTATGGCATGGCTGTAACCTGAGAATGTTCCATCTATGGACTCATGATTACAGATCCAAGTCTCCTCCTATTCAAATAGAAAGTCTTCACAATAATTTTGCATTTTCTGGTGGATTTTCATTTCTGCTTATGGCTCTGAGGTTTGGTGCCTTTTTTCCCCAGAATAAATTATTATAAAATAGTGATATTGAGGATTCATCCATTTATTCATTTATCCTCATTCATTTCATGTCTCTGCATCTATCAACTTTCTTTTTGGAAATATAAAGAAAACCACCCTTTAAACATTTTTTATTTCTTCCATTCTATAAAAAAGTTTATTTTTAATGCCAGACCATGTAAGGGCAGCTATTTTAAAATTGCGTTTTGATTAAAATTGCATTTTGAATTCATGCAAGATTACTTTCTGTCAACTGCCTCTTTCCACACATCTATGGATTAAATTAACCAACATTTAATACCACTGACATTACCTTATTTCAAGATCTGAAAGTGCTACATGAATCATTAAGGAGAGGTTAAATTCTCTCTCTTCTTTTCAAATTTCAGTAGTTTTTGGGGTACAGATAGTTTTTTGTTACATGGATGAATTACATAGTGGTGAATTCTGAGATTTTAGTACACCTGTCACCTGAGTAGAGTACATTGTACCTAATAGGTAGTTTTGTATTCCTAGCCCTGCGGCCTTCTGAGTCTCTAAAATCCATCATATCACTCTGTATGCCTTTTTGAACTCATACCCTAGCTCCCACTTATAAATGAGAGCACTTGGTTTTTTGGAAAACCACCCATTTTAGAAGCTAAAAAAGGAGAAGAAATTCTGTAAATGGAAATTACATTTTTTCCTTGGTTGAGTTCAATGTTTGATTTTTTTTTTTTTTTTTTTTTGCTACCTGGTTAAAAGCGATAATTCTAGGCAGGCTCTTACCATGTCAAACTTCTGCATAGATTACAACTAGGTGACACATTAGGGGCCAAAGAGTTTCTTAATCATGTAGTGCAATGCATTTTTATGGTAAAGGAATTAAACAGCAGAAAGTATACACGGTAAAACACTGAAATTCCTCCTTCTCTCTTTCCCCTCCACATCTGTGTTGCTTTATATTGTTTCTACATCTCTCTTCTTCTCTACACTGTGAGCTTCTAAAGTAACAGGCACTGTCTGATTACCTTACTTCCTCAGCCCCTGAGAAGTACCTAGCAGAGACGAGGTACTCACGTATTTGTTTAAACAAATGAAACTTGAATGAAAGAATCAATACATGAATGAATAAATTGACAGAGGGAGGAAGGAGGTAAGGAAGTGCTGTGGCCTGAATGTTTGAATATTTGTGTCTCCCCATTCATCTGTTGAAATGCCAACCCCCAAAGTGGTGATGATATTACAAGGTGCGGGCTTTGAGGAGGTGATTAAGTCGTGGAGCTGAAGCCCTTGTGATGGGATTGCTGCCCTTATAAAAGAGGCCTGAAGGAGCTCGTTTGTACCTTTCACCACATAACAACACAGAGAAGGAAGCGAGCTCTCTCCAGACACCTATGCCGGTGTCTTGATCTTGGACTTCCAACCTCGAGAACTGTGAGAAGTAAACTTCTGCTCTTTATAAGCCACCCTGTTTATATTACTTTTTAATAGCATCCCAAATGGACTAAGGCAGGAAGGAAGGAAGAAAAGAAGGAAGGAAGGCAGGGAGGAAACTCAGGGATGCATACCTTTCGACCTCTCTAACAGTGGTCACCCTACATTAATAATCAGTATGTGTTGAGAAGCCAAAAGGTAGATTGTTGATGAGATGTAGACATCAGAGAAATCAGCCAAGCTCTGATGTAAGCTGTGGTCTTTGCAAAAATAGAGACAATTTTTTTTTGTACCTAAGAATAAAAGAGCTCTAAAGTCAGATAACCCTGGTTTCAAAACTTTTGCTCTGCCATTCATCAACTGAGTGATCTTGTGCAAATAATTCAACCTTTCAAAGCTCCAGTGTCTCCTGTTTATTTGGTGATGGCTATAGTGTCAACCTCCTACTGTTTGTCTCAGGAAAAAAAAAAATCTTAGGAGGAGTCAATTGCTACCCAATACCTATCCACACAGAGTTGTGTTTTAACTAGGATCACCACAAGAGTTTCAACCCCATCAAAAAGTGGGCAAAGGATGTGAACAGACATTTCTCAAAAAAAGACATTTATGCAGCCAACAAACATGAAAAAAAGCTCATCATCACTGGTCATTAGAGAAATGCAAATGAACCTAACCTGTAAGAGGAACTTTTAAGTCAACTTCTGGATACCTGAAATCACACAAGATACTACTTTCCTCCATAAAGCCTGGAATGTCTCAAAAAAATCCCTAAAATTTAAAACTTAATAAGGACAACTTTGCCTTTTAGGGCCCATGGAATTAGAGGCTGGTAGGGAAACTTTGGCCATTTTGGGTGTGGGAGAAAGATGGTCGTAGATAAGGCCTAAAATTGTAGGAACACACTGAATTTCACTTATTAAATGTTAGCATAACTTAAGTTTACATAATTTAATAAAATAATATAGAAACTCCTCTGTCACTCCAGTAAGAATGAACATTCTTGAACACCTATCACATACCATGAGTCTTGAAAGTGGTATCTTAGTTGACATAACTTTTATATGAGATAGATATTTTCTCTGAGCAAGTCAATGCAGGTTATACAACTAGTGATTGAGCTGGGATTTGAACTATCCACAATCAAAACTTTTGCTTATTTTACAGTCTTTCTTGCTAAAAAAGAAAGATAATATTTTTTGAATAAAGGAACACATCTCTAGTGAGATAAACTAGTTCTGTGTGTTTGACAGCAATAGAGCTTGAGGTTCAGAGAATGAACAGGGTCGTGCATAAAAGGTTGTCTGAATTGCACTTCCCTAACAAAGGGGGAAAGTCTGCATCAGGTGGGTCATGGTGGGCCAAGTGGGTAAAGGTCAGTGCTCCTTAATCACTTCCCAAATGTTCCGCTTCTTAATACTATTGCATTGGGGATTAGATTTCAGCATGAATTTTGGGGGAGAGACACAAACACTCATACCACAGCAAATAATGATGGTGATAATACTACTGATAATAATAATAATAATAATACCACTAGAAAGTAAAGTGGAGGCTGAAATCTGTTGTCTACATTCCTGTCTCCTACACTTACACCCTGAAAGCAAGCCTCTTTATTGCCTCCCACCCCTTATTTAAAACCAGTTGGCCCTACTGGAAACCCACCTTGCAGTTGGTTCCTCCACCCTCCACAGGCTGTGTGCTGTATGTCCCTTGGGACAAGGACACCTGAAAGCAGCTCCAGTGACCACATAATTAGGGGTCATATCAATGGGCAGAGGCAGAGCTTAGTGAGGTCATGCAGAAGGCATTGTGACCCTATTGACAGAAGTCAGGTTTGAGTGGCAGTGAGGGAAAGAAGGGTGGTAGGATGTGGGGACTCTGTAGCACCCCTTTCATAGGGTTTCCCTGAAAAGCTGGGCAAATGCAAAAGATGAGAGCTCTTGTGTGTCCAATAAGTGTTTTTCTTTTAGTTGGTATAGATGCAGTAGAGGGGAATAAGAGATAGATTAGGTGAGAGAAAGAATTGCTGGAGTCCTGATGCGATTTGGCTCTGTGTCTCCACCCAAATCTCATCTCTAATTGTAATCCCCACATGTCAAGGGAGGGATCTGGTGGGAGGTGATTAGATCGAGGAGGCAGTTTCTCCCATGCTGTTCTTGTAATAGTGAGTGAGTTCTCATGAAATCTGATGGTTTAAAAATGGTGCTTCCCTCTTCTCTCTCTCTCCTGCTGCCATGTAAGATGTGCCTACTTCCTCTTTGCCTTCTGCCATGATTGTAAGTTTCCTCAGGCCTCCCCAACCCTGCGGAACTGTGAGTCAATTAAACCTATCTTTTTTTTTTTTTAATAAATTACTCAGTTCTTTATAGCGGTGTGAAATGGGCTAATACGAGTCCTGTCTATGAGTAAGCAAGGAAATGCGATCTACGACCCTTTCTCTCTTCTTCCCTCTTTACCCTTCCCACCTTTGTTCCCTCCTTTCCTCTCTCCTTCCTTCCCTCCCTTTTCTTTATTCCTCCCTCCCTGCTTTCCTCCCTCTCCTTTCCCCCTCCCTTTCCTTCTTCCTTTTTCCATCCCTTCTGTCTTTTCTTACCATTCTTTCTCTCTCTCTCTCTCTTTCAGTGCCCTGTCTTTTTTTTTTTTTAACTTCTCTTTCAATACATGCCGGGACAAAATAAAGGAATAGCGAAGCTAAAGTCATCTGAAAGCCAAAGTTGTGATGGAGAACAGTGAAGAGACCACATGGGGCACTTATGGCAAGGGTTCACCGTATAAAGTGCCCCAGGCATATATTATGAGCTTCTCTAGGTGCCCCAAAACTCTTCCATTTAATTATAAAAGGATATACTCGTAAAGAGATAGCCAGAATTTCTATCCTTGAAATAAAATTAATCATTTTACTTCCATTTAAAATGGCACTTATCCCTTAAATATAGGCACCCCAGTCTTGCCAAGAAAAAGCGATGGGATCATCACAGGTAATTTCAGTCTGTTAGGTTGGGCCATGAAAACATAAAACTCTGAAACCTCCTCTAAAGCTATATGTACCTTCAATGTTAAAGGGAAGGTGCTTAGTTTTCACAAACTGTTCAAATAGTCTATCTGGTCTAGAGAAAGAATTAGTAATAAACTACAATCTAACCTCAATTTATGTCAACCCTCTTGTTTCTCAGCTCCCTCTTATCTGGAGCAGGCAGCAAGGACAAAAATGGCAAAGTGAAGAGCAGGTAACCGACATTCATAGCTGGTGGCTGACCAGCCAAGTGACAAGCCAAGATTGCTACCTTCTTAAGAGTCTGACACTTTCTACACAAATGCAGATTCTAAGAACGTACATTTTTGACCTCAGGTTTTTATGGATTATGATCTTTCACTTCTGGAACTCAGATGAGGGTTGAAGGCATTAAAGGCAGCCTGATGTTTTGCAAGGCAGCAATTTGCTGTTTTTTGGGGTTTTTTTTTTTTTTTTTGGTTTTTTTTTTTTTAAGAATAGCACTTTGGAGGTGTGTGATTGATTAATAAAGAATTAGACCTTGAACCAGAAGAATAAATCTCTGACAGTACATATTTACTCTTTGCAAATTCTATGGAGGAAGTGCTTTTGGTGTAGGAATATCCTGGAGATATGAAATCATGGAATGGATACATATGTCTTCCACCCTCACCTAAGACTGAATCTGTTCACAATAAATTCCAAGCTACAGATCTGAAATAAATGGGCTATTCATGTAATACTGAGCTCAGAGTGCCTTCTGAGGGAGGAAGAGTTATCATATGAGCCTTGCTCATTTCTAGGAAAAAAACATAGAAAGTTCAGTAACTTGTTGCGAGTTTTTCATCATTTTTTCTCCATTAAACAAATGTAGGCTTAGGTCATTTGTGTTACTAATTTTATGCTCAATTCATGATTTGAAACTAGGATATAGTCGACCCTCTGTGTTGATCTGAAAATACTCAGGAAAAAAGAAATGTGTCTGGTCTGAACATATACAGGCTTTTTTTGGTCATTATTCCCTAAACAATATAAGTTAACACCCATTTACTTAGCATTTACATCGATTTAGGATTTACAGGTAATCTAGAGATGATGTAAAGTACATAGGAGGAAATGCAAAGGTTATATGACAATACCCATGCCATTTTACATCAAGGACTTCAGCATCTGAGGAATTTTATATCCACAGAGGACCTGAAACCAATCCCCCCCGGATACCAAGCAGCAACTATATTTGTTAATTACTGCTGAAGTAGTAAATTGTCATTAACCTTAGTGACTTTAAACAATGCTAATTAATTATCTTACAGTTTGGGGGAATAAAATATCCAAAATCAAGGTGTCAGCAAGACTGTGTTCCTTCCTAGAGTCTCTAAGTGAGAATCTTTGTTTGCTTTTTTGTTTTGTTTTGCATTTTCAAGCTTTAGAAGCTGCCCAACTTCCTTGGCCTGTGGCTTCTTCATCTCAAAGCCAGCAATGCCTGTCAAGTCATTCTAACATCACATCATGAAGACACTGACTGTTCTGTCTCTTTCCAAATTTAATGATCCTTTTGATTACATTGGTCTCGTTCACCTAATCTAAGATAATCTCCCTATTTGAAAGTCAGCTGATTAGCAACTTTAATTCTGTCTGCTGACATTAATTCTTATCTGCTATGTAAAGAAGCATAATCATAGGTTCTAGGAATTGGGACATGGACATCTTTGGGAGGCCATTATTATGCCTACTACACCTAGTAAAATAAAACTCGGTGTAGCAAATAAATACTTTGGCCACAAAAATTGTCTTTAAGGAGAAAAATGTCTGTGAATAACTTTTTAGTATATGGACATTGCAAATATCATGGGATATATAATGTAAACTCTACCTAAACTTCCAGGCACCAGGAGAGCAACAAATTCATTCAAACTAAAAATGTCACATATTATAAAAATTAAATGATTAAATAAATAAGACTATCGGACAGGCCTGGGACCAAGGTGAGGTGGGTAAGTTTGAGTTGGACAATAGCAGGATTAGATTCTGTCCTTATTTAAAACTTGAATATTTTGTAGATCATGTGTTACTTTTGAATCAATTTTTTTTTTTACAAAAAAAAAAAAAAAAAAAACACATACATTATAAGATCACTTATCTTGAGTGCAGAATTTTTTGATCCCCAAATTCTGCACCTGCATCCAGTGCCTCCCTCACCTCTTGGCCTGGTTAAAGGATCTACAAAAAATCTCTAGGTCTGATTTTTTTTTTCCAATCTTGATACTCTAGGAAATCCAATGGATTATTTTAGACAAAAATGCATTTAGCTAGAGGTTGATGGTAGGCACATTAAGAGAAAAGTTAATATCAAGAAACAGAGAGCTTCATAGACATGTAGGGTATACCTGCAGAGTTCACGATTTAACTATCAAACGAGTTAAACTGCCCAACGAGAGAGGGCAGGGCTAGGCAGGCATCTTGATGCTTCCCCTCAGAGTCTATACTGTCTTTCTTCTTGAGGTTTGCTCTCCTCTCATTGTGTTCTGCGCTATATTGCCCTCATTTAACTGTACCTTCAAAAAGGACCTGTTTTTAAGAGCTTTTACATGAATCAAAATTATGTCTAGATGTGAGGAAATGCTTTGTGCAACTCAACTTTGCCATTAAATGTATAATAATTTATGAAGTAACAACTCTTCCTCAATGACCACTACATACATGAATAAGAGAAAGTCCATACCTGTAGAGAGCTCATAGACTATTGGAGAAGTAAAAAATTAACCACATGAGCAGGAAGCACAATTGCATAAGTAGGCTAAACCAGAAGGAGGGAGTGCTTGTGAAGAACAGGAGGATAGGGCGTTCCCTCCTTAGTGGATCACCCTGATTCCAGGAGGAAAGAGGCCTTTGAGTTGGGACATTAATGAGGCACAGTCTTCCAGGAAGATGTGGGGTAGGTGAGGGCACGCAAAGAGAGGAAGTAGGAGGAGCAAAGCACAGTTATAGGAAAACAATGGGAATAATTGGGGAAGGTCAAGGGACCTAAAGGGAACAGATGTCACTAAGCCTCCCCCAAATCACAGCAGTGCCAGTCTCCTTGTCAGAAACTTATGACTCATAATTATTCACTCACATCTCATGATCATGATGGAAAAGCTCAGGTTTGGAAAAGAAACTCACCGTGGATTTATTCAAGATGATACTGACACAGACTTTGTGTCTTTCTGACATGGGGTTTTGAATTCTAACATCCCGTTGCTCCTGTTGGTTTTGGGTTGCTGGAGGAGCAACCCAAAAAACTCCTCCTGTGCCATCCCTGACCCCTGGTCTGGAGAGCTGGGAAGGACATTCCAAGGATGTCAGAGATTCGCTTGTCCGAAACCAACATTACACAATCACAATTGCAATTACTAGGATAAAGATTCCATGTCTTCGAACACCGTAGCTTAATTTGGTTTAAATGCGGCACGTCTCTGCTGAGTGAGCCCTTTCTGAATCCACATTAGTCACAGAAGCTTCTTGGACTCCTCGTTACTTTTTGCAGCATTTTATTCTGTCATGGCCATAGGTGCCAATCTGTTTCAAGCTTGTAGAGCAAACATTCAGAACACACACACACACCTTTATTCCTGTGTCAGCTAGCAGGATTTCTTATATCTTTAGAAAAACCTAAAGAAAGGAAAAGAAAAAAAAGAAAAAAAACCCAGAAGCAATAAACAATAAGCAAATCAAAGGACAATAGGAGTGATAGGGTGTTAGAATTCAAAACCCCATGTCAGAAAAGCACAAAGCCTGTGTCGGTGTTGACTTGAATAAATCTCTGGTGAGTTTCTTTTCCAAGCCTGGGATTTTCATCATGATCATGAGACATGAGTGAATGATGACGTGAACCTAAGTTTCTTAAAAGGAGGCTGGCCCTGACGTGGTTTGGGAATGTTTAGTTCCTGGAACCAGAATGTGAAAGACCGATCTCTGCTAAGTGACTGGGGCCTCCAGATGGGCTCAGGTAGCAGCTCAACAAGGATTTCTTGAGAATTCAGCTCCACCACACAAAAATAACCTCAAAGCTACCCTACCTCCATTTACACACACAGGCCAGTAACCTCTGCTTTCCAAATCATGAAGTCCGTTAAGTTTTTAAAATGAGATGCAAGAAAAAGATGTGGCTCAAATGGCAGAAATTGTTTAATGTGAATTTAATATGAAAGTAACTTAGGGCCGGGCCCAGGGGCTCACGCCTCTAATCCCAGTACTTTGGGAGGCCTAGGTGGGTGGATCACCTGAGGTCAGGAGTTTGAGACCAGCCTGGCCAACCTGGTGAAACCCTGTCTCTACTAAAAATACAAAAATTAACTGGGCATGGTGGTGGGTACCTGTAATCCCAGCTACGCAGGAGGCTGAGGCAGGAGAATCACTTGAACCCAAGAGGCGGAGGTTGCAGTGAGCCGAGATCATGCCATTGCACTCCAGCCTGGGTGACAGAGCAAGCCTCTGTCTCAGAAAAAAAAAGAAAAAAAAAAAAAAGAAGGAGGGGCAAGGAGGGGCAGGGGGAGGGGAGCTGGGAATGAAAAAAGACAAATAAAAGAAAGTAGATTACAATTAAAAACAATAATTAACAGTAGAAGTAAACCTTTGTAATGAATTGTTTCTAATCTCTAAATTCTCTTCTCAATCTCACCCTTCCATTTGTCCTCCCTCCTTCCTTTCCTCCTTTCCTCCCTTTTGTCTCTTCCTTCATACTCTCCTAAGTGGTGGAATATCGCCCAATGTCTGTGCCTCCAGGAGCCCTGCTGCTCCTCTGTAACCCAAAATCCATAAACAATATGGATAAAATGAGGCTTTTTCTATGTAATTTCTATCAGATTAGACATCTCAGGTCTTAGTCTCAAATTATCTTTCTCTCTCCCTTCCTCCCTTCCACTCTCCTTTTCTTCCTTCACCCTTTTATTTTATTCTTATAACATCAAGGAGAAAATAAAATTAGGCATTCCATTTTAAAAGTGGCTTTCAATAGGCATTTTTGTTCTGTGAACCTAGAGCAGCCACAGAGGGCAAGTGTTCTCCAGGGCCTTCCATCTGAAAAGACGAAGGGCCAGTGTCCCAAACACAACTTCCCAAAGTACAGGCTGCGCCTTATCACTACGTGAAATTCTCTAGGTCACTCAAATCTACACTTTAAATATAAAAATTTAGAAAATGACATTCTGTACTTACTTCTTTGGATAAAATCAAAATTTCTCACTTTTATTGAAAAATAAAAGTCACCTGACAGTTTTCAACCATAGTCTTAGCAGTCATAGAGTGAAGATCAGGGAGGAGATGAGATTTACAGGCTACTGGGCCCCTCTGGCTTAGAAGAGGGAGTGAGGCGGCCATGAAGCTCTTAAACTCCTTTCATATTGAAGGAAATGGAGTTTGGTTCAACAAAGCAAGGCATGCAATCTACTCAGTCTAGAAGTGATAGTAGAAGAAAGAGAGAAAGGGACAAAGGGAGTCAAGCTGTAGGGGAGACAGGGAGAGAGGGAGTGCCCTGACACTGAGAGAAATACAAGAGGCAGAGAAAGGAGACAAAGGAGAGATATAGACATGAGAGACAGAGAAAAAGAGAGAGAGTGTCTACGGCCATAGCACCTTGAACATGTTTGATCTCCTCTGATCTTGTAAGCTAAGCAGGAGTGGGCCTAACTAGTACTTGGATGAGAGAGAAAGAGGTGAGAGAGAGGCAAGAGAGAGCCTCTACCCCATTTTTCCACTTTTCCAAGCCTCCTATTTCCCTGACTCATCTCATGTGGAAGAGGCATCAGGAATATGAAGCGGAATAAGAAGAGAAGATAAGGACCCTTATGGGTGATGGCTGGGAGCTTCACCATGAGCTGAGGCTGGGGAGGACACCGAGCCTTCCATCTAAACAGGTCTTGGCCCCTGGTCACTGGGCAGAATTTGGAACAGGTATTGCCTACCACATCAGTAATTACAGTGATTGAAACTGACCACCTTACTGGGGGCATCAGACAAATGGCCCTCTGAGAGAAAAGTATACCCAGGAGCTCTTATGCAAATTTGGACACAAGAAACCCCAGAACATCCCCTCGTTCTGCTCATATGACCAGGGCTTCTTTCTGTCTTGTATCATTTGGGACCTGGGATGTGAATGGAGTGAGGGGCAAGGTCTTTCTTACAGGGGAACAGACTCAGGGTCTGTGAACTGGAGATCACCTGCCTGCTCTGTGGGATGTCCTGTTTTTCCTGAATGTCTAGGGACAGTCTCAGGCCAAACTGGGAGCCGGTTCCATCTAGTTCTATCCATTGCTGGGACATTCAGCTCCTGGGGATGATACAGGGCTGGCTCAAACCCAGGGACCTGGGAGGGGCTCACGGCTTCTGGCAGCTCCAGGAGCATGGTGGGCCCCGTCCTCACAGATCTGAGCTGGTGAAATTCATGTGAAAGGTGCCCTGAAATTCTCCGTCATCACCATGGGACAGAGATGAGGCAGATGGGTGCCCACTTCCTTCCTCTGAGAAGGAGAATGGGAGGGTGGGATTGTGACTACATGTGTCCCCTCAGAGTCCACCCAGGCCCAGGCCAGGAGGTGGCCTACCACCCACACTTGAGTTCCCTCCATTCACACCGACACTCAGGGAATGTCAGCTCCACAGGACTTCAGGGCTTTGGGAGCCAGGGCTTTCCCTGCTTTCCACAGACGTCAGTGCTAAGTGAGCTCAATACCGTTGGGATTTGGTAGAGAAGCACGGAGTGGGGGTGCAAGGCCTCCACGTGGTGTCTTTCACGTGCATCCGTGTGAAGAGACCACCAAACAGGCTTTATGTGAGCAATAAAGCTTTTTAATCACCTGGGTGCAGGTGGGCTGAGTCAGCGTAGGGAGATAGGGGTGGGGCCGTTTTACAGGATTTGAGTAGGTAATGGAAAATTACAGTCAAAGGGGGTTGTTCTCTGGCTGGCAGGGGTGGAGGTCACAAGTTGCTCAGTGAGGGAGCTTTTGAGCCAGGATGAGCCAGGCCAAGGAATTTCACAAGGTAATGTCATCAGTTAAGGCATGAACAGTCCATTTTCACTTCTTTTGTGATTCTTCAGTTACTTCAGGCCATCTGGATGTATACGTGCAGGTCACAGGGGATATGATGGCTTAGCTTGGGCTCAGAGGTCTGACAGTCTCCCTATTGGTGATGGGACCCACTTCTGCAGAAGCCCTGTGTTTTCAGAGCTGTGCAAGGTCTCTGGGGACCCTCAGGACCCTGTCCTTCCTCCATAACCCAGAGTAGCAATCGGTGGCCACAGGCAATGGACAGAGCCCCTGGTGTCAGATGCTCAGGGGTGGGGCTTTTCAAGGGAAAATAAGTGGCATTCATCCTGGTTCCTCCCTCTTTGGATCCAAGGGAAGCTTGAGAGACAAGCAGGCCCCAGTGTCAGGTGTAGCGATGACACCAAGGTGTAGCGGTGACAGCCATGGGGACAATGAGCCTTGAGCCATGGTCTACATTTTAAATGTCACACTTTAAGAATTCACAGTTTGAGGCAGGCCAGGGGTGTTTTTAAAGAAAGCTGCAATGGATTCTATAAACAAGATCTTTAATGTCTTTCTTATCATGAAAGGAAGTTTCCGATGGGGTAGGCAAAGAGAGGGCTGGGTTGGGTGCCCTCACAACTGCTAAAGGAATCTGAATCCAGGGCTACAGCTGACTCAGCAGGGAGTCACTCCCTTTGTCAGAACTTTGTTTTCCTCTGTGCTGAGCAGGCTGGAATTGAGGGGCAGACTCATTCATTTCCTGACACTAAAACTATTCCTGGCCAAGGAAGCCAAATAGAAAAACTGAATGAAAAAAAAAAAAAAGCACATATGTGCTCTGTCTAAATTAATAAATAATTTAAAAAATATACTTTCTATGTCGCTGTCACCTTTTGAAAGTAGCAGGAAAATGTCATGACACTTCACCCTAATTATCTCAGCATGTATCTCTTATAAATAAGAAAAAAATTCCCGCATCAATCACACTACCATTTATGCACATTAACAAGAAAATTTCCCTGGCCTGAACACTGGGACAGCAGCTGTAGGTGCTCAGGAAGCAAAGTGTCAGTAAATTATTGCAAAACAGAAGTCAGTGCATAGACATTGAAATTGTTCCAAGAATAGCTTCGTGGCTGTTGAGTTTTCTGGGTACATGTTCAATCCAGATTCACACATCGAATTAGGTTGTCACGCCTCTTTCCTTGTTGAGTAAACATTCTTAAGGAAATGCCATGGTATGTGGCAAGGGGCCTTACTGGAGTTATTACGTAACTCTTATATGTAAATAAGAGTTTGAGTTAAGAGAGTGGTTCCCATCTTTTTCATGTGTGGCATCACTCCTGATTGATACGTCCTTAATGACTGCTGTACTTAACATGATTATTATAAAAGTAATACACTTGCATTTAAAAACTCACCCATAGAAGAGTGTGAATTTCTCCTATAATCCCGTTGCAATCCCAGGAACCACTGACAGCACTGTGGTTTTACACTTGTTGTCCTCTCTAGCTCTCAGTACATTTGTGAGGCCTTGTTAGAGAAGGAGGTGAAATTGCTCTGAAATAGGAAAGTCACTGTGAAATGCAGCACCTGTGTCCCTGGGGAAGAAGCCACCAAGGCTTAGGGAACATGGGCCTGGTTGCTCAAGGACAGCTGGGCTGACTGTTCCCATGAAGATTCCTATGGTTGCAGCTATTCTTTTTTCCTGGCACAGCCCGATGTGACTCCTTCAGAGCAGTGTTCATCCTGGTGATACAGTGTGTTTGATAAAGATCAAGGGAGGAGCACTTTTGTCTTAAAGGTAGGGTTATTATCTTGCTTCAGCAAGGAAGACTATCCACCAGCACAGATATGGGTTTTTTCCCAAACCACAGGCTGTTTTCTGTGGCAAAGTGGCTCAGTTCCCCAGGCAAGAGTGGGCATTCCTTTAGATAGGCTCCCAGAAAGCAAAGTCTCTCATATCTATAATTTTAGAAAGCAAAGTTTCTCTGCACTGTGTCCTCAATGATAAATAACAGAAGCAGTTTTACTGGCTCTCAATTCTGGAGCCAGGACCAGCTTCACGGGCTTGAGGGCTGGGCAGTGACACAGGGACCTGCCCTCAGAAGGGCCAGTGCCTGGTAGCAGGCTCTGCCGACACCCTCTTGACCTTAGTTTTTTTTCTTTGAACTTCATTTTGTAAGTGAAGCCCACTGAGACAATGGAGCAGGCACATGAGCAGAGTGGCTATGAGGGGGGACAAGGTGGGCAGGCTCAGGCCCAGGGACATGAAGGCCACATGTTGGAGCTTGCTGCCCTGAGCACGGGTGCTTTGGAGCGGCCCAGGCACATCTCGACTGGGAAGGAAGATGGCAACGGACCAGGATGGGAGGTGGCAGCCGCAGCAGCAGGTGTCCTCAGCCCTGGGGTGAAAGGAGGGTCTCTGTGTGGACGCAGCACTGACACCTCTGTGCCTGTGCATTCTCAGAGTCATCCTTGGAGCTTCTGCACGAATATCTACCCCCTGACCTGAGCACCAGGACAGGAATCATAGGGCTCAGATAGCAAATTGGGAGGAGAGAAGCACAAAACAAAAGTGTGCCCATGGACATTGTGAAAGAGTATGCCAGGGAGTTCTTGGAATTCCTCAGAGAGTTTAGAGTTCTTCAAGGAGTTATCCAAGGCTCAGAAATATAAATTAAATATATAATGATAGTCACAAAACTTCTGATGGGACAGGCATGGTGGGTCACACCTGTTATCCCAGCACATTGTGAAGCTCTGGTTAGAGGACTGTTTGAAGCCAGTTGTTGGAGACCACCATAGGCAGTATAGTGGGCAGTATAGTTAGACCCCAACATTAAAAAAAAAAAAAAAGATTAGCTGAGCACAGTGGCACATGCCCGTAGTCTTAGCTACTTGGGAGGCTGAGGTAGGAAGATCATACGAGTTCAGGAGTCTGAGGCTGCAGTGAGCCATGATCATGTCAACAGATGGAGACCCTACCTCAAAAAGAAAAGAAAAGAAAAGAAAATAACACTTCTGATCAATCAATTATTAACAAGTAGAGCAATTTTAAAAATTCAGTTCTTCTTGTTAAAGATACAACAATAGAATTCAAAAACAGGAGTTTTGAGTAAGTTACAAATCATGACGCCACATTTGGTCTGCTGTGGGCCTCTGCAACTTACAGAACATGTCAGAAGATGCATCAAAATTCCATTGGAGAAATTTACACTTAAAATTAAATTCAAACTTCCATAAAACTGATTTGCTTAAACAGTTATATGCTTTGAAAAAAATAGCTCCACAAGAACCACCAGCTACAGATATACTAAAATTTGTGTCAAAATAGTTTATCCCAATATTGTCAGAGTTTAGATAATATTCCAGAAACAGTTGCTTCAGCAGATTCTTTTCAGAAGAAAAAATGAAGTTGCTCAAGGTATAAAGTTTGATGACCTAATAAATTAATTGCAGAAAAGTTGGCCAGAAAAATTGTTTGATTCATCTAGATCCAATTAATAAAGTATTATTATTTATTCTATTAAAACTGTGACACTGGTTTCTGGTGGGGATTTATATGATTCTGTTCTTACTCTTCTAGAAGTATTATCCCTATTACACTTTTCAAATGATGAAACATACTGGCTTGAGAAAGCTGAATACCCTCCTGCCTTTCACGACACTTTCTTCTGCTGCTCTTTGAACAAGGCGCCCTGCATTTCCACTTTGCACTGAGCCTTGGGAATTTTGCAGCCGGCCTTGCCGTGGCCATTTTTATACAAGTTATCTCATTTAATCCTCAGAAGCAAACATGCCAGGGGGTTATTACCCAAGTTTACAGAGGCAGGTCCTGGGGCCTAGAAAGGTTAGAGGACATGTTCAATGTCATCTGACTACTAAGTGGCAGAGATGGAATTTGAAATAAAATCCCTCTCTCTTCAAAGCCCATGTTCCTAACCAGCACCACACAATCACCATGGTGTCCTGATAACCTCCCCTCTTCATCCTCCTACAACCCCAAAGCTACAGTAACGCTCTGCGTAAGGCCAGAGTCCACGCGGCTACTGTCACCCTCTCCCATCTCCTGAGCTGAGCGGTGAGTCCACAGCCTGGCCCGGCCTTGCAGGAGGTGAGGGAATGAGCGCGCAGTTACTGCCACCTCGTGGCGGCCTGACTACATGACCCTGAAACGCAGACCTAATCTGTTTCCTGCCTGCCTGAAGCCTGGGTGTGCACCTGAGACTTCTAGTAATTTCCTTTTTCCCCTTAAGGAACCTATCGAGAGTTCTCACAATTTTATGCATTCTCTCAAGCAAGTAGCTTTCGTTTATTTATTTTTAATATTCTATTTTGTGTCCACATTCTTTTTTATTCACTCGTTTTCCTATTTACTTTCAGCTTAATTAGTTCTTTTTTCCCCAGGTTTTTTACAATGGAATATTAGATTGTCTATTTCTGAGCTTTCGACTTCGCATCATAATAGCAGTTAATGTTATCAATTTCCCTCCAAGCACTGCTTTTGTTGTATTGCCACAAATTTTGGTATGTTATGTTTCCATTTGCTGTCATGTGAAAATATTTTTAAATTTCTCCTTTGACTCATTAGAAATATGTTGAGTAATGTCCAAATATGTGAGGAATTTTCCAGCTATTTTCCTTTAGTCACAGCTTCATACATTCCACTGTGGATAGACATTACGCTACATATGATTTTAAATTGTTTTGATTTTTTTGTTTCTTAGTCCAATATGAGCTCTCTTAGGTAATATTTCAATGCATTTTACTGTTATTGGGAGGAGTGTCCTGTAAAGCTTATATAGGTCATAATGGATGATACTGTTGTTCAAGTTCTCTCTATCTTTATTTATACTTTGCTGCTAAAAAAACTATTTCAAAGAAAAAAGTGTTGAAATATTCAATGGTAATTCTTAATTTTTCAATTTCTTCTCTTAGTTCTATCAATTTCTTTTTAAAAATTTTGAGATTCTCTTATTAGGTGCATACTAATTTAATAATAATGATATGTGTTCTTGGTGATTTAACAACTTTATCACTGGAAAACATAGGCTCTTTATCAGTAATAATACACCTTGCTGTAAAATCTACTTTGATTTATAGTCAGTTAGCCGATACAGCTAATTCTGTTTTCATTAGATTAATGTTTCCATACTATAACTCTTTCTGTCCCTTTACTATCAACCTATCTTTGTCCTTATATTTGATAAAGACATTGGGTTTTTATAGACAGCGTGTATTTGGGTCTTGTTTTATACTACAAGTTTGCTAGTGAGGAATTCTCTTAGTTTTTGTTATTGTCATTAGAAAATGCCTTTACGCGGTGGGTCACGCCTGTAATCCCAGCACTTTGGGAGGCCGAGGTGGGCGGATCTCGAGGTCAGGAGATCCAGACCATCCTGGCTAATACGGTGAAATCCTATCTCTACTACAAATACAAAAAAATTAACCGGGCATGGTGGCGGGCGCCTGTAGTCCCAGCTACTGGGGAGGCTGAGGCAGGAGAATGGCGTGAACCCGGGAGGCGGAGCTTGCAGTGAGCCGAGATCGCACCATCGCACTCCAGTCTGCGTGACAGCGAGACTCCGTCTCAAAAAAAAAAAAAAAAAAAGGAAAAGAAAATGCCTTTACTTATTACTGGAATATGTGTTTAGCATTAATCTAGAAATGTATTTTTGCTTGTCAGGGTCCTATGTTGACTTATTTTTCTTCTTTTGGTACTTAAATATGTCACTTTATTTTTTCTACTTCTGTAAGCAGTGTCTTCTCTCAGCATGCTTTTAAGATTTTCTCATTATTTTTGATTCAAAACAATTTGATTATTGATATGGTTTGGCTCTGTGTCCCTACTCAAATCTCATCTGGAATTATAATCCCATAATCCCCAGTGTTGGGGGGCAGGACCTGGTGGGAGGTGATTGGATCATGGGGAGGTGAATTCTGCCTTGCTGTTCTCATGATAGTGAGTGAATTCTCAAGAGATGTGATGGTTTTATAAATGGCAGTTTCCTTCTGTGCTTACTCTTGTGCTCTGTCTCTCTTCCTCTCTCTCTCTCCCTCTCTCTTTCGTCTGACACTGTGGAAGACTTGCTTGCTTCTGCTTCACCTTCCATCACGATTGTGAGATTCCTGAGGCCTCCTAGCCATGCTTTCTGTTAATCCAGCATAACTGGGAGTCAAAGAAACCTCTTTTATTTATAATTATCCAGTCTCAGGTAGTTCTTTATAGCAGTGTGAAAATGAACTTGTATAATTATGATATTCTTGTTCTTTTTTTTTTAAATAATTATTCTTCTTGGATGTCTTTCAATACCAAATTTGTATGTTTCCAGTCTCACCAAATTTATAAAAATAGGCTATTATTTCACTAACTTTATGCTTTCTCCTGGAATTTCTTTCTGCCTTCAAACACACATAGGTGCTAGATTGCTTGATATTTCTGTGAAGTGCACTGTTTATTTTTCATCCAGAGTTTTTTTCTCCCTTTGCTTCATTTTCTCATTTGTTTGTGTTAATGTAGACTCAGGCTTACTGATCCTTTCTTCTATACTGTCATGTGTCATTAATCCAATTCAGAAATTTTTTTGTTCTCATCATTTTGTTTTACTGCTGGAAGGCCCATTTGGTTCTTTTTATGTGTTCCTCCTCATCAAAAAGGTTTTCTCTTCAGCCTTTGACATATTTATAACTTTTATAATAGCTCCTTTACATTCCCTTTTCTGATCCTAGTACCTTTGTCATTATTGGGTCTGTTTTTACTGAATGACTTTTCTCCTAGTTATGGGCTATATTTTCCTACTTCTTTTCATGCTTGGAAATTTTTTATTGGATTCAGTATATTATAAAGCCTTTTTTTTTTTTAATTTGGAAACAGGGTCTTGCTCTGTTGCCCAGGCTGGAATGCAGTGGTGCAATCTCAGATCACTGCAACCTCTGCCTCCCTGGTTTAAGCAATTCTCTTGCCTCAGCCTCCTGAGTACCTGGGACTACAGGCCTGTGCCACCACGCCCAGATAATTTTTCTATTTTTAGTAGGCATAGGTTGGCCTGGCTGGTCTCGAGCTCATGCCCTCAAGTGATTCACCTGTCTTGGCTTCCGAAAGTGCTGAGATTACAGTCATGAACCGCCAGGCCTGGACAGCTTGAATTGTTGAGTAACAGTTTTGGTTGTTTTCCCCAAAGAATGCTAGACATCATCTGGTTCATTTTGGGGGTTCTATACATTCATTTGGTTTTTTCAAGAATGGCTTGAAAATTTCTTGAAGCAGTTGCAGAGCAGTTTAATCTAGAGCTAACTAGCACCACTACTTGCTGATGGCTTTCTGAGGTTCTGAGTTCTCTCCACTTTGCTGTGGGGATACAAAGTTTTCAAGACTTGTCTGTCCTCCTGAAAATGCCGTTCACTCCCTTATGGAGTTTTTACTTTTTTCTGGCCTGGGGAAGTCTTAGCCCAAGTGTGCACACATCATAACATAGCCTAAGAGTGAAGGCATTCTTCTCTTCTCCAACACTCAAGATCAATGCTTCCTTTCAGTAGCCCACTCTCTGATATGTGCACTGGAAATTGGGGTCTGATACAGGTTGGATGTTTGTACTCTCCAAATACTATGTTGAAATGTAATTCCCAGTCTTGGAGGTGGGACCTGGCAGGAGGTGTTGGGGTCATTGGGGTGGATCCCTCATGAATGGCTTGGTGCTGTCCTGGAGATAATCTGTGAGCTCCTTCTTTGAGTCATGGGAGATCTGGTTGTTTCACACAGTGTGGCACCTCCCCAACTCTGGCTCCTTCTCCTGGCTTGTGATACTCCTGCTCCCCCTTCCCCTTCCTACACAAAAGGAAGCCTTCTGAGGCCTCAAAAGGAGCAGATGATGTCACCATGCTACTCATACAGCCTACAGAATAGGGAGCCAAAATAAACTTCTTTTCCTTATGAATTACCCAGCATTAGGTATTCCTTTATAGGAGTAAAAACAAACTGACACAGAAAATTGATACTGTGCAGGGGGCATTGCTGTAAAGACAGCTGAAAATATGGAAGTGGCTTTGTCACTGGGTACTGGCAGAGGTTGAAAGAGTTTGTAGGGCCCAGCAAAAGATAGGAAGATGAGGGAAAGTTTGGAACTCTTTAGAAACTTGTTAAATGTACGTGACCAAAATGCTCACAGAGATATGGACAGTGGAGTCCACACTATCAAGTTGTTAGATGGAAAAGTGGAAGTTACTGGGAATTAGAGCAAGGGTCCCCATTGTTACACCCCAGTCAAGAGCTTGGCTGCATTGTGTTCACGTCCTAGGGATTTGTGGAAAGTTGAACTTTAGAGTGATTAGCTAGAGCATCTGGTCTAAGTAATTTCCAAGGAGCAAAGTATTCAAGATATGTAGCTGCTTCTACAAGCTTGCAATCAGATACAGGAGCAAAGAAATGCTTTCAATTTGGAACTTAAAGGAGAAGCTGTCAGGCGTCTCAGCCCAAGCCAAGCCATCGCATCCCCTGTGACTTGCATGTATACGCCCAGATGGCCTGAAGTAACTGAAGAATCACAAAAGAAGTGAATATGCCCTGCCCCACCTTAACAGATGACATTCCACCACAAAAGAAGTGTAAATGGCCGGTCCTTGCCTTAAGTGACGACATTACCTTGTGAAAGTCCTTTTCCTGGCTCATCCTGTCTCAAAAAGCACCCCCACTGAGCACCTTGCAACCCCTACTCCTGCCCGCCAGAGAACAAACCCCTTTTGACTGTATTTTTCCTTTACCTACCCAAATCCTATAAAACAGCCCCACACTTTTCTCCCTTCACTGACTCCCTTTTTGGATTCAGCCCACCTGCACTCAGGTGAAATAAACAGCCATGTTGCTCACACAAAGCCTGTTTGGTGGTCTCTTCACACGGACGCACATGAAATTTGGTGCCGTGACTTGGATCGGGGGACCTCCCTTGGGAGATCAATCCCCTGTACTCCTGTTTTTTGCTCCGTGAGAAGATCCACCTATGACCTCAGGTCATCAGACCGACCAGCCCAAGGAACATCTCACCAATTTTAAATCAGGTAAGCGGCCTCTTCTTACTCTCTTCTGCAACCTCTCTCACTGTCCCTCAACCACTTTCTCCTTTCCACTCTTCAATCTCTCCCTTCTCTTAATTTCAATTCCTTTCATTTTCTGGAAGAGACAAAGGAGACACGTTTTTTCCATGGACCCAAAACTCCGGCACTGGTCACGGACTGGGAAGGCAGCCTTCCCTTGGTGTTTAATCATTGCAGGGATGCCTCTCTGATTATACACCCACGTTTCAAGGGTGTCTGACCATGCAGGAACACCTGCCTTGGTCATTCACCCTTAGCGGCAATTCCCGCTTTTCTGGGGAAGGGGCAAGTACCTCAACTCCTTCTCGCCTTGTCTCTACCCCTTCTCTGCTTTTCTGGGAGAGGGGCAAGTACCCTTCAACCCCTTCTCCTTCACCCTTAGCGGCAAGTCCCGCTTTTCTATGGGGCAAGAACACCCAATCCCTTATTTCCACGCCCCAGCCTCTTATCTCTGCACCCCAATCCCTTATTTCCATGCCCCAACCTCTTATCTCTACACCCCAATCCCTTATTTCCATGCCCCAACCTCTTATCTCTACACCCCAATCCCTTATTTCTGCACTCCGACCTCTTATCTCTGTGCCCCAATCCCTTATTTCAGTGCCTCAACCTCATATCTCTGCACCCCAATCCCTTATTTCCATGCCCTGACCTCTTATCTCTGTGCCCCAACCCCTTTTCCCACTTTTCTGGAAGGTAAGAACCCCCAAACCCCTTCCTTCCATTTCTCTACTCTCTCTTTTCTCTAGGCTTGCTTCCTTCACTATGGGCAACCTTCCATGCTCCATTCTTCCTTCTACTCCCTTGGCCTGTGTTCTCAAAAACTTAAAACCTCTTCAACTCACACCTGACCTAAAACCTAAATGCCTTATGTTCTTCTGCAATGCCACTTGACCCCAATACAAACTCGACAGTAGTTCCAAATAGCCAGAAAATGGCACTTTGAATTTTTCCATCCTACAAGATCTAAATAATTCTTGTTGTAAAACAGGCAAATGGTCTCAGGTGCCTGACGTCCAGGCATTCTTTTACACATCAGTCCCTTCCTAGTCTCTGTGCCCAGTGCAACTCATCCCAAATCTTCCTTCTTTCCCTCCCGCCTGTCCCCTCAGTACCAACCCCAAGTGTCGCTGAGTCTTTCTAATCTTCCTTTTCTACAGACCAATCTGACATCTCCCTTCCTCCCCAGGCTGCTCCTCACCAGGCCAAGCTACATCCCAATTCTTCCTCAGCCTCTGCTCCTCTACCCTATAATCTTTTTATCACCTCCCCTCCTCACACCTGGTCCGGCTTACAGTTTCCTTCCGTGACTAGCCCTCCTCCACCTGCCCAGCAATTTACTCTTAAAAAGGTGGCCGGAGCCAAAGATATAGTCAAGGTTAATGCTCCTTTTTCTTTATCCCAAATCAGAAGTGTTTAGGCTCTTTTTCATCAAATATAAAAACCCAGCCCAGTTCATGGCTCATTTGGCAGCAACCCTGAGACACTTTACAGCCCTAGACCCTAAAAGGTCAAAAGGCCGTCTTATTCTCAATATACATTTTATTACCCAATCTGCTCCCAACATTAAATAAAACTCCAAAAATTGGAATCTGGCCCTCAAACCCCACAACAGGACTTAATTAACCTCACCTTCAAGGCGTACAATAACAGAAAAAAGTTGCAATTCTTTGCCTCCACTGTGAGACAAACCCCAGCCACATCTCCAGCACACAAGAACTTCCAAATGCCTGAACCACAGCAGCCAGGCAGTCCTCCAGAACCTCCTCCCCAAGGAGCTAGCTACATATGCAAAATCTGGCCACTGGGCCAAGGAATGCCCACAGCCTGGGATTCCTCCTAAGCCGCGTCCCATCTGTGTGGGACCCCACTGAAAACCGGACTGTTCAACTCACCTGGCAGCCATTCCCACAGCCCCTGGAACTCTGGCCCAAGGCTCTCTGACTGACTCCTTCAGAGATCTTCTCCGCTTAGTGGCTGAAGACTGACACTGCCCGATCGCCTCAGAAGCCCCCTAGACCATCACGGACGCTGAACTTCGAGTAACTCTCACAGTGGCGGGTAATTCCGTCCCCTTCTTAATCATTACGGTGGCTACCCACTCCACATTACCTTCTTTTCAAGGGCCTGTTTCCCTTGATTCCATAACTGTTGTGGGTATTGATGGCCAGGCTTCTAAACCTCTTAAAACTCCCCAACTCTGGCGCCAACTTAGACAATACTCTTTTAAGCACTCCTTTTTAGTTATCCCCACCTGCCCAGTTCCCTTATTAGGCCGAGACAATTTAACTAAATTATCTGCTTCCCTGACTATTCCTGGACTACAGCTATATCTCATTGCCACCCTTCTTCCCAATCCAAAGTCTCCTTTGCGTCCTCTTGTATCCCCCGACCTTAACCCATAAGTATAAGATACCTCTACTCCCTCCTTGGTGACCGATCATGCACCCCTTACCATCTCATTAAAACCTAATCACCCTTACCCCACTCAACACCAATATCCCATCCCACAGCACGCTTTAAAAAGATTAAAGCCTGTTATCACTCGTCTGCTACAGCATGGCCTTTTAAATCCTATAAACTCTCCTTACAATTCCCCCATTTTACCTGTCCTAAAACCAGACAAGCCTTACAAGTTAGTTCATGATCTGCACCTTATCAACCAAATTGTTTTGCCTATCCCCCCTGTGGTGTCCAACCCGTACACTCTTTTGTCCTCAATACCTTCCTCCACAACTCACTATTCTGTGCTTGATCTTAAAGATGCTTTTTCACTATTCCCCTGCACCCCTTGTCCCAGCCTCTCTTTGCTTCCACTTAGACTGACCCTGACACCCATCAGGCTCAGCAAATTACCTAGGCTGTACTGCCGCAAGGCTTCATAGACAGCCCCTATTACTTCAGTCAAGCCCAAATGTCATCCTCATCTGTTACCTATCTCAGCATAGTTCTCATGAAAACATATGTGCTTTCCCTGCTGATCATGTCCGATTAATCTCCCAAACCACAATCCCTTACAAAACAACTCCTTTCCTTCCTAGGCATAGTTAGTGCAGTCAGAATTCTTACACAAGAGCCAGGACAGCACCCTGTAGCCTTTCTGTGCAAACAACTTGACCTTACTGTTTTAGCCTAGCCCTCATGTCTGCGTGCAGTGGCTGCCGCTGCTTTAATACTTTTAGAGGCCCTCAAAATCACAAACTATGCTCAACTCCCTCTCTACAGTTCTCATAACTTCCAAAATCTATTTTCTTCCTCATACTTGACTTATATACTTTCTGCTCCCCGGCTCCTTCAGCTGTACTCACTCTTTAAGTCCCACAATTACCATTGTTCCTGGCCCGGACTTCAATCTGGCCTCCCACATTATTCCTGATACCACACCTGACCCCCATGACTGTATCTCTCTGATCCACCTGATATTCACCCCATTTCCCCATATTTGCTTCTTTCCTGTTCCTCACCCTGATCACGCTTGATTTATTGATGGCAGTTCCACCAGGCCTAATTGCCACACACCAGCAAAAGCAGGTTATACTATAGTACAAGCCACTAGCCCGCCTCTTAGAACCTCTTATTTCCTTTCCATCGTGGAAATCTATCCTCAAGGAAGGAAATAACTTCTCAGTGTTCCATCTGCTATTCTACTACTCCTCAGGGATTATTCAGGCCCCCTCCCTTCCCTACACATCAAGTCAAGGATTTGCCCCACCCAGGACTGGCAAGTTAGCTTTACTCAACATGCCCTGAGTCAGATAACTAAAATACCTCTTAGTCTAGGTAGATACTTTCACTGGATAGGTAGAGGCCTTTCCTACAGGGTCTGAGAAGGCCACCGCAGTCATTTCTTTGGTTCTGTCAGACATAATTTCTCAGTTTAGCCTTCCCACCTCCATACAGTCTGATAACACATGAGCCTTTATTAGTCAAATCAGCCAAGCAGTTTTTCAGGCTCTTAGTATTCAGTGAAACCTTTATATTCCTTACAGTCCTCCATCTTCAAGAAAAGGAGAATGGACTAAAGGTCTTTTAAAAACACACCTCACCAAGCTCAGCCACCAAAAAGGACTGGACAATACTTTTAGCACTCTCCCATCTCAGAATTCAGGCCTGTCCTCGGAATGCTACAGGGTACAGCCCATTTAAGCTCCTGTATAGACGCTCCTTTTTATTAGGCCCCAGTCTCATTCCAGACACCAGACCAACTTAAACTGTGCCCCAAAAAACTTGTCATCCCTACTATCTTCTGTCTAGTCATACTCCTATTCACTGTTCTCAACTACTCATACATGCCCTGCTCTTGTTTACACGGCCGTTTTACACAGTTTTTCCAAGCCATCACAGCTGATATCTCCTGGTGCTATCCCCAAACTGCCGCTCTTAACTCTTGAAGTAAATAAATAATCTTTGCTGGCAGGACTATGATGAGTCTCCTTAGGCACTCTCTAATCAGATATCCTGAGTCGTCCCAATTCTTAGACCTTTTATACCTGTTTTTCTCCTTCTGTTATTCCATTTAGTTTCTCAATTCATCCAAAAGCGTATCCAGGCCATCACCAATCATTCTATATGACAAATGTTTCTTCTAACATCCCCACAATATCACCCCTTACCACAAGACTTCCCTTCAGCTTAATCTCTCCCACTCTAGATTCCCACGCCACCCCTAATCCCGCTTGAAGCAGCCCTGAGAAACATCGCCCATTCTCTCTCCATACCACCCCCCAAAAATTTTCACCACCCCAACACTTCAACACTATTTTGTTTTATTTTTCTTATTAATATAAGAAGGCAGGAATATCAGGCCTCTTAGCCCAAGCCAAGCCATCGCATCCCCTGTGACTTCCACGTATATACGCCCAGATGGCCTGAAGTAACTGAAGAATCACAAAAGAAGTGAATATGCCCTGCCCCAATTTAACAGATGACATTCCACCACAAAAGAAGTGTGAATGGCCGGTCTTTGCCTTAAGTGATGACATTACCTTGTGAAAGTCCTTTTCCTGGCTCATCCTGGCTCAAAAAGCAACCCCACTGAGCACCTTGCGACCCCCACTCCTGCCCACCAGAGAACAAAACCCCTTTGACTGTAATTTTCCTTTACCTACCCAAATCCTATAAAACGGCCCCATCCTTATCTCCCTTTGCTGACTCTCTTTTCAGACTCAGCCCGCCTGCACCCAGGTGAAATAAACAGCCATGTTGCTCACACAAAGCCTGTTTGGTGGTCTCTTCACACGGACGCGCATGAAAGAAGCAAAGCATAAAAATTTGGAAAATTTGCAGCCTAGAAATTTAGTAGAGAAAGAAAAAGCATTTTCAGAAGAGGACTGTAAGGGGCTGTGGAGAAACCACTTGCTAGAGAGATGTGCATGACTGAGAAGGAGCCAAGTGCTAATAGCCAAGACAATGGGGAAAAGGCTTACAAGGCATTTTTGAAAACTTTGAGGCATTCCCTCCCACCACAGCCCACAGGCCTAGGAGGAAAGAATGGTTTCAGTGGCCAGACCCAGGCACAGCTGCCCTGCTCAGCTTCAAGACACATCCTGGCTGCCCAGCCTCCAGCCTCAGCTCAAAGGGCCTAATGTACAGATTGACCACTGCTTCAGTGGGTGAAAGCCAGAACGTCTTGGCAGCGTTCATGTGGTGCTAAGCCTGCAAGTCTGCAGAGTGCAAAAAGGAAGGAGGCTTGGCAGCTTCCACCGAGATTTCAGAGGATGTGTGGCAAAGTCTGGTTCTCCAGGCGGAAAACTGCTGCCGAGGGAGAGTACCAAGAGAAAAACTCTACCAGGGCAGTGCTAAGGGGAAACGTGGGGTTGGATTCCCCACACAGTGTCCCCAGTGGGGCATTGCCTAGTGGAGCTGAGGGAAGGGGAACACTGCCCTCCAGACCTGAGAATAGTAACACTGTTGACAGCTTGTACCCTCAGCATGGAAGAGCCACGGGCATCAGATTCTGACCTGTGACAGGAGCCATGTGGGCTGCACCCTGTAAAGCCACAGGGGCAGAGCAGCCCAAGGTCTTCAGAGCCCACCCTCACAGCAGAATAAAGGACATGGAATCAAGAATTATTTTCAAACTTTGAGGTTTAATAGCTGCCCTGCTGAGTTTCTGACATGTGTGGGGCCTGTAATCCCTTTTATTGGCCAATTTCTGCCTTTTAGAATGGTAGTGTCTAGCCAATGCCTGTGCCATCATTGTAACATGAAAGTACATAACTTGTTTTTGATAGTACAGGCTAAAAGGCGGAAGGAATTTGAGTCTCAGGGGATGAGATTTTGAACTTTGGACTTTTGATTAAGTTAATGCTGGAAGTAGTTAAAACTTTGGGGAGTGATTGGGAAGGGATGATTGCATTTTGCAATGTGAGAAGGACATGAGATTTGAGGGGCCAGAGGAAGAATAATATTTTTCAGATGTTTGTCCCCTCGAAACCTCCTGCTGAAATCTAATCCTCAGTGTTGGAAGTGGAATCTGGTGGGAAGTGTTTGGGTTGTGGGGTTGAATCCCTAATGAATGACTAACTGCTTTCATCACAAAAATGAGTGAGTTCTTGCTCCGAGTTCATACAACATGTAGTTGTTTAAAAGAGTCTGGGACCTCCTTGCACCCTCTCGCTCCACTCTTACCACGTGATATTCCTGCTCCCACTTGACTTTCCACTATGACTGAAGGCTTATGGAGTCCTAACAAGGAGCGGATGCAGGCACCATGCTTCTCACACAGCCAAAAATAGTGAGCCAAATAACTTCCTTTCCTGAAGTATTATCCCACCTCAGGTATTCCTTTAGAGCAACACACACAGACTGACACAGGGCGTATCGTGCTGTGTGAGCTTTGACCTTGGTCTCCTCAATGCTACAGGGTGCTGGTCTTCATGTAAGTCTTCCTCCCTGTGCTGTGGCCTGTAACCTGGCCCTATAGAGAGCTAGGGGCAAAAGGACATCCTACTTTATTTGTTTGTTGCACTGCTTATTATCCAATATATGAACACAGCTGTCTCACACCTGCTGACTAGTTCCATCTTGTCTACTGTAGGAGGGCAATTCCCATAGCAGTGAGTCCGTTTGGATGGAAACTGAGGAACAGGCTCAACTTTTTCAGTTTTTGTCCCTTCTTCCTGAGAGCCTCATTGTCTTTTCATATAAGCCTTCAGAATTTGAGAAAGATATACATAAAATTCCGTAAAATGTTGGTAGGTTTTCATCTTTGTTCTCCATTACAGAAATGTAGCCTTAGCTTTTTTGTGTTACTAATTTTATGCTCAGTTCATAATTTGAAACCAGTAGGCCCTTCCTATTCGTGTGTTCCACATCAGGAAACGTTCTACAAAAACATTGTGTCTGAATTGAGCATGCACAGGCCTTTTTCTCTTGCCATTATTTTCTAGGAAATACAGCATAACTCCTACTTACTTAGCATTTACATTGTGTTCAGTGTTACAAGAAATCTAGGAATGATTTAAAGTATATGCAAGGAGTGTGAAGATTATATGAAATTACTACTCTTTTATATCAGGGACCTGAGCATCTGAGGCATTTGGTATACACAGGGGGTCCTGGAACCAATCCCCCATGGATACTGAGGAGCAATTGTATTTGTGTTCTGTTTCTAAGCAAATTGTCATAAGCTTAGTGACCTAAACCAACACAAATTATCTTGCTGTTTTGGGGATCAAACATGAAAAATCAAAGTGTCCTTAGGACCTTTTTCCTTTCCAGAGGTTCTAAGAAGCTGAGTTTGCTTTCCTTTTTTTTTTTTTTTTCTTCTTTGCCTTTTCAAATCTGAGAGGCTGCCCATGTTCCTTGGTTTGTGGATCCTTCCTTCATCTTCAAATCCAGCAATGGCTGTTGAGTCGTTCCCACATCGCATCACCCAGACACTGACTGTTCTGCCTTTCTTTTCCACATTTAAGGATTCTTGGATTACGTTGGTCTCATTCACATGATCTAAGTTAATCTCCCGGTTTTAAAGTCAGCATATTAGCCAACTATTCTATCTGCTGTCTTAGTTCTTATTTGCCGTAAAGTGTAACATAATCCCAGGTTCTAGGGATAAGGACATGGACATCTTTGGGATGCCGTTATTACACCTACTACACCTAGTAAAATAAAATTCAGTGACGTAATAAATACTTTCACCAAGAAAAATATCTTTAAAGAAAAAATGTTTTCAGTGATTCATAGTGTTATTAGATGAATATAGGAGGCCAAGTTCAATTTGGCTTTCAGAAAAACCATGAAGAACTTTTTAGTGTATTTAATCCCAAATAGTATGAGATAGATAATGCCACAATAAACTGGATGTTGTTTATCTAAAACTCACATTTAACTGAGTGTCCTATACTTTTATTTGCTAAATCTGTCAACCCTAGTCATGTAGGATTAATACAAACAAATACATGTTTCTTCTAAGTTGCTCACATATGAGAGCAAAACAAAGAAAAGTACATTTAAGGTTCTATCACAGGTCTCTCAGAAAAAGTTTCCTGGATGTGTTATCATCCCCCAGATACCCTACAATTAGATCTTTTTGATGTTTCTTTAGTGTTTTTTTAATTATCTCTCTTTGATCAAGACCTTCACTGAAATGTATTCTTTTAAAAGCAAACACTCCTTCATTTTGGATTCATTAAGAGACAGATGTTAACATGAAAAAGCCCATATCCCAAGAAGGCTGGGGCATCTGAAACATGTCTGACCCTTTTCATTTTTGAATAGACTCTCCTGTCTTATGTAAAAATATTAAATAATTGAATTCTAGTACTTGATACAATATGTGAAGTCAATATCACAATAGATGGGATTAATAGCAAAGTGACCAGAGCAGAGTAGAGGATCCAAGAATTAAAACACAGGTCAGTGGGCTGGGCACGGTGGCTCACGCCTGTAATCCCAACACTTTGAGAGGCCAAGGCAGGCGAATCACTTGAGACCAGGAGTTCAAGACCAGGCTGGCCAACATGGTGATATTCTATCTCTACCAAAAATACAAAAAAAAAAAAAAAATTTAACTGGATGTGGTAGAGGGCACCTGTAATCTCAGCTACTCAGAAGGCTGAGGCAGGAGAATTGCTTGAACCTGGGAAGCAGAGGTTGCAGTTGAGTCGAGATCACACCACTGTACTCCAGCCTGGGTGACAGAGCAAGGCTCTGTTTCAAAAAAAAAAAAAAAAAGTAAGAATACAAGTCAGTGGAAAATTTTCAGGTTGAAGTGCAGAGATATAAAATAATGAAAAATACAAAAAATTGCATAAATATATATGTGAAGACACAGTAAAACGATGCTTTGTATATGTGTGTCTGTGTGTTTGCATTGAGTATATATGCAATACACACATATTGCATATGTGTTTGTGTACATACGTATGGTTGGTGCAAAAGTAATTGCAGTTTTTGCCATTACCTTTAAAGGCAAAAACCACAATTACTTTTGGACCAATTCTCTATCTATCTAGACAATTCTATTTCCAGGAAGAGAAATGAGCGAGGGACAGCAGCAATAACTGAAGAACTAATGGCTGAAAATCTGCTCAAAGCAATGATATTATTCCACATATTCAAAAAGCTCTGAAAACACCAAGAGGATGTGTCAAAAGTAAACTCTACCTAGACTAGTCTCAGACAAACCCTGTTCTTTGGAGAGTTTCTTCATCTGCTTTAAATATAGTTGGAACAAGATCAGTTGCTAATTTTGTAGCCAGGTGAATTCAATAAAATGATGAATGAGCTTCAGTGTTTAAAATTAATACCTTTTTTTTTTTCTTATGAGTCTTCAGGCACGATGAAATGGGAACAATTTTATTCTGTTATGTCATGAGTTCACAGGTTCAGAGACTTAGAGTATGACTTGCAAGCTCACTTGGTTGGAATGGATTCTGTGAATTCTGTAAACTCCCGGAGTTATCCTATTTTTGACCATCCAAATTAAACAGCTCCAGCTCCCATTCCTCATTAGTGTAGACAGCCAAATGTTTCTCAGAACTCCCTACAGGTGCTTATGCTCCTAATATCTTGTGCAAATTCTTATTTCTGTCTTCTGTGTGACATTCTCTGGCCACCTCCACCTCACTCCTGCAACCAACTACCCATTTTCTTTGTAGCTTTGCATTAAGAATTACTGAGGCTTTCCCCCTTTTCCAAGAATTTTCAAATACACAGCAATTGATTGAGACACAGTTTTGCAAAAACATAAGGATAATGACGGGTGGTTAATGCACAGAACTGTTAAAAATAAGAATAGAAATCAGAGTGCATTCTAGCTAAAGAGTTCAGCCACTCTTGGCAATAACCTCTACAGGCTACTTTGTGCCCTGATGTTACAGGTATACCTGCTCCTTTTGGAACCCAGAACTCCTTTCATTGTTAATCTCTGAGGGCCAAGAAACCTTTAACATTTTATTTTTAGAATTGTAGAATGATTTAGCGCTTATGGATTGTATCTCTATTTCACAGATGCAGTCAGGTGTCCTATCTTCCAAGACCTAAACAGCCATTAAAGGGCCTTCTTAAATAAAAGGAGAGTTTCTTCCTAAGAGAGTTGTGCTGTTTCCCCTAGAACATAGGAATGAATGTCATTGTCATGGTGACTTTTACTTTTTGTGTGTGTGTGAAGCTTCACTTCTTTTATACAGTCAAATGATATATGCTTCCAGGAATCAAGAAATCCACTAATTTATTCAAAATAACAACGTATATACGATGAATATTAAATGACTAAATAAAGGCAGGGTCTGACTATCCTGGCATCAAGGTAGGTGAGTGCGACTGAGTTGGACAATCACAGGATTAGACCCTGTCTTGGTTTAAATTTTGGGGAGTTTGTTAATTATGGTGATTTTTTCATGAATATTATTTTTTAAAAATCTATCGCATTATAAGATCATCTATCTTAAGTACAGGATATCTTAGTGCTTACATTTTATACCTGAGGCCAGAGCCTCCCTCGCTTCGCCCTAGTCCTGGCTCTGTCATCACGTCTGGATAAAATCTATATCCAGATAAAAATGCTTTTACTCTAACAAGGTCTGGTTACTTTTTTCAATCTTGAGATTAGGAAAGACAATGGATTATTTTGGAACTAAGGTGCATTTTCCCAGACGTAGATGATATGCACATTCAGTGCAGAGCTAATGTGAAGAAATAGAGAGCTTCTTATGCGTCTAGGATACACCCACAGAGTTCATGATTTAAGGACCAAACCCTCCCAAGGAGAGAGAGCAGGGCCAGGGAGCTATCTTGATGCTCCCCCTTAGAGTCGATGAGTCTTTCTTCTTGAGGTTTGCTCCCCTCTGCTTGTGTCCCATGCCATATTGTCCTCATTTAATTGTGCCCTCAAAGAGACTTGTTTTTAACAGCATTTACTTGGATCCTATTATGTTTGTATGTAAGGAAACCCTTGTACAACTGCATTTTGCCATCCAATTAATGAAATAGTTTATGAATGGCCAGCACATAAATGAATAAGACAAAGTCCACACTAGTAGAAATCTCATAGCTAAATGGAGAATTAAAAATTCACGCACCTCTGTAGGAGGCATAATTGCATAAGAAACCTTAGCCAGAAGAAGGGAGTCCTTGTGAAGAACAGAGGACTGGGCATCCCCTCCCTTGGCAGATCCACTATGATTCCATGAGGGAACTGGTCTTTGAGTTGGGCTTGCTTTTTTTAGGGAAGATGTGGGGTAGGTGAGGGCATGCAAGGGGAGGATGCAGGAGGAGCAAAGCACACGTTTTAGGAAAATGCCGGGAATAAATGGGGAAGGTCAAGGAATCCAAAGAATACAGATGCCTGTGACCCTGGAAAGCACTCCAAGCCCCGCTGTGGCAGCCCTGACCCCTTCCTGGAGAGCAGAAAAAGGTGTTTCAAGGATATTAGAGATGGCCTGCCCAAACCAACATCACCCAATGACCACAATTACTAGGATAAAGATTGCGTATCTTTGGACACCATAGTTTAATTTGGTTTACATGTCGCACGTCTCTGATGAGGGAGCCCTTTCTGAATCCGCATCAGCCACAGCAGCTTCTTGGCCTCCTCATGGCTTTTTGCAGCATTTTGTTCCAGGGAGACCACAGGTGCCAATTTGTTTATACCTTCTAGGGCAAAAGACTGGATGACATATGGCTCCACTCTTAAGGCAGGTAACAGGATCGCCTATACCACCAAAAACACCTAACAGGGAAAAAACACACAAAAAGAGCAAACAGCGTGTAAGAACTCAAAACTCATGTTGGAAAAACACAAACCCTGTGTCAGTATCGCCTTGAGTAAATCCGCAGCGGGCTTCTTTCTCAAGCCTGGGCTTTTCCATCATGATAATGAGACGCGAGTCAGTCATTTGGATCTAAGTTTCTGACATGGAAACTGGCACTGCTGTGGTTTGGGGGATGTTTATTTTTGTAGAACCTGATTGTGAAAGACCCTGATCTCTCCTGAGTGACTGGGGCCTCCAGGTGGGGTCTGGTAGGAGCTCAGCAACGATCTCTTGTGAATTCAGCTCCACCACAAGAAGATAATATCAAAGCCACCATACCTCCATTTTAACACACACAAGCCAGTAAACTTTTGCTTTTTCAAATCATTTAGTCTGTTAAGTATTTGATCTGAGATGGGATAAAAAGATGCAACTTACTGAAATTGTTTAATAGGAAATTAACACCAAGTAACTTACAGTTGAAAACCACAATTAACCATAGAAATAAATTTTGTAATGGCTTGTTTCTAATATCTAAGTCCTGGTTTCAACCTCATTCTTCTTTTTTTATCCCTCCCTCCCTCCCTCCCTCCCTCCCTCCCTCCCTCCCTCCTTCCCTCCCTCCCTCCCCACCTGCCCGCCTCCCTGCCTCCCTGCCTCCCTGCCTCCCCGCCTTCCTTCATTATACTGTTCTAGGTTTTGGAAAACATGAGGTCTCTGGTGCCTCTCAGAACCCCATTGTTCTCACAAAACCCAGGACTCATAAATAAGATTGGTAAAATGAGGATTTCACAAGATGATATCTATTAGATTAATTGTTTTAGGATTTACTCTCAAATTTTCTTTTTCCCTTTCTCCATCCTTCCCTTCCACTCTCCCTCTTTTATCCTTTCATGGTTTTTATTTTATTTTCATAATATCAAGGAGAAAATGAAGGTTAGGCATCCAGGTTTAAAAGTTGGTTTCAATGGGCTGTCCCTGTCCTGTGAACCTGCAGTGGCCTAGTGGCAGGGACTGTTCTCAGGGCCTCTGATCAGAAAAGTCCTGGGGGCAGAGTGTCTGCTGCAGTAGTTCTCACAGTATAGGCTGGGCCTTAAGATTATCTGGAATTCTCTAGGTTGCAGTATCTACCCTTTAAATATAAAAATTTAGAAAATGACATTCTATACTACTTTCTTTAGATAAAATCAAAATTTCTGCCTTTTATTTAAAAAGTCACCTAACAGGTTTCAACCATAGTCTCAGCAGTTGTAGCATGGAAAGCAGTGAAGAGATGATATTTACAAGCTACTGGGCTCCTTCATATTGGTTTAGAAGAACGAGTGAGGTGTCCATTGGGTTCTCAAACTCCTTTTCTATTGAAGGAAGCAATGCTTGGTTCAATTAAATAGGGCATTCAGTCTAAAAGTGTGGGTAGAAGAAAGGAAAGAGAAAGAAAGAAAGACATGCTCTAGGGAGAGAGGAAAAAGAAAGACAGAAAAAAAGAGAGAGAGGGAAGAAGAGAGAGAAGCAGGAGAAAAGGATGGAGGGGACACACAGAGAAAGGAAGGAGAGAGAGGGATGAGGGAGAGATAGGTGGAGGGGAATGAGAGGAGACAGAGAACTTCTACACCATTCTTCCATTTGGCCAACCCTCCTATTTCCCTGGCCCATCTCACCTGGAAGAGGCATCAGGAATATGAAGAGGAACGAGAAGAGGAGATACAAGACCCTCATGGCTGATGGCTGGGAGCTTCACCAGGAGCTGAGTCTGGGGAGGACATCAAGCCTTCCACCTTATAAAGGTCCTGGTCCCTGGTCACCAGGTAGAGTTCAGAACTGGTATTGGGTGCAATGCTCATTACAGAGGTTAGAATTCAGCCACTTACCTGGTGAGTCAGAGAATGGTCCTCAAAGAACAATGCACACTCAGGAGATCTTATGCAAATCTGGACTCAGGAAACCCCAGAAAATCCCTTCCTCCTGCTCTTGGGACCAGAAAATTCCTCCTATCTTGCACCATTTAAAACCCAGTGTGTGAATGGAGTGAGGGGCTGGGTCTGTCTCACGTGAGAACAAACTCAAACTCAGGACCTATAACCTGCCACTCACCTGCTGCCCACTCTGTGCGACGTCCTGTTTTTCCTGAGTATCTGGGGACAGTCTCAGGCCAAATTGAGAGCTCTTTCCATCTAATTCTATCCATTGCTCGGACATTCAGCTCCTGGGGATGATACAGGGCTGGCTCAAACCCAGGGACCCTGGGAGGGGCTCAGGGCCTCTGGCAGCACCGGGAGCATGGTGGGCCCCATCCTCACAGGAGATCTGAGCTGGTGAAATTTATGTGAAAGTTCCCCTGAAACTCCCCATCTTCCCCACGGGAGAGAGATGAGGCAGATGGATGCCCACTTCCTTCCTCTGAGAAGGAGAATGGGAGGATGGGATTGTGACTACATGTGTCCCCTCAGAGTTCACCCAGGCCTGGGCCAGGAGGTGGCCTACCACCCGCACTTGAGTTCCTTCCATTCACACCGTCACTCAGGGAATGTCAGCTCCACAGGACTTCAGGGCTTTGGGAGCCAGGGCTTTCTCTGCTTTCCACAGACGTCAGTGTCACTGCCCTTGGGATTTGGTGGAGAAGCACCGAGTGGGGCTGCAAGGCCTCCACGTGGTCTCCCTGTTGGTGATGGGAAACACTTATGAAGGAGCCCCATGTTTTCAGGGCTGTGTGAGGTCTCTGGTGTCTCTCAGGACCCTGTCCTTCCTCCGTAACCCAGAGTAGCAATTGGCGGCCCCAGGCAATGGACAGAGCCCCATCCCGGGCACTCAGGAGAGGGCCTTTCTTGGGAAAATGAGTGGCATTCATCCTGGTTCCTCCCTCTTTCGATCTAAGGGCAGTTTGAGAAACAAGCAGGCCCCAGTGTCCATGTCTGTGATGTCTCAGGGGTGCAGCAGTGACAGAGACATGGGGACAATGAGGCTTTCCTCATGACCTGCCTGACCTCTTCATTTAAAATGTCAGGTTCTGAAGAACCCTGATTCCTGGCAGGCCAGAGGTGGATTTAAAGGAAGCTGGTAACGATATTGTGCAGCCAAGATCCTTAATGACATTTTTATAAAAGGAAATTTCTGAGCCTAGCATGGTGGCTTACACCTGTCATCCCAGCAGTTTGGGAGGCTGAGGCAGGTGGATCACATGAGGTCAGGAGTGTGAGACCAATTTGACCAACATGGCAAAACCCCATCTCCATGAAAAATACAAAAATTAGCCAGGCATGATGGCTTACGCCTATAATTCCAGGTATTTGGGAGGCTGAGGCACAGGAGTCGCTTCCGACAGAGCAAGACTCAGTCTCAAAGAAAAAAAAAAAAAAGAAGGTTCTGATGGGGTATGCAAAGAGAGGGCTGGGTCAAATGCTGTCAGAACTGCTAAACAAATATGCATCCAGGACTGGAGCTTAGTCACCAGGGAGTCACTCTGATTGTCAGGGCTTTGTTTCCTTGTGTGTTGAGCAGGCTGGAATTGAGGGGCAGACTCATTCATTCCTGACACTAAAACTATTTCTTCCTGGTGAAGAAAGCATACAGAGAAATGGAATATGAAATAAAGCCTTTATGTGCTCTACCTAAATTAATAATTTATTTATTTTTTTTTGTATATTTGCTATGTCACCTTTAGAAAGTAAGAGGCAGCTCTCACTTGCTGCTGATGACCTGCCTCGCCATGCACATGTCCTGCCAGCACCCCACAGAAATGCTTCCATTACCCACAGTCTTTCACCAGATGAGACCAGTGTCCAGGCTACTGGCTCCTCACCTCACTTGAAGTGATGGTAAAGATGTAAAATTTGGTGCTGATGTCCGAGCCTTAATGCTTCAAAGTGTAGACTTTTTGTCGAGGCTGTAGCCATTACAATGGGGCCAAAGGGAAGAACAGTAATTATTGAACATAGCTGGGGAAGTCCCAAAGTAACAAAAGATGGTGTGACTGATGCAAAGTCAATTGACTTAAAGGATAAATATAAAAGCATTGGAGCTAAACTTGTCCAAGATGTTGCCAATAACACAGATGAAGAGACTGGGGGATGGCACTATCACTGCTGCTGTACTGGTATGCTCTATTTCCAAATAAGGCTTCCAGAAGGTTAGCAAAGGTGCTAATCCAGTGGAAATCAAGAGAGGTGTGATGTTAGCTGTTGATGCTGTAATTGCTGAACTTAAAAAGCAGTCTAAACCTGTGACCAAACCTGAAGAAATTGCACAGGTTGCTACAATTTCTGCAAATGGAGACAAAGAAATTGGTAACATCATCTCTGATGCAATGAAAAAGTTTGGAAGAAAGGGCATCATCACAGTAAAGGATGGAAAAACACTGACTGATGAATTAGAAATTATTGAAGGCATGAAAATTTGATCGAGGATATATTTCTCCATACTTTATTAATACATCAAAAGGTGAGAAATGTGAATTCCAGGATGCCTATGTTCTGTTGCATGAAAAGAAAATTTCTAGTGTCCAGTCCATTGTAACTGCTCTTGAAATTGCCAATGCTTACTGTAAGCCTTTGGTCATAATTGCTGGAGACATTGATGGAGAAGCTCTAACTACACTCATCCTGAATAGGCTAAAGGTTGGTCTTCAGGTTGTGGCAGTCAAAGCTCCAGGGTTTGGTGACAATAGAAAGAACCAGCTTAAAGATACGGTTATTGCTACTGGTGGTACAGTGTTTGGAGAAGAGGGCTGACACTAAATCTTGAAGACGTTCAGCCTCGTGACGTAGGAGAAGTTGGAGAGGTCACTGTGATCAAAGATTATGCCATGCTCTTAAAAGGAAAAGGTAACAAGTCTCAAATTGAAAAATGTGTTCAAGAAATCATTGACCAGTCAGATGTCACAACTAGTGAATACGAAAAGGAAAAACTGAGTGGAGAAACTTTCAGATGGAGTAGCTGTGCTGAAGGTTGGTGGGACAAGTGATGTTGAAGTGAATGAAGAGAAAGACAGAGTTATAGGTGCACTTAATGCTACAAGAGCTGCTGTTGAAGAAGGCATTGTTTAGGGAGGGGGTTGTGCCCTGCTTCGATGCATTCCAGCCTTGGACTCATTCACTCCAGCTAATGAAGATAAAATAATTGGTATAGAAATTATTAAAAGAACACTCAAAATTCCAGCAATGACAATTGCTAAGAATGCAGGTGTTGATGGATTTTTGATAGTTGAGAAAATTATGTAAAGTTCCTCAGAAGTTGGTTATGATACTATGTTAGGAGATGTCGTGAATATGGTGGAAAAAGACATTATTGACCCAACAAAGGTTGTGAGAACTGCTTCATTGGATGCTGCTGGCATGGCCTCTCTATTAACTACAGCAGCTGTTGTAGTCACAGAAATTCCTAAAGAAGGGAACAGCCCTGGAATGGGTGCAATGTGTGGAATGGGAGGTGGCCTGTTCTAATTCCTAGAATAGTGCTTTACCTTTATTAATGAATTGTGATAGGAAGCCCAAGGCAGTGTTCCTCACCAATAACTTCAGAGAAGTCAGTTGGAGAAAAAGAAGAAAAGGCTGGCTGATGTTTAAGAAACCACTATAACCATCAGTTACTGGTTTCAACTGACAAAATATATAATGGTTTACAGCTGTCATCCATGCCTACAGATAATTTAGTTTGTATTTTTGAATAGAAAGATCTTGTACATTCCTGACACTGGGTACAAGAGCCATGTACTGATGTACTGTTTTCAACTTAAATCACTGAGGCATTTTTTAGTAAAAATGAATAGTAGTCTATTCTGTTAAAATCAGGATTTTAGTGCTTGCAACCACCAAATGAGAAGTTAAGCAGCCTTTCTGTGCAGAGTGAGAATAATTGTGTACAAAGTAGAGAAACTTCCAATTATGTGACAACCTTTGTGTACTAAAAATGTGTTTAAAGTTAAAAAAGAAAGACGCAAACATCATGACACTTCACTGTAATTATCTCAGCAGAATCTCTTACATATGAGGGGACATTTCCACATCAAACACAATACAATTTACACACATTAAGAAAACTAGTTCCTCAATGTTATTTATTATCTTGTCAATATTTCACATTTCTCCAATTGTTCCAACCATGGCTTCATGGCTGTTGATGTTTCTGGATACATGTTTAATCTAGATTTGCACATCAAATCAGGTTGTCATGTCTCTTAATTTGTTGAGTAAATATTCTTAAGGAAATGTCATGGTACTATGAGAAGAACCTTATTGGGGCTTAGAGTTTGAATTAAGGGCCTGGTTGCCATCTTTTTCACGTGAGACTTCATTCCTGATCGATACATTCTTAATGACTACCATGCTTAACATTATTATTATAAAAGTAATACACTCACATTTAAAAACTCACCCATAAAAGAGAGTGAATTTTTCCTACAAACCTGTTCCAATCCCAGGAACCACCGATAGCACTGTGGTTTTTCACTTGTTGTCCTCTCTAGCTCTCAGTACATTTGTGAGGCCTTGTTAGAGAAGGAGGTGAAATTACTCTGAAATAGGAAAGTCACTGTGAAATGCAGCACCTGTGTCCCTGGGGAAGAAGCCACCAAGGCTTAGGGAATATGTGCCTGGTTGCTCAAGGACAGCTGGGCTGACTGTTCCCATGAAGATTCCTACGGTTGCAGCTGCTTCTTTTCTCCTGGCACAGCCCAGTGTGACTCCTTCACAGCTGTGTTCATCCTAGTGATGAAGTGTGTTTGATAAGGACCAATAGAGGGGCATCTTTGTTTTAAAGGTAGGGTTATGATCTTGCTTCAGCAAGGAAGACCATCCACTGGCAGAACCATGGGGCTCTTCACCAAAACCAGAGATGCAGCAATTCTAGGATTTGGGGACATGTCAAGATTTGGTAAAATATACATGACTTTTCTTTTTCTTAATGAGCTAAAAGCAAAGCCAGGTTGTGTGTAAAATGGGAACCATCAAGTCTAACTGACAAATAGACTCACTATGCTGTCTTTTAATGAAACATGACCTGTGCTGTGTCCCCAAACCTATCTCTATAACTGGGGAGAGAATTTCAGGCTGTTTCTTTGTGGCAAAATGGTTCAGTTCCCCAGGCAAGAGTGGGAAGCCTCATTCTTATAGATAGGCTCCCAGAAAGCAAACTCTCTCATCTCTATGATTTAGAAAACAAAGTTTCTCTGCATTATGTCCTCAATGTTAAGTAACAGAAGCAGTTTTACTGGTTCTCAATTCTGGAGGCAGAGCCAGCTTCATGGGCTTGAAGGCAGGGCAGTGACACACGAATCTGCTCTGAGAAGGGCCGGTACCTGGTGTCAGGCTCTGCTGATAGCTCCCTGACTTTCTTAGTTTTTTCTTTGAACTTGTGTTTTGTAAGTGAAGCTTACTGAGGACAATGGAGCAGGCACATGGGAAGAGTGGCTATGAAGGGAGACAAGTTGGGCAGGCTCAGGCCCAGGGACGTTCTAGAGCTTTGCTGCCCTGAGCATAGGCATTCTTGGAGCAGCCCAGGCACATCTGGACTGGGATGGGAGGTGGCAGCAGCAGCAGCAGCAGCAGGTGTCCTCAGCCCTGGGGTGAATGGAGTGTCTCTGTGTGGAGGCAGCACTGACACCTCTGTGCCTGTGCATTCTCAGAGTCATCCTTGGAGCTTCTGCACAAAGATTTACCCCCTGACCTGAGCACCAGGACAGGAACCATAGGTGCTCAGATAGCAAACTGGGAGGAGAGAAGCACAAAACAAAAGTGTGCCCATGGACATTGCAATAAAGTATACCAGGAAGTTCTTGGAATTCTTCAGAGAGTTTAGAATTCTTTAAGGCATTATCCAAGGCTCAGAAATGGAAATTAAACATGTAATAGTAGTCACATTCAACAGAGAAGGATGCTATATTTGTATAAAACTTCTGATGGGCCAGGCATGGTGGTTCACGCCTGTTATCCCAGCACGTTGTGAGGTTCAGGTCAGAGGATTCCTTGAGGCCAGGTGTTGGATACTAGCTTGGGCAGTATAACTAGACACCATCTCTACAAATAATGATAATAAAGATAATAAAGATTAGCTGGCCATAGTGTCACATGATCGTAGCCTTAGCTTCTTGGGAGGCTGAGGTATGAGGATTACATGAGTCCAGGAGTTTGAGGCTGTAGTGAGCAATGATCGTAGCACTGCACTCCAGCCTGAAAAATACAGACCTTGTCAAAAAACAAAAAACAAACAAACAAACAAACAAAAACCTTCTGATTAATCAATTATGAACAAGGAGGGCAATTTTAAAAATTAAGTTTTTCTTGTTAATAAATACATAGCAATAGAATTCATAAACAGGGGTTTTGAATAAGTTACAAATCATGATGCCATATTGGTCTGCTGTGGGCCTCTGCAACTTACAGAACATGTCAGAAGATGCATCAAAATTCCGCTGGAGAAATTGACACTTAAAATTAGATTCAAATTTACATGAAACTGATTTGTTTAAAGAGTTAAATCTTTTGAGACAAATTGTTTCACAAGAATCACCAGCTCCAGATATACTAAAATCTGTTTCAAAATAATTTATCCTCATGTTGTCACAGCTTGGAATATATTCCAGAAACAGTTGCTTCAGCAGATTCTTCCCAAAAGATAAAATGAAGTTGCTCAAGGTATAAAGTTTGTTGTCCTAATATATTATTTGACAGAAAAGTGGGCCAGAAAAATTGTATGATTCATCTAAATCCAATTAATAGAGTAGAATTTTTATTCTATTAAAACTATGAAATTAATTTCTGGTGGAGATTTGTAAGATTCTGTCATTACTCCTGTATAACTATTACATTTTTCAAACAATGAAAAATATTTCTTTGAAAAAGCTTAATATCCTACTGCCTTTCATTACACTTTCTTTTTCTGCTCTTTAAACCATGGTACCCTGCATTTCCATTTCGCACTGAAACTTAGGAATTTTGCGGCCAGCCCTGCTATGGCCATTTTTATATTAGTTATCTTATTAAATCCTCAGAAACAAGCCTGCCAGGTAGGTATTACGCAAGCTTACAGAGGCAGGTCCTGGGGCATGGAAATGTTGGAGGACACGTTCAAGGTCACCTGGCTACTAAGTGGCAAAGATGCAATTTGAAATAAAATCCCCCTCTCTTCAAAGCCCATGTTCCTAACCAGCGCCACACAATCATCATGGTGTCCTGATAACCTCCCCTCTTCATCCTCCTACAACCCCAAAGCTACAGTAACGCTCTGCCTAAAGCCAAAGTCCATGGAGCTACTGTCACCCTCTTCCATCTTCTGAGCTGAGTGGTGAGTCCAGAGCCTGGGCTGGCCTGGTCTTGCAGGAGGTGAGGGAATGAGTGCGCAGTTACTGCCACCTCGTGGCGGCTCGTCTATATGACCCTAAAACGCAGATGTAATCTGTTTCCTGCCTGCCTGAAGCCTGGGTGTGCACCTGAGACTTACAGTAATTTCTTTACCCCTTAATGAACCTATTGAGAGTTCTCACAATTGTATGGATCCTCTCAAGGAATCAGCTTTTATTTACTAATTTTTAATGTTTTTTGTGTCCAGTTTCTTTTTATTCACTTTTTCTTTTTCTCTTTTTTTTCTTTTTCTTATTTACTTTGGGTTTAGTTTGTTCCCTTTTCCCTTACCGTTTCTTACAGTGGAAACTTAAATTGTCTATTTGTGAGCTTTTCTGCTTTCTATCATAATAGCATTTAATTATAAATTTGTCTCCAAGAGCCACTTTAGTGGCACTTCCGCAAATTTTGATATGTTATGGTTTCATTTTCTATCAGTTGAACATATTTTCTAAAGTATCTTGTGATTTCTCCTCTGGACCATTTAGATACATGTTCATTGATGTCCCAATATATGGAGATTTTTCCAGATGACTCTCTGTATTGATAGTTTTGTAAATTCCACTGTAGATAGACACTGTCTTTTGTATAACTTTAAACTATGTTGATTTTTTGAGACGTTTCATAGGTTAGTATGAGCTCTAATGGGTAATATTTTAATGCATTCTGCTGTTATTTGGTAGAGTGTTCTATAAATCTCAAATAGGTTGTGCTGGATGGTAGCGTTGCTCAAGACTTCTCTACCTTTACTAATATTTTGTCTGCTTTAAAAAATCTCTTACAGGAAGAGAAGTGTTGAATTGTCTAATTGCAATTGCTAATTTGTCTATTTCTTTAATGTCTATTGATTTTTCTTTAAGAATTTCAAAATTCTGTTATTAGGGGCACACACTGATTTAATATTAATATCTGTTCTTGGTGATGTAACCACTTTATCATTAGGAAAAATATCTCTCCCTATTACTGATAATACCCCTTGCTCTAAAATCTACCCTAATTTATGTCAATGAGCCAGTATAGCCAATCCTATTTTCTTTATACTAATGTTTTCATATTATATCTCTTTCCATCCTTTTATTTTTACTCTAAGTTTGTTCTTAAAGTTTATATATAAAGTGGGTTTTTATAGACAGCATGTAGTTGGGTCTTGCTTTTTACTGAACTGACAATCTCTCTCTTTAAGGAGCTTCTAGAATGTTCACAGCATGCTCTTTTCATCATATGGAATCAAATTTCTACCTAGCATCTTCCCTTTCTGCCAAAAAAACTTATCTTTGCATTTTATAGTACAGACTGGCTGGTGAGGAATTCTCTTAGCTTTTATTGTTGTTACTGGAAAATGCCTTTACTTATTATTTGATTATGTGTTTACCCTTTTTTTAGAAATATACTTTTGCTGGGGTGGATTTCTAAGAGAACATTTTTTTTCTTTCGGCATTTGAAGATAACACTTAACGTTTTGTTCTTCTGTAAGTAATATGTCTCCTTTCAGACTGCTTTTTAGTTTTATTTTTGTTTTTGAGACGCAGTCTCTCTCTGTTGCTCAGGCTGGAGTGCAGTAGGGTGATCTCGGCTCACTGCCATCTCCGCCTCCTGGGTTCAAGAGATTCTCCTGCCTCAGCTTCTTGAGTAACCTAGGATTATAGGTGCGTGCCACCATGCCTGGCTAATTTTTGTATTTTTTTTTTAGTAGAGACAGGGTTTTACCATGTTGGCCAGGCTGGTCTCAAACTGCTGACCTCAGGTGATCCGCTCACCTTGGCCTCCCAAAGTGCTGGGATTACAGGCATGAGCCGCTGTGCCCGCCCTCAGGCTGCTTTTAAAATTTTCTTTTTATTACTGATTTAAAATAATTTGATTATGATATGTTTCATGTGGTTTTCTTCATGTTTCATATTTCAACTTGGATGTCTTCATGTGGTAAATTTGTGTGTTTATAGTCTCACCAAATTTGGAAAACAATAGGCCATTCCTTCCTTAGCTCTATCCTCTCTCTCAAAACTTTTCTTCTTTTATTCGAGATGGAGTCTTGCTCTGTCGCCCAGGCTGGAGTGCAGTGGCGTGATCTCGGCTTACTTGCAACCTCTGCCTCCCAGGTTTAAGCGATTCTCCTGCCTCAGCCTCCAGAGTAGCTGGGATTACAGGTGCACGCCACCACACCCAGCTAATTTTTGTATTTTTAGTAGAGATGGGGTTTCACCATATTGGCCAGGCTGGTCTTGAACTCCTGACCTTGTGATCCACCCTCAGCCTCTCAAAGTGTTGGGATTACAGGTGTGAGCCACCACGCCTGGCTGTCTAAACACACATAGTTGCTAGATTGCTTGATGTTTCTGCACAGGTCACTGCTTATTATTTTCCAGCCCTTTTCTCCTCTCTTTGTACTATTTCTTCATTCATTTGTAGTAATATAAACTCAGGTTTACTGATCTTTATTTTGGAATATATGCCACAATCCAATTCATAGTATCTTTTACTCAGATGTTTATTTTTAATCTCTGGAAATTCCATTTGTCTCTTTATATCTCTCACTCATCATGAACAGTTTTTCTCTTCAAACTTGGACATATTTATAACATTTATAATAGCTCATTTAAATCTTTTTTTGCTGATCCTAGTATCCTTGTCATTTCTGGATCTGTTTTTACTGAATGATTTTTCTCTTGATTATGACCATATTTTCCTGCATAGCAGCTAATTTTTTATTAGATTCAGTGTGCTATAAAGCACAAACTGTTGAGTGATGGATTTAGTTGTTTTTCTTTGAAGAACGTTAGGCTTTATTCTGTCCCACATTTAAGTTTCTCATAGATCAGTCTGGTCCTTTCAAGAATGGTTTAGAAAAAAATTTGTTAGAGTGGTTGCAGAACAATTTAATCTAGAGCCAAATAGCACTACTACTAATGTGTTAGTTGCCCAAGGACTCTGCAGTCTCTCCACTTTGCTAGTGGGAATGAAAATTTTTCCAGCCTTTAGTGCTCCTAAAATTGTTATCCAATCCCTTTTGGGTGTTTTTCTTTGCCTCTAGCCTTGTGAAGTCTTACCCCAAGCGTGCTCACATGAAAACACAGCCCAGGACTGAAGATTTACCATGTGTCCCTGCCCCCACCACCAACACTTCGGGGCCTTGCTTCCTTCTAGGCACCCTCTCTCTGCTATTCTGCCCTGGAAGTGGGGGTGTCTTGTGCTTTGGGAAGTTTGATTTCAGTCTCTTCAATGCTTCAGGATTGCTGGACTTCGTTTGAGTCTTCCTCTGTGTGCTGTGGTCTGGACCCTGCTGCTGTAGTGAGCTGGGGGCAATCGAAAGTCTCACTTCATTGGTCTGTTGCACTGCTTATTATCCAATGTCTGAACACAGCTGTCACACATCTTGACAGGTTCCCTTTTGTCTGCTGTCAGAGGGAGATTCCCATAGCAGTGAGTCCATTTTGGATGTAAAGTGAGGAGCAGTCTCATCTTTTTGAGCCCTTGAGCCTTTCTTCCTAAGAGCCTTGTTGTATTGTCTTTTCTCCATACATGGAGCCATGACTGGGGTCTGGTGTCAGGTATGAAAAACCACACACTCCATTTGCTGGAATCCTACTGCGTCAACGTTGAGAGAGCACTAGATAGTTAAACTGCAGTACCTCCAAATCATTTGAATGATTAAAGATAATTCAATCAATAAATCGTTTGAATGTACTTCAATTCATAAATACTTGTTGAGCAGCCTTCATGCTCAGGGCACTTTACAAGCAGTACAGGAAGAATTAAGACAAACTCCTTGCTTTTAAGGCTCACAAAATCTAATATGGAGATTGGCAATATGTCACTGTACGCAATGTAAAAACCAAGCAAGGGTTGTAGATGGAGGACTCAAGTCAGAACCCTGTGGTGAACCAGAGGAAAGACTGTAAGCATTTGGGAAATCACCTGTGTTTTTAAGGTGGAGATAAAATGTGAGACGGTCCCTGAAGGACAGGTTAAAGTTTAGAGATGAAGTTGGAGGAGTGAGGCAGACATGAGGTCAACCAGAGCAGAGGCATGGGTGAGAGAAAGCAAAGTGAATATCTGAGGAAGAGCCAGTTTCCTTATTTCTCTGAAGACAAAGTTTTTGGAAGGAATTGGGATAGCCCCTGAGGGATGCATGAAAACCTTAGAGATAGATTTGGTGGAGAGATGCCATTTGGGGTAGAGGGACTGAAAAGGCCCAAGGCTTGGATGACATGAAAGCAAAGGGCATATTCCAAGAGAGTGAAGAGTCCAACTTCACTGGGGCATAACGTTCACAAAGTAGGAATAGAACCTGATAACCCTTGGATAATAAGGTTGGGCTCCCTTATAGATTTCTCCAGAGATTCTACTTTCTTTGAACGAAAGGTGAGTCCTTAAGATTTTCTGAGTTGTCTGTTTGGAAACAAGTACCAAAATAATCAGATTTAAAAAAAAAAAAAAATCAAGCTCCTAATTTTTTTTGAAAAAAAAATGTAATTTGATTTTACTTTTATAAACTTTAAGAAGGCATTTCCACACTTTACAACACTCTCGTCATGTTTCAGGGTTTTTATTTCTTTCTTCGGCAGCATTTTCGGCCACGCGTCGAGCACTTGCCGATCTGTTCCTCCTTTGGAAGGCAGCTGAGCACAGCACACCGGCCGCCTCTGACTCTGCAATAATATTTCTGTAATGTGTTTATGATTCCTCCATGACCTGCAATGACAAAACAGCACACACGGAAAGGTTTTAGGAAGGCTTTTGGTACACGTACAAGGCTTGTGGAATTCCTCAAATAACTCATCTCTTGCTTTTCTTGTATTCTTTTGTTTCTTTTTCCTTTTTCTATAAAATCAGGAGGAAGATGAAGGTATGACTACACAACCCATAGACAATGTTTCTAAGGCTGCAGCTCAGCTGTGGACCCACAGTGGCACCGGGGAAGTGGCGTGACCCTGTGACTGCCGCAGGAACAGTGGGGGTGCTGAGGCTGTGGTGTCCTCAGAGGTAGCCCCAACACTCCACCTCCAACCATTGCACTTAGTAGAACAGGAGCCTGTGCTTCTATTCTCAGAGTAAATCAATCTTTCCTGCTACATTAAACTTTTATGTCTGATTCATGTCTCATCAGCTGGTATAATAATCTTCCCTTGAAGAGTTGGGGAAAGAGATAGCTTTGGGGAGCTATTTAGTTTCTTAATGATTCTTTTCTTTTTTTTTTTTTTTTGAGGCGTACTCTCACCCTGTCACCCAGTCTGGAGGACAGTGGCGTGATCTCGGCTTACTGCAACCTCCGCCTGCCAGGTTTAAGCAATTCTCTGCCTCAGCCTCCCGAGTAGCTGGGATTACAGGTGCCCGCCACTGTGCCCAGATAATTTTTGTATTTTTAGTAGAGATGGGGTTTCACCATCTTGGCCAGGCTGGTCTTGAACTCCTGACCTCGTGATCCGCCCACCTCGGCCTCCCAAAGTGTTGAGATTACAGGCATGAGCCACCGCACCTGGCCTCTTAATGATTCTTGTCTGAAAAAAAAGTGGTGATGCCTAGTTCCCATACAACAAACCTGCTTGGTCCAAAGCACTCTGAAGGATGGAGAAATACTGACTCTGAATTATATATTCTCAATTAGATCAATCCTTAGATTTCCCAGCCCATCTTACCTGGAACAGGCACCAAAAACAGGAAGAGCAAAGCAAACAGAAGATAATGGATCCTCATAGCTGCTAGGCTTCACCCCACGCTGAGACTGGATGAAAAGGTGTGCTTGGTCACTTTATAAAGGTTCCAGCCACAGCTGCAATTCTTGTCATATTACAGTGATGACATTATGACATGTTTTCTGATGCATCATTCCAATGCCTCTCACCATGCAGAACACACCCACTCACTCAGTTAATTAGGAACCCAATGGTAAGGCAGAGCTCCCTATGGATTTGTGGCTGTCCGGGTGCTCTCTGGACTCCAGGGGCTTGTCTGGGTGTGGGTCAGATTGGGTTGTGGGTACAGATAGGGCTGGCATGAGCAAGTATGCCCCCTTTGGGGAATAGTCTCAGGGCATGTGGCTGGGGGCTGACTTGTCCGTACTTTGCTGCTTTGGAGCTTTTTTTCTCTTCCTAAAATGCTGGGAGAGTCTAAGACCCTCCTGGGGACCAAATAAATCCAGCCCTGGACATATTCAATATCTGGCAATAGGACTGGCTTTTTGGTAGTGAGGTAAGGGAGGAAAATGGGCTACATTCAAGGTTAGCTGACCAGCTGGCCCTTGGCCTATGATGGGGTGCTCTAATTTGAGTGAAACATGTCTCATTCTTTCATTTTTTTTTTTTTTTTTGAGAGACAGAGTCTCACTTTTTTGTGCAGGCTGGAGTGCAGTGGCATGATTACAGCTCACAACAGCTTGAGCTGTCAGGCTCAAGAGGTCCTCCCACTTCAGCCCCCTGAGTAGCTGGGACCACAAACGCATGCCTCCACACATGGCTAAATTTTAAATTTTCTGTAGAAAATAAAATGGGGTCTCACTATGCTGCCCAGACTGGTTTCGAGCCCAGATGTGAACTCCTGGGCTCAAGCAATCCTCCTGCTTCAGCCTCCTAAATTGCTGGGATTACTGGTATGAGCCACTGTGTGCGGCCCATGTCCGATTCTTCATCATTGTCTAAAACCTACCAAATTTGTGAGTAAAGAAGGTGTTTAATTTTACTTCATCAGAGAAAGAGGATGCTGGGATGATAGATTTAATAGACTGGCATCTCCTCCTAGTCAATGACTGTCCCTGTGCAAAAGAGGGGCTTCAGAATAGACATTTAAGACCTCAAGTTACTCTTGGCTCAGGAGCATTCAAGGCAGTCCAGGGGCCAGATGATTTCCCCTGCATATAGATTCAACGTTTAGAGGGAAAAATGCTAAAAAAGAAAAAAAAAACAGCTATTATACTTAAATGTTCAGGAATCCAATGGATGGGTTGTATTTGGTTGACTATCAATTGGGAACTAAGTAAGTCAATGACAATTCAATTGGGAGCTGAAGTCACCGTGATGTCTCCTAGCTGCTGCTTCGTGTGAATGCAGTTATAACGGATCCACTAAGGATCAAGGGTGTGTTAGTTCTGGGAGTGTGTGTTCAGAATTTGGGTGCACCACACCTGTCAGATTCAGTAAGAAAACTCTGAACACATACTATAGGAAGGGACAAGTATCATGTCTTCAGCATAGGTGAGGGTGAAGTGGATGAGATACCAAGAGGGACCAGTCTTGGTTCTTTCTCTCCAGAAGCTCCATGTAGGGCCAGGTAGATGGGCAGACAGTCAAATGATAAATTTAGGATGAATTCTAATGGGAGTCATAGGAAGATTTCAAGCACAGGGCTGCAGAAACGTAGAAGAAAGATAACTCATCATAACTCAAAGATAACTCTTTGAGCCAAGAGTGGAGCTCAATCAGCAGATTTAAGACTTTAGATAGGTAGATGCTACTTTTTAAAATCTAACTTTCCTCTTTAGTTCATGATTTGAGACAAAGCAATTGGAGATATTTATAAATGGGGGAAGGAGGTGAGTGTGGGTGGGATGGGTGCTGACTTCACAGTCTTACTATGTCAGACATAACGATGGCATTGGGCGTTGTAGAGGGTTAGCACCAGCTCTCAGCCTGGGGTGAAGACAGTCAGACGCTGGAGATGACTTGCTTTTCCACATGGAGAATAGACTTCCACAGGTGAACCCCTGGTCTAACCTGTTCCTTCATAGACTGGGAGGCATTTTTATGGCAACACCACTATTTCATAAAAGTTCCTTGGTGAGGAAAAATGCCACTTTTTCTTGTCAACTAGTTTGGGAGCTGGGAATTGGAGATTGGGCTGTGACAATCAGCCTTTTCAAGTTTGGACATACTCCAGACACACAAAATCCGTTTTGAGGGGGACTTACCTGTTTTAAGAAAATTATAAAAGTAATGCATTTTTATGGTAAAATTTCAAACAATAGAAGAGAGAGACTGTGTAATTTACTTCTCTACTCCAGGGAGCCACTGACAACTGTGAATTGCCCTCTTTTTGGCTTATTATAATCCTTTTTATGTCATAAATACTTTTAGCCTCTCAAATGATAAGAAGTACACATGTGCTGTCTAATAGTTGGGTGAATAGATTCATGTGTCTGAAGCCTCACAACACTAACGAGAGCTGGGTCTTGTCACTCCCTGCTCCTGGGCTCTGAGTCACAGCACTTGGAACTGCAGATCCTGCAAATTTTTGTACCCATGTGCTTGGTTTCCTTGTAGCTCTCACAGCCAGCATTTCGACAATTTTGATTAGGTTGAGCGAGGAAGAGAAACTTTAGTTATTTATCACCTTTGTTCATGTCAGACTTCCCTTTAATTATTATTTTTTAAATCCTGTTCTTAAAATGTGGAGCCGAGATGTGATTGGTCCAAGTTTGTGGCTAAAGGGCAGAGCTATGTAGAAGACAAGCACCAGGTCTGAAGTGAGGGGTCATTGGGCCATCACTCAGCCCTACCGTGTATGGCGTGGGTTTACCTGAATAAATTACCTAAGCTTTGTGAGCATCTGTAACTCAGCAACAAAGCACAGAGAGCAGTACATTTCCTGTTTAGGTCACAGTGAAAGCCCTATGAGTTAATGGTGTGAAATTGACTTGTACATTGCAAATTACCATGTGACCCATGTATCACCCAAGTATCACCCACGTGACCCTCGGTTAACAATATCAAGACTCTGGCATGGGCTCCCAGCACGGGAATCCAGGGTGTCAACTCTTCTTCATCTTGACATAGTCTAAGATGAAGGTTGGCTCAGCCATTCTCCTTTGCAGCCATTAATCTTGTCACAACCACCATTATATAAGTTATACAAATAAAGGCAGACATTTTTCCAATTTTATAGATGAAGACACTGAGGCTCAGAGAGGTTGAATGACATGCTGTAGTGAATTGCAGCATTGTGACCTGAAGCCAGCATGTCCAGTCATTTCTCTGCCTGCTCTCAGAGTCATCCCTTGACTATTGGTGATCTACACTCATGTGTAGTGGTCTATACTTAGGTGTGTACCCTTTTCCATCACCCCATTGTCCCTAAATTCTTTGCATCCTAGCATCTCAAGAAATCTGTCCAAACTACTCTTCCTAAGTCCAGCCAAGCCTTTTACATCCCCAGCTCAATGAGTTTTTTGTCTGTAATCTTCCAACCTGACCGTTTTGCAACATGTGCCTCGTAAGGCCACTTTCAGAAACCTATCCCTCAATTTCAATTCAACGTCCAGAGAACTTCATGGACATCTGCTCTGTATTAGGGTCTTAGGACATGGTGCTGTGCAGGAAAGAAAGATAAACAATATTTACTCTCTAGGCTCTGAATTTTCACTATTTCCCAGTCTAATGGAAAAAGATACAAGCTGACAGTAACATGATATAACAGACATCCGCTTTCCATTGTCTCCTCCTATCCTTCCCATTACTGCCTTTGATTCATCATGGAAGTTTTCCTCCTTCTCCTGTCCCTGAAGTCCCCAAAAGGGAGCATCTTCAAGAATTTAACATTTTCATGGCAATCATAATGATGATGATGATGATGATCCTCCTCCTTATCATCATTGTCACGTCATTGTAACAGATCTATTGAGCACATATTATGTTCTAGACACTGTGCTAAGCAATTTACTTGCATTTATTTCATTTGAATCATGCAGTAATTTAATAATGTTGATACACTTATCTGCATTTCCCAAATGGGGAAAGGCCAGTTGATGCTCCCATGCTCCTAACTGTATTCCAGATGCTTACTCGTGGGCCTCTGCTGGCTTCATATGATCTTTGGGATGTGGTTATCTATGCCTGCATGCAGCTACCTTCCATCTTCATCTCTAGTCTGGACCATTTCCCCAATGTTCTCAACCAATCTTTACATCACTTTTTCTGTAAATATCAACTTCACTCTCCAAATTGCTTGGTGATAGATGCTGGAAACTAGGTTCTTTCTGACTCTTCTTTCTTTTTTTGGAGGGGGGGACAGAATCTCACCCTGTCTCCCAGGCTGGAGTGAAGTGGCACAATCTTGGATCACTGCAACTTTCACCTCCCGGGTTCAAGCGATTCTCCCACCTCAGCCTCCCAAATAGCTGGGACTATAAGTTTGCACCACCATGCCCAGCTAATTTTTGTATTTTTAGTAGAGACAGGGTTTCACCACTTTGGCCAGGCTGGTCTTGAACTCCTGATCTCCAGGGACCTGCCCTCCTCGGGCTCCCAAAGTGCTGGGTTTACAGGCATCAGCCAATTCTTTCTACAAAGTGGTTTGCATAATTTTCAGGGACCAACTCAAATACCAGTTCCTCATGATCTCAATCACCCCAGTTGAAAGAGATCCCTCCCTCCTCTGCAGTTCTGCAGAGCACATTTTGCATGACACTTGGAGCTTCTACCAACTTCCATAATGAATGCCATATACTATTTGTGAACATTTCTTATTATCTTTAATAGATGGTGTCTTTTCATTTATGTCCTTATATTAATGAGAAAGTATATACTCAAGTCCTATGTTGCTTTCACCCTTTAGATAATAAGAATTATTTTCAAATCCTAGAGTATCTCCTAGGATGCTCAGGATGAATATCACAAAGAAGAAATACTTCCAGAAGAGCAAGGAAATAGGGAGAGAACAGTAGCAGCTAATGCAAAGACAACAAATGATTTACAACATGAGAACAATCTGAACACACTTATGGTTTAACAAAACATAAATAAATTCGTGAGATACTGAGTGTGGCAGGCAGCCACTGCAATGGCCCCCAGTAACCCTTGCCTTTAGGGAATGCTGGTATCGTGCTTTGGTGCAGATATGATATGGAGGGTGGAGCAGAGGCTTATGAGACTGAAGGCCAGAAGACCAAGAGCTGAACTCAGGTCTGCTGTGTTTCGGATGCCAGTGGGAGAAAGAGGCAGATCTGAGTGCCAGAGCCATCTAGAAGAAGCAATCAAGAGTTAATACAATGGTTGAGCATGAGAGAAGGAATTAAGAGAGGAGGCAGCCTAGGGATACTGTTCAGGGGACAGGGTAGGTGGCGGTCCCATCAATTAGAATTAAAGTGGTGATGCCAGCAGGCACTGAGGGAGACATGCTATGGAGAGAGAGCCAGGCTTAACATATGGCATCTTTTTAAAACAGGCTCAAACTAGTTTAGGAATTTACAGGCTTAGCAGTGATGTGGGTTTGCATGCCTTTCCCAGAGTTTCTAAAATCATGCCTGACAAGATGGGGACTGACTCTCCTAATTCCTATAGGCAAAATCAAGGAGGGGATAAGTGTATGAGAAATTCATATAAAGCTACCCTAAAGACATTTTTCTACCCATTTGGCAGCAATATTTTCACCACAAATAGAATGAAGTGCATAATACTACCTCACCTTCTGTTTACACTGGGTAACTCCAACCGGGTTCTTTCTATTTAATCATGGCCCTGTCCCAGTAAAAACACACCCTATACTACCTCTGGCCACCAGCCTACACAGTTCTGATGGCTGCTTCCTCAGGGAGGACTTTTAGGGGACAGGTGGCTCTTACAAAGCAATCATGAGCTCAACTCATCAATGGGCTGGCAGCTGAGGTGGGGAAGTGATGCATCCAAGGCAAAAGGTGTGACCCAGGGGACTTTTTGTTAAAACAGGTCGTCTGCCACTATCCTTTCTTCAGAACTGGTAATTGAAATGAGCCTATTGACTGATGTGGTAATAGGCCATGGATGACTATTAAATGATTTGCACATGGTGGCTAGTATCTATGGAGCTGTTATTACGTACCTGGCATGGCAATGGTGCTTTAATGCATTTCTCTGACAAAAAAAGGCATAAAGTAGGTATCAGAATTTTTACTTAAGGATAAGGAGGAGGCACAGTGGCTCACACCTGTAATCCTAGCACTTTGGGAGGTCAAGGTGGGTGGATCTCCTGAGGTCAAGAGTTTGAGACAAGCCTGGCCAACATGGTGAAACCCAGTGTCTATTGAAAATACAAAAATTATCTAGAAGTGGTGGCGGGCACCTGTAATCGTAGCTACTTGGGAGGCTGAGGCAGAAAAGTTGCTTGAACCTGGGAGGTTGAGGTTGCAGTGAGCCCAGATCACGCCATTGCACTCCAGCCTGGGTGACAGCAAAACTCTGTTTCCAAAAAAAAAAAAAAAAAAAGATTAAGGAAACTAAGGCTAAGACAAATGAAATAACTTTCTAAAATTTGAAGCCCAGGACCATCAGGCTCACAGATTATGCTAACTACTTGCTTTATTATTCAGGTTATTGTAGTTATATTTTATATCCATGTTTCTGTCAAAGGTTTTTGGTGTGGGGTTTCCCAGTGGAAAGGTAAATGATTATATATGGTGGAGAATAAATGAGAGAGGGCTTGGGGAATGGAAGCCACACCTCACCCACTTGGCTCAGACCACAGGGCTACTCCTGTTTTGAGAATTTCCAGCTAACTGCCTTATAAAATTACATAGCATGGTATTTATGGTGCTAGAGCACCAAGAAAAATTCAATAAAATGATGAATTTGACATCTCTGACTCAATCTCCTCTTCCATATTTTTCAAGAGGTTTTATGATTGCATATATTAGGGGCCAGCAAACCTTTTCTGTAAAGGGCTAGACAGTAAATATTTCTAGGCATTGCTGGCCATGTGGCTTCTGTTGCAACTACTTAATTCTGCAGCTATAGTACAGAAGCAGTCATAAACAATACATAAACAAATGGCCATGGCTTTGTTCCAATAAAAATTTATTTATAAAACTGGGTGGCAACTGGATTTAGCCAGCAGTCCATAGTTTTCTGACCCCTGGCATAAATTTATGAGACACTGAGTGTGGCAGGCAGCCTCTACGATTGCTGCCAAGGATTCCTGTCTTTGTGAAATGCTGTGATTCATGCTCTGGTGTAAGCCACTCCTTTTGATTATGAGCTGGCCTCATTCACTCATTTCTAATAAATAGATTATAAGTCTATGAAGCAATAGATTATAACCTAATCTCAGAAGTCATGAGAGTAAGCTATAAAAAGGCTGTGGGTTCAGTTTTGGATGCCTTCTCACTCTTCTTGCTCTTGTGGAAGCCTGCTGCCATGTTTTGAGTCGCCCTATGGAGAGACCTACAAGGCAATGAACTGAGGGGCTTCTCTGGCCAACAGCTAGTCAGTCACTAAGGCTCTTAATATACCAGCCCACAGGGAACTAACTCCCTCCAATAACCATGTGAGTGAGTTTATGGAAGTAGATCCTTCCCTGTGTAGGCTTCAGATACAAATGCAGCCCTGGCTGACAGCTTAACTGCGACTTCATGACTGAGCTTGATCTAGAAGCACCCAGCTGGGCCATGCCTAGTTTCTACAATCCACAGAATGTGTGAGATAACAATGTTTCTCGTCTTCATCCACTAAGTTTTGGGATAATTTGTTATGCAGCAATGGATAACTAATATAGTGAGGTATAGTGCAAAGAATGGAAGAGATTTAGAGACCTATGTTTCAGTCCCAGTTTTTTTACAAATTTGCTATGTAAATTTAGACTAACTGTTGACCAAGTCTAGCCCTTCCATTTTTTATTCTGCCTACAAAAGGGAAAGGAATCATGGATTTCTGAGGTCATTACAGGTCTAAGTCTTCATGGTTCATTGAATTGTCAAGCTGATTCCTGCATCTAAACCAGAGTCTTGAATTGGAAGCCCATGAGTAAAATATAGTCCATCGAAGTATTTTGATATTAGGTGTCAACATTTAAAACACTAAAAATTTTGCATAAAAATTCAGTTTTCTGACTTCCTCAGAAAAATTCAATGATTAAACCACCAGGGCCCACGTTTCTACATGTAACACTGAGATTTATCCAAAAATCTCTTGTCCCGTTACATCACAGGTCCCCAACCTCTGGGCCATGGACCAGTACCCGTCCCTGGACTGTTAGGAACCGTGCCACACAGCATGAGGTGGGTGACAGGCAAGTGAGCGAAGCTTCATCTGTATTTAAAGCTGCTCCTCATCACTTGCATTACCACCTGAGCCCCACCTCCTGTAAGATAAGTGGCAGCATTAGATTCTCATAGGACTGCAAACCCTATTGTGAACTGTGCGTGCCAGGGATCTAGGTTGCATGTTTCTTATAAGAATCTAATGCCTGATGATCTGTCACTCTCTCCTATCACCCCCAGATAGAGCTCTTTAGTTGCAGGAAAACAAGCTCAGGGCTCCCACTGATTCTACACTATGATAAGTTGTATAATTATTTCACTGTATGTTACAATGTAATAATAGAAATAAAGTGCACAATAAATGTAATGCACTTGAATCATTCCAAAACCATCTCCCCCACCTTGGTCCATGGAAAAATTGTCTTCTACAAAGCTAGTCCCTGGTGCCAAAAAGGTTGGGGACAGCTTCCTTACATAGAATATGAGTGCTCCAATGCACTGCAGTACCCAATTCCTTACTATCTCTCACTGGCCTGGCTCTGATGGTCTTTGGAGAACCACTTGAATGATGCTTATTTTGAGATCTTCCCTAAAACAGAGAAATTATGTTCTTTTACCATCTGCTTGTATCTTGGGTCCAGGACACTGGCCAATTTTTATTTCAATATGGCCTTTGCGAAGTTCTGTGATGTCATAACATCTAGATCCACAAGTCCCGCTCACACAAACTTCAGGGAAATCCCAGATCAGAGCCACATATTCTTACATTAGAACATTAGAGCTCTTATGTTCTTCTCTCTCTTCCTCACATCTAGAATACATCTTATCCCTCCCTCTTTACAGAAAAAGACACACACTTCTACATACACACACACATTTCTAGTTTCACACCATTGTGGTTGGTAAAACATACTTCATATGATGTTAATCTTCTTAAATTTATTAACTTGTTTTGTGGCCTCACATGTTATCTACTCTGGAAAATATTCTACGTGCCCTTGAGAAGAACGTGTATTCTTCTGTTGAATAGAATGTTCAGTATATGTCTGTCAGGTCCATTTGGTCTTTAGTGTTGTTCAAGTCCACTGTTTCTTTGTTGTGTTTCTTTCTAGATGACCTATCCAATGTTGAAAGTGGGGTGTTGAAGTCTCTGATATTACTGAATTGCTGTTACTCCTTTCAGTTCTCTAAATCTTTGCTTTATATATTTATAATTGTTTTATTTTCTTGATGAATTGACCACTTTATCATTATATAATAACTTTATTTGTCTCTTGTTACAGCTTTTGACTTAAAGTCTCTTTTATCTGATGTAGGAACAGCCACTCTTGCTCTTTTTGGTTACCACTTCCATGGAATATTTTTCCCATCCCTTTACTTTCAGCCTGTGTGAGTCCTTCTAGCTAAAGTGAGTCTCTTGTAGACAGCATATAGTTGGACCTTGCTTTTTGATACATTCAACCACTTTACATGTTTTGATTAGAAAATTTAATCCATTTACATTCAAAGTGATAGGTAATGACTTACTATTGTCATGTTGTTAATTGTTTTTCTTTAGTGTTTGTAGTTCCTTTGCTTATAAAATCAATGCACTATTTTTTTTCTCTTTGTTAACTTCAGATCTCAGAGTATATTTAAGAATATCACATCTTTGAGCAGTTGCCCATTAATTCAATCTCAAAACTGGGCATCTTCTTTAAGTCATGCTATGAGTTCCTCATGCCATTCTGTGCAATGGCAAACCAAAAATGTGTTTTAGTTTTTCTCAAAAACACATTGAAATCTCTTTATCTAGTTTTTGGAGACGGAAGATTATAGGAGTGGAAATCAGTACCCTCCTGTTCTCTATTCCTCTCTGATACAAGCATGTGCACAGAGGTGGTTTTTGGCATTTCTCCATTTCCTGGGGACAGCTTCTTTGAAAAGGAAGTCTTTTTCTCTATTTTTATTTCCATAAAGGCTACTCAGCCAAATAAATGAGGTAGCTGTTTCTTTCCCTACCCTGCAATCTATTTGTTCTTTTTTCAAGGTTCCAACTTCTTCTTACCTTTTTTTCCTTTTTTCCAGGAAGAAAAAAAATATTTAATTTGATCCTAACTTGAAGAATCCAGGTTCAACACCTCCTGAGATACAAAAAGAGGGTGACAGTGTACCTTAATGATCCAAGAAGGCATGAGGTGGAGCAGGAAAGAAATCAAATGCTACTTTGGTGAACAATGAGATCCTAGCTCTTGGGGAAGTGAGAAGCATCTCAGTAATCAGGGAAATATTTCTTTCTTCACTTGGGGTTGAGACTGTACTGTCCTCAGAACCTAACATTTGTCCTGGGGAGTTGTACAGATGTTCTATCTAACAGGTTCATGAGCTAAGAAATAAGTTTGTTTGCACTCACCCTGGTGGGCATGCATGGAGACAGCCTGAGGGTTCGACCAGTACCCAGTAGACAAGGCATTTTAGAGAACTCAGCCCCTCAGGCTTAATGTTCTCTGGAGCTTGGGTGTCACTAGATACCCATGATATTCCTGCTGCTATTCTCAGTGACTGCTCCAGCCTGTTTAAGCGAAGGGAAAGAGGTGCTGGAACAATCAAGTGGTGTCCTCACTGCTGGCAGGTGGGAGGGAGGGAGTGAAGGAGAGCGGTGAAGCAAGACTGCACTCCCAAGCAGTGAAGGAGAGAAGGAGGGTGAATGAAGGAGGAGGACAACTTGGGGTCAAGAGACTGAGGCTGGAACACGTAAGAGCCCACTGGCCTTTTAAAGGACCTAAGCAAAGAAACTTCCCTTTTGGAATCTGGGAAAAGCATTAATTTTCCAGACTTTAATTTGTTGCCCTTCTTTGATGAAATCTCCAGAAACTTTGATAAAATGTTCTGTTTGTACTGCATAGGTCTCGTACAAAAGTGTAAGGGAGTTTGAGGGAACTTTTGGTCAGGGGAGGGTGACTGTGGTCCACTGCAACCCTCCTGTGTGCTCCTGGAGAGAGGGCATCATCTTTTACATGGAGGTGACCACAGCAGAAGACCATGACCCCCAGCAGGGCCTCGGTTCCAGGCAACGCTCACAACACATAGGAGGACCCAGAAACACTTTGTTCAGGAAGAACCACAACTCTGTACTTCAAGCAATGGTTCTGAGCTCTGGATGCAGAATGAACACAATGAGGTATCTTAATAATAACAGCTAAAGATCCACCCCAGACAAGGAAGTCACATCACTGCAGGAGGTGCCTTGGCATAATATTTAATTTTCAAAAGCAGCTGAGATGGGGATGAGAACCAGAGGATTAGAGGAAGATGACTCCTTAAGGATGAGGACACTCATCTGGCTTAGAGACACAACCTGGCCTGTAGCTGATACCGTCTGCACCTCAGGCTCCTCCCTGTAAAACAACTCAGTGTCAATGGTAAACTCAAATGTGAAGCTTTTCCAGTTCCTTTGGTTTTGCTCACCTGTGACGTGCACCACACCTAGCATCGAACATCGCAGCTGAATATTCAGTCCTGAGTCACCATGACTCTGCCATCAGCTGGTCAGGCAGATGAGAATTCCAGGAAGCCCGAGGCTGGCGCATCCCCCTGCCGGGAAGGGACCTAGCCTTTGCCCTGTCTCGTGGTGTGAATGTGCATTCCTGGTGCTGAGATTGCCCAGCCACCTTTACTCCCAGTCATGCTAGAGTCTGCCAGGCTTTCCTCACCTGGAGGAGGACACATGAGTCTTGTGGGAGGAATTGGATAGAAAGACACCCCCCTTTAGAGGAAGAAGGATGGAGAAGCACAATGATGCCGAAATGCTGCCTTCCAAGACTTCTTCAGCTGTAGCAACTTTCCCCACTTCCAGGCACTACCACATGCCTGGTCAGTCCTACAGAGAGGCTGAGAGTCTCTTTGTCACCTGGTCCCCCCATTGCTGCCCCTCTACCCGGCCTGGCAGCTGATGCTTCCCTCCATGGGCTCCCCCACCCAGGATCTAGGCGCTGAGTCAACTGGGAGGCAGGAAGGGAGGACAGAGTCCCTTTGACTCTCCCCACATTCTGGTGGGGCTGATCTGTCACTCTTCCGGGTGCCAGCCACTGGGCTAGTTCTTAACTTCCTTCCTTCATTTCTTCCTTCCTTCCTCCCAGTTTCATTCCTCCCTCCTTTTCCTCCTTCTTTCCACAAACATAGGCATCGAGCTAAATATTCAGGAAAATAAATGGTGCACAGGTCACAGGCTCTGGGTGGCACAGGAGTCTGTAGAGGACAGCAGACACAGGAGGCAGTTGCATGGTGACAGACTCCAGCTCCAGGTGGGCCCAGCAGTGGAGGAGTCACAGGAGCGGCAGCCAGCCACATTCGGGCCTGAGTGTCAGCTTCCCGGAGAAAGTGTAGTCAGAGCTGCAAGCTAAAGGGTGAACAGGGGAAAATGTGAGCAACGCCCCAGGTGTAGGAACCAGAGGGTACAAAACTGGAAAATAAAAAGCATGTGAGTTCAGGAATTTAAAATACCTTGGGGCTGGAAGTGGTGGCTCAACACCTAAAAAAACTAGCAGTGTGCAATGGTGCATGCCGGTGGTCCCAGGTATTTGGGAGGCTAAGGTGGGAGGAGCACTTGAGCCCAGGAGGTAGAGGCTGCAATAAGCGGTAACAGTGCCACTGCACTCCAGCCTGAGCAACAGAGTGAGTCCCTGTTTCAAAAAACAACAACAAGAAAAAATACTTTGGGCTGGTTGGAGATGAACAAGGCAGCAGTTCTGGCTGGGGAGTTTAGCGGGGGCTTCTGTACAAGGGGTCTTGGGGACCCTATTGGGAAGTTTGGGGCTAACCAGGAGGACAGTGAGCAGCTTGTGATGGGGTTTAGGCAGTCAATGCGGGGGTCAGACTAGGCTTCAGGACAGTCAGCCTGGTACCTAGGGAGGCCTGGGAGCACCAGGCTCAGCGTCAGGGAGGCTCTTGACCTCCTTCCTGTCTGGTGCCCATCGCCCCTTTACGGGCCACCTGGCTTTGGTTTGGATGTCTCCGTCTTGCTTTTAGACCAAAACCGGTGGCTGAATCCATGCCCAGGGCCTGGGACCTGGCTTTGCTCTCTGCTGGCCTCCCTGTGCTTGCTCATCGAGTCTTTCCCACTTGTCATTTTCAGTTTCCATGCTGTACCCAGGATCCTACCATAGGAAGGAAGCCAGTTCGCTCTGCTACATTGAATTTATGCTTCTCTCTTGCTTTTCTGCACCATGCAGACCCACTCGGGGACCAGGGGAGCCTCCTGTAGTGATGGGTCTCATGTCTGAGCCTGACCCTTCTCTCTCCCTGCAGCCCTGCATTGGAGTCCCAGGACACGAGAAGCTGGCAATTCAAGGCCTGACAACAGGCTTAAGCCAGTGTCTAGAGGCATGGAACTGTGCCTCTAGTTCCATTTATATTTTTGAGTGGGAAATATGAACAGTGGATTCAAACCTCTCCTTGGAAGTTCAAATGACAGGAGGAGAAGCCTGCTATGCTAACATGGATCAAAGGGATGGAGACTTTTGAGTGTAAAATCATCCACCGGCTTCTCCCAATACCCACTGCTGGGACAGACACAAATCTCCCTCCTTCCAGGACCATCTTGCCAGGCTCCTGTCTGCTTCCTTCTCCTGAGACAGGGCAGGGGTCCCTTATCTCTTAGTCTTGAGGTGAGCTGTGAAATACCTTGAGATGGCTTCCCAGAGCGGCATGGAGCAAAGCTCACAAGTCATTTTCCACCCTGCCCAAATCCAGGAACACATGCATTTGGCAGAAACCCCAACTCCTTTCACACATTCCCACCACAGTGAGAATAGGAGACTCCGCCCCTTTCTTCCACTTTACCAGCTGTGTGCTCTTGGGCAAGTTTCTTAACTTGGGTGAGTTTCCACTTCTTCATGTCCAAGTAATAATAACCACTTCATTGCAGATCAAGTGTAAAACATAAAAAGCAATTCTTAATGCATGGTCTTCTGTTATCCTTGTTATGACCACAGTGATTGTCACAAGCACTATTTATTAAGAGAGGGAGAGCTAGAAGTGACGTTGTGGGTGAACAGCATGTCTCCTATATTCTACGGCATAGGAACCATGTGGCATAAGGGAAAGTGCACCAGGTTGGGGGCCCATCAGTTTCCACCATTAACTTGCTTCATGCAGACATGCCTCTTGAACCTTAAAATAGACATGGTAAAAGTCTGCTGGCTCCTGGCTGTGTGGCTCTGGGTAAGTGAGTTCACATTTCTGAGTCTTAAGTATCTCATCTACAGTGTAGGCATATTCATGCCACTCCATAGATGACCTGGGATCAATGCATGGGCGGTGCTCGGCACAGAAGCTGGAGTGGAGAAAGCATTCAGTAAGCTCCAACGAGCTGGGAGAGGTGGTGTTGCTAGGTCTACCTGCAGGAGGTGCTTGGGCCCCTGGGAGTTTAGCAACAGAGTTCTTCTATACCTGTATGCTGGACAGATCTGGTCTGAGCTCTGCATCTGCCTGGGCCTTGTCTGTGCCGGTGCTTGTGTCCCATCCCAGGGGCCTCCCTCTGGGTAACCACAGTGACCACGAAGCCCTTGCTAGCCTGTCTATAGGGTGGGCTACTCCTTTGTGTGCATTCTCAGATTTAGTCAGGACAGGCACATGTTTCCCTGCAGGCGAGACCTGTGACTAAGCTTCCAGTGGAGTCACCTGTAGAACAACCTGCAGGTGATCTAACACACCCGTGGCATCCCATGGGGAGGAATCCTGGAAACAGCTTGAACCTCTGGCATCCTGCCATCCCGAGGACCATCAGGATTTTAGAGATGCCATTTATGGTCTTCTGAGTGTGGCGGACCCTTGCTTCTCTGCAGAGTGAGGGAGGAAGCCGAGGACCCTGGGTGAATTTCTTTTATAATTTTGGGTGAATTTCTTAATTCATTCCGAACAGATGACATTATTTGTGTGCATAGAGGGGTATGTGGAAGGCAATTCCAAAAGAGGAATTTTAGTATTCTGAGGTATTGCAGTGTTATTGTTAAAGCACATAGCCTATGGTACTGCAAGAGTAGGATTTTGAAAGGTTTTCTTCTTTGTTTTGTTAAAAATCCATCTTATCCCTTTATTGTTGCAGTAGGTTAACAGACAGCCATTTTCAGTTGGTTGATAATCAGCCTGGGAGAGCTATGCTGCCCGTCTCTGCCTCATGTGAGGAAGGATAGGGGCTTGGAGGAGTTTCGGTGGGATGGACCTGCTCATATCGCCCAGCAAGGATTGTCATGGGGGTGGGATTTGGTGATAATAAATCACCTTCGGAGATGGGTGGCAGGACAAGAGCCTCACCTTTCTGTGACGATTATTTGCATCAAGTGTTCCAAGAGGTGGCAAGACAAACCTGACTGCCTTGATCTGAAGAGCCCAGACCAACTCTAAAAGGTTTAGACTTTGAGCTTGTGTGGGAGATTGGCTCATGCATGGGTGGTTTAAAAATCCATTCTAGGCCGGTCGCGGTGGGTGATGCCTGTAATCCCAGCACTTTGGGAGGCCAAGGAGGGTGGATCACCTGAGGTCAGGAGTTCGAGACCAGCTGGCCAACATGGTGAAACCCCGTCTCTACTAAAAATATAAAAACTAGCCAGGTTCAGGTGTGCACATCTGTAATTCCAGCTATTTGGGAAGGTTGAGGCAGGAGTATCCCTTGAACCTGGGAGGCGGAGGTTGCGGTGAGCCAAGATTGCACCACTGCACTCCAGCCTGGGTGATGGAGTGAGACTCAGTCTAAAAAAAAAAAAAAAAATCCATTCTGGCTATAATTGCATAGTGAGACACTATGTGTAAATTATACATGTATCTGCATGTGTGTGTTTTAGTCACTAAATTACTCCACCTGTATGATGTTAAAATGCAATATGTATTCTTTCCAGGTTGACAACTATCTCAAATCACATTTGCTGTATCTTATTTGAATCAAGAAGATTCAATTATTAGTTAATAAAATGAATCACCTGTACAGTCCCAATACTGTATGGTTCATAGGAATTTCATGTAATCTTTGTTTTCAAAATCAAAGAGCAAACAACGTGTGTTCAAATTATCAAGGAAGGGCCAAAGCTCAGTGAGGTCAAGGACGGCAGACATAGGACAAGGACGCAGGCATTTTCATTCCTAGTTCAGGGCTTTTTCCAGGATGCCATGAGGCTCATTGGGGCATGGCTTCAATTTAGTGACATCCTGGGTCCCTTTTCTGTCTATGATTCCATGAGGGAGGGACAGAAGGTGCACATGTCATGCTGTCAGAGGCAGATGCTCAGTGTGGAGACTCAGGGGCCAGGGGACTTTTCACTTCTCCAGCCCCAACACGTCGAGCCTCCCTGTTAGCTCTGCCGCCTCCCGTGGGGTAAGTGTTAAGCCCCTGAAAATGAAGGGGTTACAAGTTCTGTTGTGAGGCCCTATAATAAAGGAGAGCTAATAAAGGCTTCGCCCCACCTTCTGACCGGATTGTAGAGATGAGTACTCCAATGGGACGGGGAGTGGTTGGAATGAGGAGAGGAAGAAGGCGGTGAAACCAGGGGATTGTGAGAGATAAGACAAGGATGCGGGCTTCAGGCTGTGACTAGGATGTGGCCGCGATCACAGTGGGGTTTCCCAGCATCCCCTGGTGAAATCTGCCCCAGTGCTTGGATTAAAAAGGACAGTAGTGGTGCACTGAAGAAGACCAGTGGTTGAGGCTTAGGTTAATTCACTCATTCCTTCCTCTATTTCATATTTATTGTTCTTCAGTGGTTACTAAAGATGTAAATATGAGTATTTATGTACCAGGCCCTGTCCTTGAGGAGCTCAAGGTCTAGTGGGAGGACTATAAATATGTAAATAAATGATGGCAACAGAGTGACAAGACCCTATGATAGGATGCACCGAAGTGTCTGAGGGGCAGAGACGTAGAGCAATTGATAATGCCAGGCAGGAATGCGGGGAGAGGGCCAGGAAAGCTTCAGAGTGGGGTTGAAATTTGAGCCAATTTGAGTACTAGGAGGGAACAGCTCTGTCATTCCTGGTTACTGTGTCATCTCAGGAAGCTGATTCCTTAGAGATACAGTGGAGATGATCACACTTATCTCAGAAGAAAGAGCTATGTGAAAAGTATGAGGATTTGCCAAGAAAAACATCCTGGGCCCCCATTGGAACAGGCCTAGTCCTTCTGCCCCTGCTGGCTGGCTGGAGCTCCGGCCCATCACCAGGCACCCTCCTGCCCCTCTTAGGGTTGGCAGAGGGTTCACGCACCTCTGAGTGCCAGCCAGAGAAGCAACTTGCGATGTCCTGGGTCTCCCAGCACCTCTTCCCAGCTTCCCCTCACCACAGGCTGAAGGTGTCTTAGCAAGGACAAGGCAGATGAATCCTCAAGTTGAAAACAGATCTGGACGGAGGGCAGGATGGGGTGGACATAATCACTACTTTTATTTGTCCTCGCACTGAGGATCATACTCCGGTCTCTCACATGGATCCCTGGGGAGCCAGTCCACGGAGCACAGCCGAGAGGCAGTCCAGGCTTAGTCAGAGCCACAGACCGTGGGTGAGGCTCCTGCTCTTCGGCTGCAGAGAGCTGCCTCCTGGCCTCTGAAGCCGATCCACCTGGGCCACCCTGCGGTCACAACTCCAGAAGACAGGAGGCAGGAAGAGGAAGTCTCTACTCTCCTTATCCACAGCGTTGTCTGTGCTGCTGGCCTGTCCCTGTTCCCAAATAAGAGCAGATGCCTGACAATGCCTCAATAAATATCCCTGCTGATTCAGTCTGAACTTAATTCATTTCCGCACCCCCGGCGTGAATGGTACCCTGTGCAGGGCAGAGACGAATGAGGCACTGTAATCAGTGCCAAGAGATTCAGGCCAGAAGCTTTGGTAACCTGGGCCCCCTGGCTCTCCCCTGCGGTGACCCCAGCTGCTCCTGTCCTTAGCCCAGTGCCCAGCTTCAGAACAAGTGGTCAAAAAAAAAAAAAAAAAAAAAAAAAAAAAAAAAAAAAAAAAAATCCCATCTGCAGGCGCCGGAAGGGCAGCGCGCCCTCGCGTGGTAGGTGTTGGTATTGCCGGGATGCCTGCCTGACCCAAGCCTTTCAGGCTTTGAAAAAGAGCGTTTTGGGGATTCTGTCTTAGAACCACGCCAGGACATTTTAGGACTGAGTTCAATCCTGTCACTTTACAGATGGGGACAGGGATGCTATGGAGATCTGCCCAATATCCCAGAGGGGCGGAACAAGAAAGTAAGCCCCAGTTTTGGGGGCTCTCACTTGGTCTCTGGGCTGATCCAGTCAGATTCATTCTCAGGCCTTACAGAGACACTTTACATTGAAAAAAAGAAAAAGAAAAAACAGCCAAAAAGTAAACAAAAATTAAAAAGGGAACAGAGCAACTCCAGAGCTCACCACTGAGGACTCCAGGAGCCTGCACCGCCTTCCCTCCCGTCCCTTCCCTTCCCCTCTCCTCCCCTTCCCTTCCCTTCCCTTCCGTGTTTGCTTCCCGGAAGCCTCAGCAAACACTCCCAGACAGCCTGTTTTGTGCTGGGCAACGCCATAGGTACTAGTTTTTTACCATGCCTTACAAGTGGACAAACACTTCCTTTGGAGAAATTTTACATAAGAGGGAGATGACATTTTCCACAATTTAGATCAGCCCAGGCCCAGGGTCCACCTTAAAAATATTAAATAATACAGCCTAGGGCCCACGCGAGTGCCCTGCTGGCCGGCCCTGGACTCTGCAGAGGGCTCCCTGGGGGTTCTCACCTGCAGCACCCTGGCAGGGAGGGACGGGGTTCCCATCCTCCCCATCTCACCTGGTGGAGACCCCTTGGTCCTTGGGTGAGGCTCTGCTTCCACACCCCCAGGCTGCTGTGCTCTGATGGAGTCTGAGATCGAGCCCACCTCCTTCATTTCATTTCTGAGGAACATGAGGCCAAAAGAAGGTGCTGCTGTCTAACGGCACCTGCCCAGAAGTCCCATCCTTATGGAACCAGGCTCCAGCCCCCCAGTGGCCCTTCATGTTATTTTGTGTTTCTGGTACACAGATCTGCTGGTGTGGGTTGGTGGCACTCCTGGCTGAGAACGTGTCTGCCAGTTCTGAGGCATGCACGTTTGCTGCGTTTCACTCTGAGCCAAGGCTAATAGGGGCCAATGCCCTTCAGGAAGTCATTCCCTTCAGGGATGGAACAATGGCTCTCCCCTCTAGAGGCATGACAGAGAGCCCTGCAGAGGTGCCTGTGCCTAAGAGAGACTTACTCTGTGCACTTCCAGAGGTCTGTCTGATTGCATTTAGAAAAGAAAAAAAACAAGAGTGAGTTTAGAAGAGGTTGCGAGAGGCCAAAGGCAAGATGACAAATATTCATTGCAACTTGAGCTGGGAATTGAGACTGTAGCCCCAAAGTGTACATTCTAGTGGGCTCTTTACAGCACCTCAGCTCATTCAGAAGCACACTGGACTCAGGCAGCGACAGAAACAGGAACACAGAGCATCTTCCCAAGCCACCTGTCAGTCAGGAAAAAGCTTGGCATGTGGTCTCTATCTCTCAGCATGTTTGTTTTTATTATTTTTTAAATTCCTTACTTGTAATTGGTGTTCACTACTATTGGAATTAGTATTCAACAAATTCAAGCAGGATCCAGAGAAAGGCAAAAGGCAGCTAAGCATTCAGGAATCTCCATGAACAGGGGCCCTGCCTTGCTCCAATTGCACAGAAATATGTTTTTTAGAAGGATCATAGAAGAATGAATGCTGGCTGATAGGCATACTGAGAATGCCATTTATGAATTGCTAGCCTGGGGGAAATGTGCTTCACCTGATGATTTTCATTTTTCTTTCATTCCTAAAATGGACCTGCTTACCCCCTATTATACACACTATCAGCTTGTTGTATTAATAAATTGAAATAGCCTAAGAGTAAATGCTTGAAAACAACACTATCCTACTGAAATGTGACCTGTTGGTGTTATTGCTTGAGGAGGCATAAAGGGAAAAGGGATAAGGTGCATTACCATCTGGGTGAATAAGCAGGAGAAGGCTAGTGCTGGGTGTGGTAAGAAAGAAGTCATCAGATGGAAAACAGAGCAGCAGATTGGTTGCATTTATGTCTCTCTGAAAATCAGTTTGGAGCTCGGTTTCTAGTCAGTTCCCATCTCCAGATACTTAAGAGATATTCCCTTGACTAGGAAAGGAAAGTGGAATATCACAAAATTCTGAGACCCCTTTGAAAAGGCAGTACATGGAGAAGTAAGGAAGTTAAAAAAATGTCTTTTATCAGCTCTTCACCTTTGGTGCTAAATTCATTCAACAAATATTTATTGAACACCTACTATAAGCCACACATTCCTTTAAGCCCTTGGGATACTTCAACATCCCTGCCTTCCGGGAGCTTATATTTTAGATCCCAGATCTGCCATCCATCTCTGGTTTCTCTTTTCCTTCTTCATCTGTATTTGATACGCAACACCTATTCCAGGGATCAGAGCAAATGTCACGCTTTTTCTCACCAGAATGGCAGAAAAAAAGTCTGCAGATCCCTTGCTGCATACGGCAGATGGTATTTCTAATTCCCAGTGGAACATCCCCTATGGATACAACAGAAGAGAGTTGACATTTAACTCATATAGTGCAGAGAATAGAAGATGAACCCAGCCCACTGCCAAGGGTTATATATTCTGACAAGGCTAAGTATTTTTGGACAAGCCCCAGTTTAACCGAACTTTGGCCTCTTAGCTTTAAAACAGGAACGATAATTTATATCTGAAATGTTGCCAGGAGGATGATAGGGTGTGTTTTATGAATGCTCACCTGGCCCATCTAGGCCCTAAAAAGCCCACGCAGATCTTAAATGAGGGTCCTCGAGCCTCCTGGTGAGAGATGTGCACTAGAAGGAAACAAAGGGAGTTTTGGAAAACAGAAGTGGTCCAGAATAGGACAGGTCTTGGTCTCTAAGGAAATTAGAGGTATTAACCCATTCTCAACTTATGGCCCAATTTTTAGTTTTATGTCCTACAACGAAAAGGAGAAAATAAAACCTCTCTCCTCACCAGGACCTGTGGGCTTGTAAGTCACAAATGACCACCTAAATTTTTATAACAACAGGACATTGGGCAAGAGATGGTTGAAAGAAAGATCTTACTTATGTCAGATCTGCAAATGCTACGTACGATGACTTTAAACAGCAGCAACAACAGCAGCAACAACAACAACAGCACAGTGTTGGTCTTGCGTGATTAGGAAAACACTCTTGCACAACATCCAACCTCCAAACGGGGTCTAATCCCTGATTCTGTATCATCTCAGCCCTGTCACAGCTTGGAGGAGACAGCAAAGTGAAGAAGGTGGGGGGTCCACCTTTAGTCAAGACAGAAGAGCCCCCAGCCTGGAAGCGTGGAGACTGGATTCTGGTCTTACTTCTTCCAATATCTCATTATGTCTCCTTAGACAACTCATTTAACTGGTTACACTTCAGCTTGCCCATCTGTAAAATGTGTTCTATGTGCAAGCAGGGGGAATATTATAAGTTTGAAGACCTACTATGACCATAAAGATTCATTGCACCATGGTAAATTAACACTTTCTCTGGACTTTGGTTTTCTTTTTGTAGAGCATGGGGCTGCTATAGACAATCTCTGATTCCCTTCCAGCTCTGACATTCATATGACTATAACTTCCTTCTGAAAACTTTTCTCAGACTGCAGTGAGTGCTTGCCACTTGTATCAGAGCAAGCATACCCCTTTGTCTTGTGTCAAGACCTTTATAACACTTATTTAGCTTTTAAAAAACTTCACAGGGGAGATCAAAATTGTCCAAGACTGAGCCCCACAGTGGCCCACCTGCATCCACTAACAACATACAGACACATCTACACACTGTCCATACAGACACACACATAAATGGAATTCCTGCACTACCTTCCCCAGGGCTAACCAGGAGACATTTACCTGAGTTTGTTTGGACCAAACAAAAGAGAACAGCAAACAGAAAAAAGACCTTCATGTTTTAAGGTCCGTTGAACCTCCCTGCCCTCCCGTGAAGGAGCACAAATATGATGAATGATGGAATGAAATGGAGCGGAGAAGGCACAAAATGGGACATTTATAGGTTTTTGGGAATACTGATCAGCATGAGCATATTTATCTGCTCTACTGAGTAAGGCTGTGGGCAGAAGGTTACTGACTACTCTTCCCTTTCTGCCTAAAAATAGACTGGCTTCCTGATATTCAGAGAAGCAGGGATCAACCAATAATTCCATATACGGATATTGAAGAGGAAAGTGAACCAACATTGAGGTGTGGCTACTTAGTGCCAAGCCCTGTGCTAGGTGCTAGAGACATGGTTGTGTAAAGATATATTTTCTGCCTTCAGAAAGCTGCGGTGTCCACCACAGTTGAGCAGATAATTAGCTTATTTCCCAGCAACATGACTCCCATCTACCAACAGAAACATAGGCCCACGTGCATTAGGAGACATGTGCACGAACGTTCATTGTAGCACATTTCCTTGCAGCCAAGAGAATGCAACCAAATAGTGTATTATGACAACAACAAAACACAATGTATTTCCACACCACAACAAGAATAGAAAAACAAGAAGATGTGTACAACAACGTGGATGAACCTCACAAACGCTATGCTGAAAGAAAAAAAAAAAACAGAGACAACGTACCACATTATTCCAAAAATTTGGCAAAATTCACCTATTTATGAAGAGCCAGGATATTGTCTACTTTGGAGGAAGAGGACATGCTCTTCTCTCATTTGATGAAGTTATCCGCTGTCGGAGGTGACAGTCTAGTGAGGGATGCAGAGAGCCCCCGGCAACCACAGGGCTGTGTCATCCTGGGCTGGAGGGAGGTTTGTGGGCTCTGGGGTGCTGGGAGTTGTGAAAACAGAATCTGCAAGGACACGATATTTTTGTGTGTGGGTTTATATAATGTGTGGTATTAAAACACACAGTGGATAAATCTGCACATTTTGCCCCTATTTGATTTTAGTCCCAGGATCACTTAGATTTATTTCCCTTAAAATTCTCTTAAGCAAAAGGGGCAAGTGAGAAGGATGTCTTCTCTCCTATCCCCCTGGGCTTCATAACAATTGCTGTTAGCTTCTTATTAATCCTTCCAGAGGTGTCCCATGTGTATGGAAGCAGAGATGAATCCATACCCCATTTTTATGTAAGCAATAGCAGACTCTAGATATCATTCTGGACTTGCCTATATTACTTGTTATAGCTTGCAGAGCCTTGTTATTCTTCAGATTAGACACATCATATTTTCTGCAAGCTGTCTTCTGCGTTATTTAACCAGTCTACAACAACCATATCTCACCATGAGTCTTACCTAGACATGGATTTTGAAAAAGAGACATCAAGCAGTGGTCTTGGACTTTCTGCATGGGTGAACAGTGTGAGCATCTCAAAGAGGCAGGGGCTGGGTGTTCATTTTGAACTTTCCACCTCTGGAGAGATTAAGCAGGACAATGTGCCCTGGCAGGGACTCTCTGACTCACAGACCTTTCTGTACCTTGCAAAATCACCTTTGAAGTTAAGACTTTAGGGAAAATTGGGCACTCCAAGCTGCTTTTGACCCTCCACCAAAAAAAAAGAGAGAAAAAAAAAAGTTACCTTAAATGTTAGCTATGTACTAAGTAATTGTAAAATAGTTATGAATATTTGTGAGGGTCCAACTCAGTACTTTAAGAAATCGATTAAAATGTGAAATTCTTTCTCTGTGGAGCATTTGTTCTGAAGACATCTCTGAAATCTCTCAAAAAAAAAAAAAAAAAAGAAAGAAAGAAAGAAAAGCAATTTCATTTGCCCCTTAGGGAAATTGGCTTCCACACCAAGATGATACCCTAAGTTCAAGGGTCCCAAGGAATAATGACAATTCTGAATGTATCCTGTGCATGGACAAAGTGGCTGTACGATACATGAACCATTGTTTGATAAAAACACTGAGTGTGGATATTCAAAAATTTGAGTCATTTTTTAAAAGTCACTAAGATGACTTATAGATAAAACAATAAAATGCATATTTTATACTTTACATTCATTCTTTCTATTTATACTACACGTTATTTGGAAAGGATCCAAGGTAAATGTGGATGGCATATTTTTTCTAGCAGTACAGTTACTAATCAAATCATTGTGAAATTATAGTTTAGAAAATTTCTGTATAGTTTGGAAACAATAAACTATGTTGGAAAATAAATTCATTTGGGGGAGAAATAAATTAATAGTATTAAATTTTATCATGTACCTTCTCCTCCAGACTTGAATCCATTCCCAAATCACAGACCCAGAAAGCAATCCCCACGGAACTATTTTGTGGATAATTCTGAAGAATAAGGCATATCATTTCAAAGAAATCAAACTAGAAAATCACGCTTATTGGCTAATTTTGTTAATATCTGGTTATAGGTTCATAGGTTCATATAATTGCAGAGTTGAAAGGAAATAGAGTTCAATTTGTGCCAACACACAAGCTAATTATTCTGATGTGCATCATACTCATGAATGGAAAAGAAGAGTGTAAGGAGAAGAGAGGAAAGATAACTTTGGGTTTGCAAACATTTGATAGTAGAAAAAATGTTTCTATATTTTAAAAAATATTGATACAATTCAACAACAAAAAGACAAACAACACACTTAAAAATGGACAAAGGACTTAAATAGATTTTTCCAAAGAAGAAATTCAAATGACCAGCAAGCACACGAAAGATGCTCAATATCATTAGTCATTAGAAACATGCAAATCAAAACCACAATGAAATATCACTTCACATCTACTAGGACAGTCATAAAAAAAATAAAACTTCAGAAGCAGTGGCTCACACCTGTAATCCCAGCACTTTGGGAGGCCAAGGCGGGTGGATCACAAGGTCAGGAGTTCGAGACCAGCCTGGCCAATATGGTGAAACCCCATCTCTACTAAAAATACAAAAATTAGCCGGGCAATTAGCTAGGCATGCTGGTGGGTGCCTGTAATCCCAGCTACTCAGGAGGCTGAGGCAGGAGAATCGCTTGAACCCGGGAGGCGGAAGTTGCAGTGAGCTGAGATCGGGCCACTGCACTCCAGCCTGGGCGCCAGAGCGAGACTCTGTCTCAAAATGAAACAAAACAAAACAAAATTTTTGAAAACAGCAAGTGTTGGTGAGAATGTGGAGACATTGTAACCTTCATATGTTGCTGCTGGGAATGTACAGTGGTGCAGCTGCTGTGGAAAAGTCTGGCAGTTCCTCAGAAAGTTAAACAATATGAGTTACCAATATGGCCTAGCAATTCAACTCCTAGGTGTATACATACAAGCGGTGAAAATAGGTGTTCAAACAGCAACCTGTACATGAGTGTAGTGTTCATAGCAGAATTAGTCACAAGTGTCAACGGTGGAAGCAATGCAAATGTGCATCAGTTGATGAATGTATAAGCAAAGTGTGGCGCATCCATACAATGCAATATTATTTAGTCACAAAAGGAAAAGAAGTAATGCCACATTCTCCAACATGGAGGAACTTTGAAAATCTCACATTAAGTAAAATAAGCTAGGCACAAAATACCACATATTGTATGATTCCATATATATGAAATGTGCACAGCTGGCAAATCCAGTGGCTGCTTACTGGTGTCTCCTTTTGGGATGATGAAAAAGTCAGCTGGGGTTTCTCCCCACTTTTTTATCCTCATGGACAATGCTAATGTTACTCCTCTTGCTCCGGAGGTTTTATTTATTTATGTATTTTGGGTTTTCAAGAAAGAGGCAGGGTTTGTGTTCATGAATTTAATCTCTCTTTATGAAGGCATACTAACTTTCCATTTTGGTCTTATTATTTATTTCCATTTTGGTCTTATCAACTAAGGGAGATTCCCTGGGTGCAGAAGGTCATTTCCCATGACCCAAAGAGGTAAAAATAAGCCAGGTGAGAGCAGGTCAAGCCTGCAGAGTTGCGGTGACGACCACATGTAGGGACAGGAAGAAAAGATTAGAAGCGCCCATTATTTATGTCACACGAGGTGCAATGGGGTGGAATTGACTGAGCCTGCCCACCTGTTCCTTGCCCCGCAAACCTCAGGCATTGAAGAGAAGACAGGCTTCCTGATGATGGGGACTCTCTGAGCAATGGATGAGTCAGAAGGATCAAATCCCGGGAAAAGCTGCTGGGGTGCAGGGGAGGGAAGGATGCTGCGCGGAAGGTGGGCGTGCAGAGTGGAATACAAGGCAGTCAGGTGTGCTGCAGTGCGTTCTGAGACAGCCTCCAGCAAGCTTCTGTCTAAGGACCTCTTCCCACTGCGTAAAACTGGTGGCCATAAAACCTCATCAGGGCTCAGGGGCCTGTACTAAAAAGCTGCTGTGAGAACAAAGAATGCATAACTAACGGAATTGGTGGCTCAGGACTGACCTTGAGAACCCATTATATTTATTCAGTTGTCTCCAAGCAGGATGGCACATTTGTTTTTTTAACGTCTGTAATTTTTATTTATTTTTATTTTATTTTACTTTAAGTTCTGGGATACATGTGCAGAACGTGCAGGTTTGTTACATAGATATGCATGTGCCATGGTGGTTTTCTGCACCCATCAACCCGTCATCTATATTCTAAGCCCCACATACATTAGGTATTTGTCCTAATGCTCTCCCTCCCCTTGTCCACAACCCAGCACTGCAAATATTATAATATCAAAGAATGAGAGGAAAAAAAAATCAGTTTCTACCTGTTTTTTATGAATCCCAGGTAGGCTCCAAAATCTCCCTGGGTAACATGCTTTAAATGTCATATCATCTTTTTATAAAATTTTTATTTATTTTTACTCACCGCTATGCAAACAAGGAGTCTTATCATCTTACTGCCCAGGAAGCGCTTTCTTATGTTAACTCTGTGAGTTTCTGGATGCAACTTAAGTCTACAACAGAATGTCTTTGCTTATAATTAAGTGATATCTTTGTATATACATATATATGTTTATTTTTAGGCACATTAATTTTGTTCTTACAAATGTATATTTAACATTTAAGAGTAATGCAATAACTTGATGGTATTTTTAAAGGTGCAAATATCTAAAAATCACCAATAATTTTAACATTAGAAACTTTATTGTTTTTAAGCATACTTTTCACAGTTAATTTTATATCAAATATGTGAACATTGGTATCATAATTTTTAGGACATGTAAGTATTTTGAAAATGTTATGCATTTTGATGGTTTTTCACTGTGTTATATTTATTATACCTAAGGAATATGTAATATCTCTGAGTAGATTTATTGTAGTTTGCTAATATAGTGCTCCATTTTGAACTTTTTAGAGTTTTTTTTGGTTTCTCAAAGTATTTTTTTATTTCCCAGGATAATTTCTGAGCAGAATAACTGAAACAATGAGAACGAGTATTTTATATCTTACATACATATTAAGATTGCTTTACAAAGAGGTTATTTAAGTTACCAGTGCTTCTGGTTTTGTATGTGAGGACTAGTTTCATATACCTTCATTATCCGTGGGTATCAGCCCCGTGTGAGTGTGCCCATATATAAGTTGATTAAGGAACATCTTTGTTCAGAAAAAAAGCCTGGAAAGGTGGCATTCTGTAAAGGGCTCTGTGTACCTAGTTTCTTTCCTATGCTGAGCCCCAGGATCCTGATTCTTACCCAGATGCTTATATTTAGGTTGGTGCAAAAGTAATTGCGGTTTTGACCGTTATTTTCAATGGCAAAAACCACAATTACTTTTGTAGCAATCTAATACATAACAATATTTGCAGGAAGTTTTAATTTATGGGGATTAAAGAAAGCTGCAAAGAGAATAATGAGCTCAAAGTTTTGTGATGTGCAGTTTATTATTAATTAACTTGAGCCTAAAATAATGATCACTGATGAAGATTTTATGGACAGATTAGGCAAATATCATTATTTCTTCCCTATTTATTTATTAAAGACATCCATGAAACTTCTTTTAAGTAGAGATACCCTACAGAAAAGTTGAAGACAAACAGCAGATTCTACCCACATTCACTCTTTGCCACCTCTCACTCGCTTGCTTACCCTACCAAAGCAATCCTGCACAGCTGGTCTGCATGAGCAAGCAGATGTTAGCGGTCAGTGTAAAACTAGCAGAAGTGAAGTCAGCACTTTTAGAAACTGGAAGAGACTTAACTGAACTGGAATATGTGCGATTTCAATGGAAAAATGCAGTTTTAAAACAATCAATATGTATTTATTCCTAATGAGATTTGAGAAACTGTGGTCAGCAAAATGAGAATTAGATCCCATGAGAAAGTCACACGTTGAGAAAGAAAGGGACTATTTGCAAATATAAGACTATTTAAAAATAATTAAAAATCTAATAACTGAACTTCAAAATCCAAAAATAGTAAAAAAAAAAAAAAAAAATAGAAGGGCTCTACAGATATAAAAATAAATATCTGCAAAGTAGAGAACAAAAGGGAAAAGCATGAAAATTATGGTTGAAAGATAATGAGAGGATATTTCAAGGATAACTGGGGTTTAAGCAGGAGGCATTCCAGAGAAAGGGAAGATAATTGATGGAGGAAAGAATATGTAAGGTTAGATATAAAAGGAGCACATGTACATGGATAAGAATAAAGCGGTAACCTGGCCGGGCGCGGTGGCTCACGCCTGTAATTCCAGCACTTCGGGAGGCCGAGGCGGACAGATCACCTGAGGTCGGGAGTTTGAGACCAGCCTGATCAACATGGAGAAACCCCGTCTCTACTAAAAATACAAAATTAGCCAGGCATGGTGGTGGACACCTGTAATCCCAGCTACTTAGGAAGGCTGAGGCAGGAGAATTGCTTGAACCTGGGAGAATCGCTTGAACCCGGGAGGTGGAGGTGGTGGTGAGCCAAAATCGCACCATTGCACTCCAGCCTGGGCAACAAGGGTGAAACTCTGTCTCAAAAAAAAAAGAAAAAAGAGAATAAAGTAGTAACCCAGTAAAACTATTAAATTTTACAGAAGAGAAAAAATGATCAATAAACAAAAGAAAAAACGCTCAACTACACAGTAATCAAGGGTGTGCCAGACTGATATCTGCAAGATGGTGGACTAAGAGGCTCCAGCCTTTCCTTCCTTCCACGGATATACCAAAGAAATATCAACACACAGATCGGTTCTTTCTGAGAGAAAACCATGGACTAATTGAAAGACTACTACACATCAAGCAACTGAGAAAATATTCATGTGAAAACAGGTGGGAAGAGCTGAGACACACTCCCCGCACAATCCCTATCCCAGACATAACACCTTACAATTAATTGGTAAGGAAGTCCCAACTCCTAGCTTCTCCCTGAGGAGTGAAGGGTTTGGACCACACATATAGTACCCTGACCTTTATGCTTCCCACCCAGGGGTTTGGCTCCTAAATCACCCAGCTCAGGGTTGATAGAGCTGGGCATCTGCAGGTCTCCCTAAACCACAGACACCAAAGAGATGGTGGGACACAGATTTGCAAGCACTTTTGGCAGCTCTCTCCCTGGGCTCAGGCCAGAGCAGGCAGGTAAATGCCCACCTCCCGGTTTCTACCTGCAAGGGGTTTATCTACCCATTTTCCCATCTGCTGCCTGAGGGTTGACTTCTGGGTCTGTATCTGGGAGCCAAAGGGGCAGGGTGAACAGTAGACCTGTGGGAGCCTGAACAGAGGTATAGGTAGGCACTGCGCCTGCTCCTCTCGACTAGCTCCAGCAAGAAATCCAGGTCTCCAGCTTCTCCCTTGAAGGAGAATACTTCAAGCACAGTTTTATAGCTGCCACCTGGGGGACTGGCTCCTAAATCACTTATCTCTAGAAGTTAATGTGAGGCAGGAGAATTGCAGAGGAAATTGGAAGTTGGATAAAGGATAGAGTGAATAAAAGCAGAAACAGAAGCAAGGTGAAGGGGTGGGTGAGCAAGAAGCAAGATAAAAGGCAGAAGTGAAGCAGCCAAAAGAAAAAGTGAGATAAAGAAGAGAGCAAGGACCCCATGGCCAGCAAGATCCAGATCAAACCAGGAAGGGGCAGCTCTTCAGAGATAGGCATGCGCATTAAAGAGAAAAAGTATCCTTAACAGGATGCTGTATGATAATCAGCTCATTAAAGCTCATGCATATGGACTACCTATCACGCATGTAGTTAAAATTATGGGATGGAGACAATTCACAAGCCCGCACAGGCTAAAGTAACTAAGCAACACACCTATCTATCAAAAGGCAGGCACCGGCAAAAGATCAGGCAGCCTTGCGAAGAGAAGGGGAAAAAACACATAAAAAGACCCAAGGTACACCGAAGCCATGCTAATCTCATTTGGCAGAAGTCAGCCCACTCTCCCCTCTCCGGGAATGTAATACTGCGCTTCACACACTTTTGCTGCTTGCTTTGCTGTCTGAGTATCACATCCAGTTCTTTGTTCAGGACACCAAAAGCCTGGAATTGCACAGCACCATCGGGTTATAAATGGGTCTCTGCATTTTGTGTCTTCTAAGGCCACAGAGAACAAATGGGTAGTTTTAAAGGGGCACAAGAGGACTTCCAGAGGGTATTCTTCCAGGTTTAGCACAAAGAGAACAGGCAGTAACTCCCAGCTCTCAGTATCTCCCCAGAAGGCATTTGCCTGCACACTCTCTCAGCTGCTGCTAGAGAACAGGGCTTCGAACTGGCCTGCAGGTAGGAGATGATGGGGCTGATGGAGAATGGGTTTGACCACACACCTGACACCTCAACTACATTTCACAGTACTTAGAATAGAATGGACTCCATTGCACAGTACCTAGAATAGAAGTAGGTATTCAAAAAATAGTTTTTAAATAAAAGAACAAATTATTTTAATTCTTTCTAATAAAAGTTTATGATATCCACATTTACTAGCACAAATTGTGTGATTTTGAAAATTCTGTTCATGTCAAGCTAAGTCATCTTCTGTAAGATCACAGGTAGCATTTTTGTCATTTATCTTGCCACAATAAAATATTTGAACTGTCTGGCACAAGTGGCAATATCTCCGCTCCCTGCTGCTCAGACACTTCCGCAAAAAACCTGCACCTGATTGGACAACGTGGCCCCGGAGAACAGGTAAGTGGCAGAGCTTTGTTTCTATATCAGCAACATCAGTTTTAATGTAAACAGCAGGCGTCTTTCTTTTTAGAGCAGTAGCCTACTTGTGTTTCCATATAATTACAGTATTCTTGGCAGAAGCCTTCACTTCTCCTGCAGTCAACAACTTTTAAATCTGATGCAGGTTCTTCATTAAAAAAAGAAAAAATCCAACATTAGCTTCTTAAGACCATCTCCAGAATCAAACAGTGGTCATTTGAGCCGTGAGGGACAGGGTGGGGGTGGCATGGATATGAAACAGCTTTCCATAGTTAATAGCTTCAAGTTCCAAACTAAAACATCAACTCCAGATATATAGCTCTGCCCCACTAAATCTCCTTTAACCAAAGGAAGGAATAATCCTGTCTCACAGGAATACTGTTAGACTAAATAACACACGCCTACTATTGCACCTGTTTATATTTGTTGTGTAATAATTGAGTTTTCTTTTTCCCTTCCCTTGGGAGGAGATCCAGATGAATGAGTCCTTTGGAACTGTGGGCCAATTAGAAAGGGATGGGAGGTTGGGTAGGATGCTGCAGGCATCAAATTCAGCAGGACTTTATTTGCTGGATGTCACAGCAATTTGCCAACACCCTCCTGTCTTTCTTGCTCTTGCCCACTGATCTGCTAACCTAGTTCTCCCTGTCTTAGGGTCAGCAATCAGCTTGGCATTAAAGAAGCATCTTGGAAACTACAGGCTCTTCCAGGCCCTTTTGGATTTGAAGCTGGTCCTGCCCAGGGGTTTGGGGGCTGACCAGAAGCCTGGCCCTTCTGGAAGAGTCCAGAAGAGTGGCTGTGGGCTCAATTGTCCCTTGCCATGTCCTGCTACCTCCTTGCCTGAGTAGACTGACAATACAGTCTATTCTCTGCCCCCATCCTCAGGAAGCATTTCCCAGACCTCAATGGACACCTGAAACTTAGTAGGTAGGTATTCAGTAAATTCCTTGAACGGGAACGACCTCCAAAGCTAAGGGCATGGGGCTGCAACCTGGCAGGAGGCCATGTTTCCACCAGTGTCTCCTCTGGCACCTGTTCTTGGAGGAAGCCAGCAATTACAGGTGTGGCTTCAGATAAATTGCCTTTTGGCCCCTCAATACTCCCACGTTCCACAAGGCCCTCAATGATCCAGCCCCAGGGGAAGCTGTGAGACCCCGTGGTCTCCCTGACAGGCAGGGCAGCCCAATGCACCCGCACCATGTCTTCCCCAAACAATGACTGCTCACCCACCCCGACCAGCACAGACATCTTCCCGTCTATTTGTTCCCTCTACGTCTCCCCAGTGGATGCACTTGTTGCACGTGTTGGTCCCTGACTCACCTTGGTAAGGTGGGGTGCGCGGTGGTAAGAGGTCCCGTTTCACTGCGTGGCGTAGCAGCTGAAACCCGTTTGTGCCTTGCCCAGGGGCTCTTTCCCTGAGTTCTCCGAGAGCCTCAGTGGCTGAGTGGTTCACATGTCTGGCTTGAGACGATCCTGTGCAAGTGGAAACACACGTCTGAGGATGCTCTGAGGCCTCCGCCTGGCAGACCCGTCAGCATGAGGCACCTACACTCTACCAGGTGAGTGAGCATGGGTGATTGGGTGGGGGAGTTGGGAGGGGTGCTAGTGTTCCGTGTGTGTGCACATTTGTGCACATGCGTTGTATGCACCTATGTGTAGAGAGAGAAGGTGAATGAAGTGTAAGAAATGTATGCCATGAATGGTGAGTCTGAGCACCTCCTCAAAGCCAGCACAGCCAGAGAATTTATTTCAAGTGTCACTAATGCAGTTGTTAAGATTCCCTAAAATGTAATGTTCTTCTCTGTAAGGGAAAGGGGAATGTTAAAAGGATAAGAAAATGGAGTCGGGGAGGGACACTCTTCCCTGGGAAGCAAGTGCCATCAGCCAATTCAGAGTGCCATTTATGAACCCAGTTCAGAGACTCGTACCCAAAGCTCCACCAGGAATACATGCCCCAAGGACTTCATCTCTCCCTGTCCAGCCTGGACTCCCATACCTCAGATGACCATTGCAGAGAGATTCTGGCACCCAGACCCGGGTCACCTTTCCATTTTACCTGGAAACAGCAGGGCCACAAGGAGAAGGCTGGTGACGGACGGGAGCAATCGTTGCCTCATGTCTGCCAAGAGCACTGCAAGCCAGAAAGCACCCAGGGTGGGTGGGCAGGCAGCGGGGCTCCTTTGATGGAGTGAGGCTGGGTGTGTGGGCCCGGAGCGTGGGAAGAGCTGTGCTCCAGGATGACTTCTCATTCTCAAAGGACAATGTGGACACGCTACTATCCCACTGCTGGTGGAACAAACACTTGAGACACATATTTCAGGAAGTAAATAATACGCCTGAATGCCTTGGGTGGGTTTGGTGAATAAGGAAGAACAGAGAGAAACAGAAAGATGAAAGGCATGGAGGGGCAGAACAAACATAACTATCATAAAGTTGCCAATGTCCTCAAACGCTTCTCAAAAGCCCCCTAATGTTCATGAGAACAGGGACATAAATAAACTGCCATGTCGATTCTATCCTGTTGGCTGAGCGTTTTTATTTTAGTGTTAAAAAATCATGCATAAGACACACAACATAACAGGTAGGACCTGGTTTTACAAACTATCCCTTCCTGAAGTTATACAGAGAGTTCCAAGGCTGCTCAAAATGTTCTTTTCTTTTTCTTCTCCTCTCTGAGTCTCTCTCCCTGTTTCTTGGTCCCCTCCACTTCTCCTTCCTCACTTTGGACCCCCCTCCTTTCTATTTTAACTTATTTGAGTTGTCTTGATTTTTCTCTCCCCTTTCCATTCTCTTTACCCCCAGACACCTCCTGTTGATGTCACTGGGTCCAATTCAATTCTTTTAAAAAAGAAAAAAAAAATCTGTGTTTGAGTCTGGGTTTTCTCCTCTAGTAATATCCAAGCAGAGGACTTGTCTTCCCTTCTCCTTCATCTTTTTAAGCATTTTAACCAAGTGTGTGTTTCTTACTTGGCTGCATTAGCTCAGGTATGCATGTAACCCAGACAGTCTGCTCTGGACTTAACTAAAGTGAAGAAGGCTTTGGTTGAAGAGTTTTGTATTCACATAGCATCCAATGTAACATCAGTGATGTCTGGAAAAGATAGTGCTTATCTCATATGTCTCATTTGCATGTATATTTTAATCCAGACAGAGAAAACAACTTAGGTCATTTGTGTAAATAAAAATACTTACTCTCTACCTGGAGAAAGCTGGAAGCAAATGGAGAAAGAGGCAGCAATGACAACAGAGACCTGGGCATCCGCTGAAGCACCAGCAAAGGGCGGAAGGTTTGCAGCTGCGGACAGTTGCACATAGCAGCTGCCCTGGCAGCACAATGCGGAGGCCACTATCTTTTGGGTCTCAGGACAGATTCTCCACTGCAAAGCATGAGGTGCTGGTCAGGGAGAGCAGGAGCATCATTCACATCCTTTCACTTTAAGGAATTAGGAAGTCTTCCAATTCCAAGAGCACAGGGCAACACTGCGGAGATAGGTGACAACTGGCCCATGATAAGTTTCTTTAATCACTTACTGCATCAAATTCTGATAATTGGATGTTGGAAGAACATAGACAGTCAAGAAAGGAGGTAGACAGCTGCTCTACCTCAACCCTAAATGAAGATTTATTCGCTCATCTACATACTCTGGGTATTTTTTATACTCTAGTTCAATAGCAACTTCTTACAGTTGTATTTGTAATTATTTAAACTTGGAATGTGGATCTTTTATAACAGTGATGGAAATTTTGGAGTATATTGGTAACTTATTTCTATATATTTTTATCTTCTCTATAAAAGGAAAGAAAACAAAAACAAGCCTATTCCACCATTCAGATATTCATAGTAATGAATCATTAATCAAAATCATGACTTAAAATATAACAGCATTTGAGTAATTACCACCCAGGTAACGGAATCTTCTTTTAAGTCGTTAGAATTATTTGAAATAATTTAAATGAAGAAACTGAGCCAAAAATAGTTAGATCTCACTTTCTTTGTCTACGTCTTGAGATAAAGTAAGCCCCCTCTTCCATGCTTCTGAAAAGAACAATCTTAAAAAAGAGCAGCCGGGAAAGCCTAGTTCTGCTCTTTGACAGGCAAAAGCTGGTGAAGTCGTAATAAAGGCAATTAATGTTACATCTGTCCTAACACAACAATGCTCTCAGCTCCTGTCCTCTTCTGCCAGATTTCTGTGTCCTAAAAAAATCTTTGAATAATTCTCTTGCTAAAAGCCACATCCATCCTGAGGGGGAGGATGGCAGAACCCATTATAGAATATTCTAATAATTGTTTCAAGTTTTTTTTGGTCCATTCAATCAATAAATCATATTCTTTTTTTTTTAAGCTGCTTAGTATGTGGTATCTTGATTCGTTTGGACTAAGTAGGTGGGCTAAAGTAAAATGATCAAGATTTTATTGTCAAATAAGAAGTTCTGCAAATACATATTCCTGAAGGATCTTATTGGAAATTGCACACATGTGCAGGGGGTAAGATTTTCCACATCGGCACATCCTCCTTCTTGCTTCCCAAGTAGCATCCTGGTAAATCCTGGAAAATATGAATGCGAGAAGGAAAACCCTATTGTAGCCCAGTTTGGAATCAGAAGTTCTCTGCAGAATCAAATTTAGACTCTTCTTTTGCATTACTAAATGACCCAGTGAAAGTTTCTCTGGAGGAGACTCACAGAAGAGCGAAGCAAAGATTCCTATGCAGATTTTCTTATTCTTAAGTCTGAGATTGTAACATGCTAACCAGTCTGTAAGACCAACTAGAATGCCATTTACAGAGGCACAGATTCCCCTCTAGGGAAAATAACTGATATATGGAAAAGACACAAATATTAGAGTCTTCTTTGGAAAAAGCAGTCAGGAAGAATTACATGATAGGAGAGAAAACTGCTTTTGGATCGTGGTTAAAGAAGTAGCTTTGAGAATTGTGCAAAAATATTCTTTGGTATTTTGTTTCTTTTTCATGCACAGAATCACAAAATGAATTGTGTTTTCAGAAGTCGATTTGATCTGTAGCCATTTCAGCCATCCCAAGAATGCTCTTAAGGCAGCATATGAAAGAACACAGGAAATCCTTTCATGAGCGCTAAGGCATAAACACCATTTAGTTTTGGTAATAAAAACATGGTATTGTTATAAGTTTAAATAAATCTGTTGAGATTGCCTATTCTTTTTCTTGAGACGGAGTCTGGCATTGTTGCCCAAGCTGGAGTGCAGCGGCGCCATCTCAGCTCACTGCAACCTCCGCCTCCCGGGTTCAAGCGACTCTCCTGCCTCAGCCTCCTGAGTAGCTGGGATTACAGGTGCCTGCCACCGCGCCCAGCTAATTTTTGTATTTTTAGTAGAGATCGGGTTTTCACCATGTTGGCCAGGCTGGTCTTGAACTCCTGACCTCAAGTGATCCTCCCGCCTCTGCCTCCCAAAGTGCTGGGATTACAGGCGTGAGCCACCCTGCCTGGCCGAGGTTGGCAATTCTGACGAAACAATCATAACATTTTGGAACTGAAAACTGTCTTAGAGACCTAACCAATATTTTAAGAAGAGGAAATGGAGGATGAGTGAAAAAGCGATGTGTCTATATGTGTTAATTAAAGACTAAAGATCTGGAGGAGGCTATGCACTGCAGACACTATTAACAGAATGGAGTCCATGTAAATAAACAAAGGGGTGCTCAAAGTTAAAGGGAAAGGCAACAGATTTGTTTGGGGAAGAGCAGGAGTTCATGGTGGTCACAGACATAAGAAGAAATGTAGTTTTTCACGGGAATAGTATCTTTTCTCCACGGTGCCATGATGCTTTTATTATTTTGGGTGTAATTTCTCATAACTGGAAAGCATTTCAGCCCCTTCCCAGTCCTCAGAGGTTGACCATTTTTTTCTCTCGGATTCAGCCACAAAGGCAGCTCTACCACTCACCATGTGTCTGTCTTTGACTTTGTCATGTTGGGAAGACTCAGGACCCCACCTATTTTTACCCACAGGGCCCTCTGTGCCTATGAAACTGAGGTCCCAGCAGTCCTTGTGGACATATCACAATCTAAAATTCAGGGATAAGAAAATCTACATAGGAATCTCTGCTTCACTCACCTGTGAGACTCTTCCAGGCTAATTTTCTTTGGGTCATGTGGTAATGCAAGAGAAAGTTGATTCTATAGCAACTTCTGAGCACAGACTTGGCTGCAATATGTTTCCCCTTTACACAGTCATATTTTCCAGGATTTAATGGGATGTCTCTTGGGAGGCAAGAAAGAGAATATGCCAGTGTGGAAAACCTTAACTCCTGCACGTTGAAAATTTCAAGTTCTGCTCTTTTGGATATTTAAGTAAGGACCTGGGTGGTGATTTGCTCACCCAGATATTTTCTCTGTCAATCTCTGTCTCTCTCTCTCAACTTCAAATAATAAAAAACGCATAAATTAAAAAGTGAAAAATATCCAAACAATCCTTCCTTCTGTTGATTTTCATTAGGCACATTTCAAAGGGTTACTGATCATTCATTATGAACTACAGACTTCAGATCTGTATCCATCCTTTGGAGATAGAAGATAAGTAGCAATGTTATTGGGTTTCTGATTGTGTTTGTAGTGCATCAGGTACAAATTATTAAATATTTCCTGCCAATTCTGGAAACAATAAAATAGAACAATCTATCTTTGTTCTTTTACTGTAAAGCCCTGAAATTAAAGTAGTGCGACTTTGTGATGTCGTTAAGTGCTGAGGATAGCAGTTCATTAATATGACTATGTGAATTACACCTGAGGGCGGGAGGGGGCGCTGTTTCAGAATCCAGCCTCTTTAGAGAGCAAAACAATAGGACACCAGGACGGCAAGCCAAACCCAGGGCTCTTCAGTGAAGACCACGATACAAGGCTTTCTACGTTATCTGACAATGAGATAGCTTTGCTTTCTGCTTGTTCTTGTCTCTCTGGCCACTACGGCGGGTGGCGTTGATTAAAGTCTGTAGAAGTCCCTTGCTTTGCTCTATATTTACATTGGGAGGTACAAGATGGCCTCCTTGGCAAGGCATCAAATTACATTTTAAAAGGAGACAAAAAATAATTGTAGCACAGGGTCAGCAGTTGGATCTCTGTTTGTAAGTGTTGTTGGGCAGAATGGCCATACGGCAGGAGGGGAAATCAAGGTACAAGTCAAATAAGTCACCTTCCCAAGGTCCGCTGCTAAGCAGTAGAGCTGGGATTCCAGGCTTTGCGTATTTGTACATGCCATGCTGTGCTGCCTCTGAACTGCACTTGAGATGTGGGGTCTAGGCCTGGTCTTGCCTAATATCGTGGCCAGTGTTAGGAAAACCACTAATCCGTCTGAACCTTAGTAACAGTGCCTAAAAGGTGAGGATGTTGACACTTACCATGCCTAATTCAAGAGTTTATGGTGAGGATCAAAGGAGATTATGTATTAAAAGTATTTTATAAAATACAAAATATGAGAATAATGAAAAGAGTCTAAAAAAATGTAAGACTAAAATAAATGTCACATTGTCTTATAGCGTGTTCTGTATGTTGCATTTGGAGTGTGGCATCCTTGGGGGTGGTTCAGTAGTTTCTTCTTTTCCTGTAATTGCAGTGTTGAGACCTAGGGGCTTGCCCAGATATGCACTCAATTTTCAGCACAATATTTTATAGATGGAATAGAAGTACACATCACCATCTGTGCAAGAGGCCTTGGAGGTAAACAACCTGAGGCAGTATGTGGACTTTCCAGGATCCAGATTCTAATAAATCAACTCTTAAAAAGGCACTTATGAAATGCTCAGGGTCATTTGAATACAGATTGGCTGTTAAATTGTATTTAGGAATGAATGCTGATTTTTTCCAGGGGTGATAATAGTATTGGGGTTCTATTTTACAAAACGAGTTCTTTCCCCCTGAGTTACACCTTCTAGAGTATTTTCAAATGGGCACCTTTGAAATAATTTATTTTTATTTGAGATAATCTAGGAGAGAGTTATCAAGGGATGAAACAAGACTAACCACATATTGAGGCTGGGCGATGCCTACGCGAAGGGCCATTACACTGTTTTGGTAGAAAGGGCACAATGCAGCCTCAGTTTCCACCATGACAAGGTGAGGATGATGCTGCTTACCATGACTAGAAGCTCGTACGTGGCATTATGTCCTTCTATTAGGAAGCACAGGGTAGCAGGTTGTCTTTCTGGCTTATTTTAATCGCTGTTGACATTCCTTGGCTAGATCCCTGTTTCCCTATGTGTTTGCAAAATGGCGACACTCCTCATTTATTAGCTGGACTGCTTTCGAAGAGAGAAGCTTTTGACTACCTTAAAATTTGGTTTGGACAGGAAAGGCAGGCAGGTCAAATGTTTCATCACTCACCTTTCTTTACAGGTTTTCAGGATCAAGAATCCACAGCTCAGCGCAGGGCTGCTCTCTGCTGCCCTCTGCTGGATGGGACCCTCCACAGACGCCCACTTGATCAACCCCTTAAGCTCCAATGGGTTCCCAAGCTTGTCATCACACATCACCTCTTTTGTTTTTCTCCTCAGAGGTCTATGTTTTGAAATATAGTGTATTCTAAACAAGGCACACTTAACATTGATTTACTTTACATTTTAATTAACACACGATATATATAACTCCTGAGCAAAACTTTCGATCGGAAAAGAAAACCAATATTATCAGGATAAAAATGATGTTTTTCTTAGGTTTATAGCTGATTAGGTAGACATATTTTTTGTTCAACTTATAAAGTGTTGAAACTCATGCTTAACTCCCATTGTTATTCTCCATTATCACAACCAGAGGCGGCTTTCCAGCCTGTATTCTTCTTCAATCTCCTATATTGGCTTTGCATTGAGTGGAAGCTCAGCAAACCTTCTTTGATAACTGAACCCGTGGTTGCAATGGGGATGCCCTTGCTGCTAGGCCGCAGGAAGGAAAGCTACTGAGGTCCTACTTCCAGCGACTCTAGGGACCAGCACTACTGCGTTTCAGGGTTTTGTACGATTCAGTAAGCTCTCATCCCATTTTCTCAAACAGCATGCATAGGTGTTGGGACATCTTCCAATTCTGTATTCTTGGCTGCGACATTTCTTCCGGCAACGGGCAGTCCCATAACCACATATTCTGTCCAATTCAAATTCGCTTCTCACTAGATAACAGGATATGGCACTGTCATTAATTGCTTACTGGCACCAAAAGGCAAGGCTTTGGTAGAAGGTGTTTTCGGAGGGGGATAGAGAATGCTAGTGCATGGTGGTAGAGGTTTTCCTGGACCCCCATCCTCCTCCACTTTCCTAGATGATTGACTTGACCTTCTGATTCCCAACCAGCATGGATTTTATTTGAAAATGTACATCATTCCATGTCACACTTATTTTCAAAATCCCTACAAGTTTACTATTGTTTTCTTTATTAAATCTCTCCAAGCCCCTTACTTGGTCTCCAAAGCAATCGTGATCTGATCTTGGGCCACTTTTTCAGACTCATGCTTTTCCACTGTGGCCCTCACTCTGTCCATGAAACTCTCGCCGGCTTCCCTTCTGTTCCGTGTGAGCTTACTCTTTGCTATCCTGGTACCTTCACGTGCACTGTCCCCTCTGCCTGGAAGGTTTTTCTTCCTTCCCATAAGTGAATTCTTTGAACTTTTATGTCTCAACCTTAAGTTCCCAATATTGGGCAAATCTTTCTCTGTCCTCTTCGTGTATTCAAATGCCCCAAAAGTATTTTTCTCCCTATGCATTTGTTATTCTTTTATATCACCTATCGCAAGTTGTAGTTATATATCTATGTATCTATATAGGTATATATATATATATACATATATAGAGAGAGATACATACAAACATAGACATAGATATAGATATGTATATATGTATGTATATTTTGTTATTTGCTATTCTCATTCGAACTATGAGCTCCCTGACAATGAGGCCCATGTTTATGTTGCTTACCATTGTGTAACTGCTACCAGGAACATAGCCTGTTCTCAATAAGGACGTGGTGAGTAAATGATTGGATAGACTAGACCAGAATAAACTAGAGTGGTTGCAAGTAGAGAGGAGGAAACTAGAAAGGAGCAGAATCCTGATTGTTCGGCCGTTGGCCCAGAGCAGTTTTCAGGAGACATGGATTTAGCTTCTCAGTCTCAGGGTGCGCTCTCTGAGGCTGAAAGCAGCTTTGTAAAACTCATTATCTCACATGCCACACTGATAGGATCTTACAGAGATATCAGGAAAACCCAGAAGCAAGGCTGATGGTAGGGAGGACAGCGTAAGGTGGACCGAGAGAGTCTCGCTGGAGAGAGCTTTGCTAGAGGTTCTCTAGCAAACTCAGCAGGAGCCAGGCTTGGGAGAGGGTGTCAGAAGAACCCTGGGGAGAGGAGAGTCAGGGCTGCAAATGGACCTCTTTGCAGAGGTCGGGGCCCAAGAGTCCTAATTTCATCTTAGCCTTAAGTCCTTCTCCCCTGTTGCATCTGTTCCTTTTCTACAAAGCAGAAACGGGCTGCTAATCCTCGCACCAGGGTTTTATGTCTTTCATTTGTTCTGGTAAAGAGAAGCCTCCTGTTTCTGATGCTTAGGTATCAAGGTTCTTTGTCCAGGATGTAGGTGAGGACTAAAAGGCAGTTTGACCAATTCATGTGCTGGATAGGATATTGAAGGGGTTAATATTTGGAATGGCCCCACAGTGGGTGATGAGGAAAGACTGTTTTGCTGTAGGCTTCATTCAAAAGCAAGCCCTTGTGGTCACAGTACAAGGCAATGAAGAAAGGAGTGAGGTGGGCTGCAGTGTGTATCATGCTGAGGGAGTATGTGGAGGTTGAGTAGCAGATATGTGCCTTCTGACATATCTGTGGCAGGTCACTTTACAACCTGGAGTTAGAGGAGGAAAAAGAGGACAGCATGCTTGCTCAGGGAAAACGAAGCTTAGCGTTAGGGGAGAAGAAGAATAGACTAGGAAGAGAACACAACCTTTAAAATGTTAGACTGTCAGTTTCAAACAAGCCCTCACAGGCCATCTATTTAGAGATGGGAATGAAGGCTCAGAGAAGGAAAGTGACTAATCTGACGTCACACAGCAACTTATGTGTCAAAGCTGGAAGAAAAACCTAGTTGGTATGTCTTACAGTCTCAGTAAACAGAATGCAAAAGGGAGAATGCAGTCCATACACTAAGGCTGAGTAATAAACATTTCCTAAGCAATAAATACATTCCAGGGTAGACTACACTACACTAGTTTCTTTCTTGCATAAGCAATTTTCCTCCTCTGCTCTACAGACCCAGAAAATCTTAGGCAGGTCTCAGGTCTTAGTTAATGTAGAAAGTTTATTTTGTCAAGGTTGAGGACACACCTGTGACACAACCTCAGGAGGTCCTGAGGACATGTGCCCAAGGTGGTTGTGATGCAGCTTGCTTGGTTTTATACATTTTAGGGAGACATAATACATCAATCAAGACGTGTAAGATTTGCTTTGTTTTTTTTTTGTTTGTTTGTTTTTTTGGTTTTTTTGAGACAGAGTCTTGCTCTGTCGCCTAGGGTAGAGTGCAATGGCACGATCTCAGCTCACTGCAACCTCCACCTCTTGGGTTCAAGCGATTCTCCTGCCTCCGCCTCCTGAGCAGCTGGAATTACAGACATGCACCACCACACCCAGCTAATTTTTGTATTTTTAGTAGAGACGAGGTTTCACCGTGTTGGCCAGGCCAGTCTCGAACTCCTGACCTCAAGTGATCTGCAGACCTCAGCCTCCCAAAATGCTGAGATTACAGGTGTGAGCCACTACACCTGGCTGATTTACATTGGTTTGGTCCAGAAAGGTGGGACTATTCAAAGTGGGGGTGGCGGGGGGCCTGTGGGGGTGCAGTGGGAGTGTGTGGCAGGTGGCCTTCCAGGCTATAGGTAAATTTAAACATTTTCTGGTTGACAATTGATTGAGTTTGTCTAAAGACCTGGGATCAATAGACAGGAATGTTTGGGTTGCGACAAGAGGTTGTATTGTGGAGGCCAAAGTTGTATCATGCAGTTGATGCTTTTAGCTAGCAGGCTTCAGAGAGAACAGGCTGTAAAATGTTTCTTATCACACTTAAAGTCTGTGTTGATGTTCATGATGGAAAGTGTAATGAGGCATGTCCAACCCCCACTTCCTTTCATGGCCTGAAGCAGTCTTTCAGATTAAATATTAAGAGCCCTGGCTGAGGAGGGAGTCCATTTAGATGGTTGGGGAGAGGGCTTAGAATTTTATTTTTGGTTGACATCACCCATCCCCAGTCCCTGTGGGTATCTGAGGGGCTGACAGTGTGTGACACCCAAACTTACCCAAAGCAGGGGTGGCAGGAGAAGAGGCAGGCAGCGCATGTCATTCACCCTCACCCACTTCTGCCACTTCCCTCCCTAATCCTCTTCCTGCTAATGGTCTTTCTCAGAATTCAACTGCAGAGGACAGTCTGACCCAGCCCTCAGCAGCCAAGTGTGGATAATGGCAGCCAGCTCTGCGGTGCATTCTTCGGGATCTGGAGGGATCCCTGACCCAGGCTTTCCATCCCAAGTTCTTTGTCTTGGGATCAAAGGTTGAAGAAAACCTGTTCTTTGATAAATTGCTATCATATTTTAACAGACCTGGAACATGCTCATAGCAGAATTTCACAGAAGTGTCTTTGGGAAATGACACGGGAAGAAAGAAAAAGGAAGAGTTAACCTAAACAGGTACCCTCTGAAAAAAAATCATTAACCCATCTGAATCACAGTGGAGGCACAGCCTGGAAGGGTAAAAAGATGGGTGCTGGGTGTCTGTCAAAGCCCCATAAAATTGACTGAGCAGCTTGGAAGAGAAGATCCGATGGCTTCTACGAGTCAAAACAATTGGTTTCGTCCCAGCACTGCTAGACTTGTTAAGCAACTCTAAAAATCTTATTTTCTCTCACTGTACTATAGAGAATGCTGCTCAGCTTGTAAAAGAAGGGAATTAGATTAGGTGCTCACTCATATCCATTGCAAATATATTAAGAAATACATGCTTCTGGGGACATAGATTAACGTAGGAGTCAGAAGATTGCTGACATCTCAGTCTAAAATTTCCTGAGCAGAGTTCAAAGGCACCTGCTATTTGTGTTGTCAGTAAATTACGTTCTTGCCTACTGAAATCACTGCATCCCCTTTAATCCTAATCATCTGACTTGATATGAAAAGTTGCAAAATTTAGGAGGATGAGTAGGCGCCCTTTCTGTGCAGAGTAAAGCTGTTCAGAAGGAGGAGGATGGGAGAAGGCATCTTATTCTACAAAATCAACAATGAATAATTGCTGCTGCCCTGCAATGGAACAAGCATGGCTAGTGAGTCCTCACTGCTGAGGATTCCATGAGGAATTGTTACCGTGTGTGGCCAGGGTGCCAAGGACATCTAGGACTCCTGATCCCTACGTTTCTTTTTTCCTCCTTGAGCTAGTAAGCCTCATGGCTGTAAGGTGCATACAAGGATTGCCACATACTGCATTTTACTAATGGACCCAATGAAAGCAAAGAGAAAAAAGGCTGAGATTGAAGAAGGTTACTCCATCCTTCAGGATTTATTTTCTAAATCAAATGTTTTTCTTCTCCCCCTGTCATCCCCAGCAACTGTGTATATTTCCAGCTGAGAGTCCCTTTTTACCTGGAAGATCTTGATAGAGTAGAAGAGAAATGGCTAATAGCAGCACAAGTCTCTGCATAATGCTGGGGCTGCTGGCGAGAAGCAGACGCAAGTCGGAGGGAATCACCCCAGGCAGGAGCAGGGCAGGTGTATTTATGGGCAGAGGCTGCTCTTGATTACTGAGGCTTATCAAAATGCAGCGTTCCTTGGTGAACACTCACCAAGGCACAGTGTGGGGGAGGTGTTGGGGCTACAGAAATGCCAGCTGGGCAGTGTTGAGGGTGGGGAGACAGTATTACCATAGGTAAAGTCCAAGTCACTTCACTTGCTTCCCCGAATCGTTTCTGAAGCAAGAACTGGATTAGATGATCTCTAAGATACCTTCCAGCCTTGACATTCCTCAATTCTGGTGAGAGGACTTTCTCTTCCATTTCAGTACATTTCAGTCAGGAGATTCTTGTTGAAAACTGTGATGTGGCTAATGGAATTGAAGTCCATAGCCCCCAAGACCTCTCTGAAGTAAACATTGAAACAAACATACAACGTCAAGGAGAAGAATGGCATGGAGCGTGGGGAGGTCATAAATGCGTGAAAAGTCCCAGCACATTTCTGTGATAGAAAAAGTATAGGATGAGGATGACAAGTGACAACAAGGAATACTTGATGGCGGGCATTGTCCAAGGGTGGGATTGTAACCACAGAGCATCAGGCTCACTTAGGGCTTAGGTGAAAAGGAGGACAAGAATGAGAAGAGAGGTTAAAAGGAGACAATTCATGGGAATGCTGTATTTCTAACAATGGCTTCAAATAAAACATAACCTTCCAGAGAGCATACGCCTGGCCCTCAACCAGGGGTATATGCTCCCTGGATTTAACCCCAACCCCACCCGAGGCAAAACATATAGAGCATATGCTCCTGGCATTTGCCCTTAGGGAAAACACCAGATAATTTTATTTTAAGAAAAAAAAAAATACTTCATTTCTCTAAAATGAAATATTTTAGAGAAAGTAAAAACGTCCAATCTTGGAAGTTGACATTCTCGAATAAGCTCCCCTTATTCTAGAACACAGATTAGACAAAGCCTGACAGACATACGTTGCTTGCACATCCTAAGCAAAATCTAGCAGTCAGTGTGTCTTCCCCAGAGTTCTCACTTAGGGGAGAATGTGATGGAAAACCAGGTCTCCTTTCACAGTAACGGAATAGAATAGAACATCAGAAATCATAAACTATGCCAGTTTGGGTGCTCCATGAAGCATTTATCAACAGGAATTAGAAAGGAAATAAATTTATTGGGAAATGCCTGTGAAAGATAAAGGGGGGCCAGGCGCAGTGGCTCACACCTGTAAATCTCAGCACTTGGGGAGGCTGAGCGAGGGAGGAGGATCATGTGAGCTCAGGGGTTTGAGTCCATCATGGACGGCATAGAGAGACCCCGACTCTACACAAAAAGAAAATTAGCCAGGGATGGTGGTGTGTCCCTGTAGTCCCAGCTACTTGGGAGGCTGAGGCAGGGGGGTCTCTTGAGCCCGGAAGTTCGAGGTTGCAGTAAGCTATGATGGCACTACTGCACTCCAGTGTAGTAGGCAATACAGCAAAACCTTGTCTCTGAAAAAAATAAAATAAAATAAAAATTCAAAACAAAAAGATGATGGGGAGAGGGAGCAAGATTGAGTAGGGAAAGTCTTCAGAACATGACGTCAATTAACACCTGTGAAAAGGTTTGGAGTCGGGGGAGCCTCAGACTACAGTGCAGAAAATTTCAGCATTGCCAGTGGGGAACCCCAGGGCAAAGACTGTCCTACACCAGCAGACATGGCCCAGCTCTAGTCCACATTGTGCTCATTCACTGCCTGGAAGCAGCCAGGGCAAGAGTGGTAGCCATGGGAATCCTGCCGCAGGTTACAAACGTGCAGCACGTAGAGGCCGTCGGATACTCTCCTCACAGCAGACACACAGCAAGCACAAATGTGCAGGATCCATGGGACCCTCCTAGCCTGCCACATGTCAGGCTTTAGTAATTTTTGATGATGAGCTTCAAGGGAAAAACATCAGCCAATATTCAAGGTCATCTATGTGACCAGGATTCTGAAGAAAACTGAAAAATTCTGATGATAATAAATATTCAGCAATTCTTCAAAAAAAAAAGGTAATTCATATACAGGGACTGAATAACCAAACTTCAAAAGAAATCCTATATCTTCTTAGGAGAAAAAAATAATAAAAGCTTTATTTGCTGAGTCCTTATGAAGTATTTCAGAGTTCTGGTTTCGGTCGCTACAAGTAAAAAGACTGAAAGTAACTACTTTACTCCTTAAAGAAAGAAAAAAAAAGCCAAATAAATGGAAAAATCAATGACTTTTCTTGGACCCATTAGGGAACTGAGGGCTCCGGGCAAACCCATTGCGTGGAAATCTGGAGTCACAGCTGAGATGAGCTAACCTGGAATGGAAGCTCTGAAACCATAAACTAGCAGGAACACTTACGGTGACTTCGACAACTTGCTGGAGGCTGAACGTGGACATTTAGGAGAGTGAAAAACTGCTAGAGACCATGGTCAAAGGCTCTCCCTTCTCAACCCCTGCTTTCCTGGGTTTTAAATCCAGGAAGCCCCCAAGGTTATCATGGTGAAGAGCCAGAATGGAAGCCCTCATTGCCCTGAAAGGAGAAGGGAAGAGTGATATTGTGAAACATGTCCAGAGGATTCCCCATAACCAAAGCCTCCTTCTCTGCAGGAAAAACAATTTTACTCGAGCCATATCCCACCTGGAGGGGAAGACGTTTCCCTATTCCAGCCCCATCTGACCTTCCTGTCTCACTTGAGGGATGGGGGTAGCTAAGAATTTCTTGAGAGCCGGGCACGGTGGCTCATGCTTGTAACCCCAGCACTCTGGGAGGCCAAGGTGGGCAGATCACCAGGTCAGAAGTTCAAGACCAGCCTGCCCAATATGGTGAAACCCCATCTCTACTTAAAAAGTACAAAAATTAGCCAGGTGTGGTGGTACACACCTGTAGTCCCAGCTACTTGGGAGGCTGAGGCAGAAGAGTCACTGAACCTGGGAGGAGGAGGTTGAAGTGAGCCAAGATCATGCCACTGAACTCCAGCCTGGTGACAGAGATTTAAAAAAAAAAAAGTTCTAGTGACAGTCACAGTGCAGGGACACACAGGCTCAGGTAAAGATGAGATTTACTTATAAGATTATAGAATGCTTCCTTTTCCCCTGCCTCTTTTTTGTTCATCCCTTGCAGCTGTCTGAGACATAAGATCCTTAATATCATCCTCAGGTTAGTCCCATTCAACCATCGCCTCCATTTGCAGGCTTGACCAGGTCCCAGTATCATGTGGATAAATTGACAAAGATCAGGAAGTCATGGATTGTATGTTTAAATGAGGATTCTAAATTCCTCAGCAAATTCCTGGGGGTTTTCCTTTGGGTTAGGGAAGTCTTTCACTATTTCTGTCAGTTCGGATTTTGACCAAGACATAAAGGTAATTAAAGAAGGCAGACACAGTTGATCTGAGGAACTAACTTTAGAAGGCATTTTCCTAACTTGCTTCTCATCTTCATAGTAGAAAGGCAGCTGAGTGAAGAGGGTAGTGGAATCAGAGTAATTAGGCAGAGGAAGAAGAGAGACAGGAGGAAAAGAAGGAGCATTGAGAGTTGAGTGAGTCAATGTGCAATTTTTTATCATCACTGATTAAGTGCTTAAGCTTTTAATTTGCCTTTTGTAAAGAGTCTTTAAGAAAGGCAAGTTCTGATTTGCTTAGTCTTTTAGAAGCTTCTGCATGCCAATTAAAAACATATCTCATTTTTTTGAGGCATTTAAGATCACTTCTCTTTCAATGTAGCTTATAGATGAATAACTGTTTAGGTTAAAATTTCTTCACTGTGACCAGTGTAATTCTAAGTTGTCTTTAGTAAAGTTTACACATTTATTTAGAAAAACACAGGTTCTGGGTCCATAATTTTTATACATGAACGTAGCTAGAGTCCCAGATGGAGAGGTTCCAGACTACCTGGATACAGATGAACTCATGATTCTTTGTCTTCCCTAAACCCTGCCTTCTTAAGACCTTCTGTTGGACCCAGTCCAGTTTCTGCTGGATCCAGACACAGAGAGAAAGCGGTGAGTAAAACCGGCTCAGCTGGTAACTACATCTGGCTACTCATTGTCCCAGGAACCATTATCAGGGCTTCTTTGGGTCCCTCTTCTGACAACAGAAGTATTAAAAAATAAACTTAGGCACATAAAAATCTTAGAGTTTTCTTTTGAGCAGATATCAATTTAAGAATCGGGCAGGCTCCAAAACACAAGTCTTTTGGGGCTCACGCAAAGAGGCACGAGGAAAAGGCTTTTATAGGGTGAAAATGGAAGAAAGGCAAATTAAACATCTAATTGGTTAAGGTGGAGTATAAGCCTTATTCGAATCATTCCATTCCCTTGTTAGAGGTTAGTTGGTGGTTTCTGATTGGTTAAAGTTTTCTTTTACCATTCAAACCGAGTTGGGTTTTAGTTTGCTTATGTAGAAACCGAGTGCACTGAAGCTCCCGCAGTCTAATGGCCTCTCATTTAATTATTTTAACAAGAGAAATATTCTGTGTTCATATAATAGAGAATTTAACGTTAAGATGTCAATATTTACAACTTGACCTATAGATTAAATATAATCCCAGTCAAACTTTTAGCAAAATATGTTGTTGACATTTCCATACTGATTCAAAAGACCTAGGATCGTCAATACAATACCGGAAAGAACAAGGTTGGTGGATGATAGGGTTTCTGTCCCCATCTAAATCTCATCTTGGGTTCTTGCTCCCATAATCCCCATGAGTCATGGGAGGGACATGGTGAGAAGTAAATGAATCATGAGGTGTTTCTTTTCTGTGCTTTTCTCATGAAAATGAGTAAGTCTCACAAGATCTGATGGTTTTATAAAGGTCAGTTCCCCTGCACACGCTGTCTTTCCTGTCACCATGTAAGACATACCTTGCTCCTCCTTTGCCTTGAGTCATGATGGTGAGACCTCCCCAACTGTGTGGAACTGTAAGTCCATTAAACCTCTTTTTCTTCATAAATTACCCCATCTCGGATATTTATTTATAACAATGTGAAAATGGGTTAATACAGTGAACTTACACTACCTTATATCAAGACTCACTAAAAAACTGCAATGATGAAGGCAGTGTGGGAGTGGTGAAGCAATAAATAAATAGATCAAACAGAGAAACAGAACAGAATGGATAGCTCAGAAAAGATCAAAGCAACTCCTCTCTATCAAAGAAGCAAAGGTAATATAATGGAGGAAGAATAGTCTTCTCAACAAATGGTGCTTGAACAATTGATATCCCTATGCAAAAGAGAAAGAGAAGGAGAGGTAGAGAGGAGAAGAGGAGGCAATGAAGTGGGGGAAAAGAGGGAGGGAGGGAGAGAGAGAGAGAGAGAGAGAGAGAGAGATGGCCTACGATGAGGGAGTGATTAAACAAACTGTGGTTCATCCGTATCCTGGAATACTGCCCAACAATAAGAAGGAAAGAGCTATTGATAAATGCAACAACCTGGATGAATCCCCAGAAAGTTATGCTGACTGAAAAAAGCCAGTCTAATAAGGATATATACATTCTATTTATATGGCATTCCTAAAAGGACAAAATTGTAGAAATGGAGAATAAATCACTTATACAGGGGTTAAGACGGAGGTGGAGGTGTGAGGGAAGAGAGAGTGGCTCTGAAAGGGTAACATGAGAAGTCCTCCTGATAATGGAAATGTTATGCATCAGTGTCAATAACCTGGTTGTGATATTGCACTATGGTTTTACAAAGATGTTACTATTGAGGAAAATAGAGTAAAAGATCTGGGTATCTCTCTGCATTATTATTATTATTTTTGGAACTGTAGAGGAATCTACAATTACCTCAAACTAGAAAGTGTAACTAAAACATCCTTTTCATGAAAGGGTTATTGATTCTAATAGAATTAAATCTATCGACTTTGAAAAATTAAAGGGGAGGTAAGGCAAGATTTCTGAGCCAGCAGGAAACCAAAACTAACTCTTGAGCACTGGAAACATGATAGGAAATTCTTACTTAAACTAAGTAATTGTCTCAGTCCATTCATGCTGCTATAATAAAATACCTTATGCTGGGTGATTTATAAACAATAGAAATTTATTACTTACAGTTTTAGGGGCTGGAAGACCTCAAAAGATTTACTATATCCTGAGGACCCAGTTTGTGCTTTCAAGATAGCACCTTGTTGCTCAGCCTTCACATGGCAGAAGAGACAAACGCTGTGTCCTCCCATGGTGGAAGGAGCAAGGCAGTTTCTTTCAACCTCTTTTATAAGGGTGCTAATTCCATTCATGAGGGCAGGGCCCTTGAGGCTTAATCACCTCCTCAAAGGCCTCATCTGTTAATCACCAGAGTGGGGATTAGGCTTCAGCATTAATTTTGGAAGAACACATTCCCACCATAACAGTAATTTTGAGGCTTAGAATCAGAAGGTAAACTGTCAGCCAGTTCCTAGGAAAATCGTAGGCAGTGATTTGGGGAAGAGGGTCTAAATCACTAGAGTTACTGAGACTCATAGAGGTAATTATGACTCCCTTGCCTGTCAGCAAATTTTATCTCAGACTTACGTGTAGAGAACAAGTCTATAGAAAATATTTAACTAGCCCCAATTAAAGACATGGGGTCATGATGACTAATTTAGACAGGTGTGTGTGTGACACATAAAAGTCTTTGATAAATGGACCGCCTATCCATCAATTTGTCGTTCATGTAGCTATTCATGTAAATGTATGCTCATTTATGTGGGCATATGGCATGATGGTAAAAATTTTTAAAAAGTGTGCTCTTGCGATAGTTTGATGAGAATGATGGTTTCCAGTTTCAAGGACAAAAAACCAAACACCACATGTTCTCACTCATAGGTGGGAATTGAACAATGAGAACACTTGGACACAGGAAGGGGAACATCACACACCGGGGCCTGTTGTGGGGTGGGGGGAGGGGGAAGGGGGGAGGGGGGAGGGATAGCATTAGGAGATATACCTAATGTAAATGATGAGTTAATGGGTGCAGCACACCAACATGGCACATGTGTACATATGTAACAAACCTGCACATTGTGCACATGTACCCTAGAACTTAAAGTATAATAAAAAGAAAAAGAAAAAAAAGAATAAAATTTTGTTTTGTATTAAAAAAAAGTGTGCTCATTTCTCTACCTATTCATCTTCTTTCCACCTCCCTCTCTCTTTTCTTTATTTTCTTTTGTTTACTTCTTTCATGTCAATAGGTTAGTAAGCGCCAACTTACTAGACTGAGCACAAGCTAGAGATTTGTTGATTTCTAGTCTCTTCTAGTCCTCTTTTAAGAAAAATTTCAGATGGCTTTGGGACGATTTGTCTACTCCAGAATGATAGAAAAATAAACCGGGATGGAGGGAGCATCAAGGTCAGGCAGTGTTGTTCTCCTTTCTAAATGAAACACTTGACAAACTGAGCAAAGACAGTCATTTATTTTTATTAAAGTGTCTGCCTACAGCAGAGGCAAGAGTAAAAAGAAGCTAGGTTATGTATGCTTCTCTGGAAACCTAAATCTTCTGCATTAATCTATAATGCTCCCACATGGCTGGATGGTCCGACAGCATTTCAGAGACTTCTGGCAGAGAGCAATAAGTTCTTCATTTTTCCCGCAATTGTTCTTGCATGTCCCTTTAAGTTTGTTGCATTTCTCATCAAAAAATGCATTCTTGGCTACACGAGGGAAGGAGCCATTTGGATTAATTCCCTTTTCAGACATGTATGTTTACCAGATACGGTTGTATGACTACTTGGTGAAGATTTTTTCACAAGCTGTCATAGTGCCATATCCTACCGGTAGATGAGATGGTAGGGGACCTGATTTTTATCTGATATTTCAGTCTCATAGTCACACAGGGTGAAATACCGGAAAGAATACATTTGTCTTCCAGCATTTGAGACCAAGCTGTGTAGGAGCTTTGGGAAACGTCCCTAAGCTATGGTTCTTTAATCGAAATCTGTTGGGGATAATTATCAACTTGTTCCCATAAACACTCCCAGAGGCTGCTAATTTTCCTAGTGCACTCTCAGAGGCTGCTACTTGGTGAGAGTAGAGCAAGAGCTGAGACTGAGGAGATAGCTCCAGACTAGAGCAAAGGAAGGGATAAAGATATAAAAAGAGAATGAGTTTACTGTGGTAGATAGAAACTTGCTTGGAAGGCTCAGCCTGATTTCTCCTCCATATTCACCAAAGCAACGACTGCGGAAAACTTGTGCTTTAGAGAAGGAGGGTGCAGCATGTTGGGAATGTTTTTCTAAGATTTTCTCAGTTCATTTTGTGGAGAATTCCAGTTCCCACCTTAGGGCTTTATCAGTAGCAGTCCCAAGAGCAGCCTGCTTCAAGTTAAGGACAGACAGCACGTCTTATCAGGATCAACATTTTAGAGCTGCCCAATTTGTGTATATATAATGAAGGCATCAGATGTACAGAGATTGCATTTAATGTCTATACTATAATGTATATACATTTAATGTCAACATATAAAGGTGCCTAATTCAAATCTACATAAAACTTACAGCCAGGTGGATTAGTGCCAGCATATGCACTAATGATTATCCAGGATCAGCACATCAGTTCATAAGTGAAAATACTCCACTATTTCAAAGCTCGATGAACTCTGGCTCTCACTGGCAGGGGTCTATGTTCTCTCTGCCCTACTGTAAGGCAGATACTAATATAATACTATACCATAGACTATAGTGTGGTATTCAGATAAAATCTTTTTGGTTTAGTATAGTATCATAGTATAGATTAGTATATACTATAAAAATACTAGTATTATAGTATATACTGGTATAATAGTGTATACTATAGTATTATACTAGTATATATACTATACTATATACTAGTGTGTTATAGTAGTATATATACTATATACCAGTGTATTATACTAGTATACTATACTATATACTAGTGTATTATACTAGTATGTACACTATACTATGTACTAGTATATAATACTACTAGTAATAATATAGTATATATACTATATTATCATACCAGTATATATACTATACTATATACTAGAGTATTATACTAGTATATATACTATATACTAGAGTATTATAATAGTATATATACTATACTATATATTAGTGTATTATACTAGTATATACACTATACTATATACTAGTGTATTATACTAGTATATACACTATACTATATACTAGTGTATTATACTAGTATAATACACTATACTATATGCTAGAGTATTATACTAGTATATACACTATACTGTATACTAGTGTATGTACTAGTATATACACTATACTATATACTAGTGTATTATACTAGTATATACACTATACTATATACTTGTGTATTATACTAGTATATACACTATACTATATACTAGAGTATTATACTAGTATGTATACTATGCTATATACTAGAGTATTATACTAGTATGTATACTATGCTATATACTAGAGTATTATACTAGTATATATACTATATTACATACTAGTATATAATACTACTAGTAATAATATACTAGTATAATATAGTATCTGGCCAGGTGCAGTGTCTCACACCTATAATCCCAGCACTTTGGGAGGCTGAGGAGGGTGGATCACGAGGTCAGGAGTTCGAGACCAGGCTGACCAACACGGTGAAACCCCGTCTCTACTAAAAATACAAAAAATTAGCCAGGCAAGGTGGCACATGCCTGTAATCCCAGCTACTCAGGAGGCTGAGGCAGGAGAATCGCATGAACCCCGGTGGCAGAGGTTGCAGTGAGCTGAGATTGTGAAACTGCACTCCAGCCCGGGGAACAGAGTGAGACTCTATCTCAAAAAAAAAAAAAAATATGTATATATATATATATAAAATATATACTAGTACAATACTATATAGTATATAATACTAGTACAATACCATACTGTAACATCAGTAAATAATTATAGTATATACTATGCTATACTATAATACTAAACTAAACCAAAAAGATTTTCTCTAATACTATTGTATTATAGTATTATACTCTAGTATATCTAATAGGTAATTATTAGATTATCTAATAATTATATAACAAGCATTATGTAATTATAGATAAGTATCTGTAATTACATAATAATTATAGTAACTAATTATACTTTTATAATTATAGTATTATCTAACAGATAATTTTATAGTATATAACATCTTTTTTTTGACTTATTATATAATAAGTATGAGTGATCTGAAAAAGATACCTCTGGCCAGTTTCGAACGTGCATATCAAAACCAGTGGCCTGAATACGGCATAGGTCACTGTGGGTCCTAGATCCTCATGTTTTGACACAGAATCTACTCTCACAGGCTTGTCACAAAACAGACCAGAGCTATGAGCAGCTGATGTGAAAAGTTGAGCATCATACCTGGGATCGTATATCACTGGTATCTGGCACAAATTGGGAGTTACTGTGGGCTCTGAGAATCCCTTTCTTCAGCTCTCTGGAGGCTCACATGAGCCTGGTCTTAAGCCTTAATTTTGAAGAGGATACAATTGGAGCCACTGGAGATTCCCAGGAGCAGGAGAAAATGAAGAGAGTTTTGATATGGGAAGGGTGTCTTTAATGCCTCTTACTGTGGCAAGACAGTTGGGCTCCTACCCTGGCTTTGTTTTGGTTATCTATAAGACTCTGAGAAGCACTGAGCCCATCTGAGGCACAATTTCTGCATCTGTAATAAAATTTGTAAAATGGACCTTCAAACCCAAAAAGATTTTCTCTAACTTCCATTAAATTAGGGGTAAGACAGAGTTTTCCGTAAAGGCGCTGGCACTGGAAGACTAGATGCATTTTATGTGAAGCTCTCATCACAGTACTTGGCTTGATGATATGTGATCAAGAAATGGCAGTCCAAGTTACGCTGCTTTACCTGTTGCCATGACTGGCATGAGTGCATAGGTGTCTCTAAGCTCAGATCCTTACCTGTCCCTTCTCCTTACCTGTCTCAATCTCTACCATAACTACATTTTAAAAGGTTCATAGACTGCTATCCTTGTTTTTAATTTTTTCTCAATTTTTGTTTTTGTTAGTGAGCATGAGATGGGATGCCAAAAGGCATCTTTCCTGGCCTTCTTTTATTCTTTCAAACCTGTGACAGCCCCTCCTAGATAACAATGTAAAATGCAAAGGAATTACAGAAGAGGCGTTGGGGGATATCACCTCTTGTAGTAGATGGGTTGATCACGCCCAGGCATTCACTGAAGGGGACCCTGTCTGTGGGACACCACCTCCGATCACCTTCCCTGTAAAGATGCCCATTTTACCTGGGGTCAGAAAGAAGAGCACGGCAAAGAGAAAGAGGAAAGTCCTCATGACTGGGTGGGTCTTGAGAGATCAGCACCGTGTCCATGAGGAAAGAGCCGCAAACACCCACATTTATACATTTCTCCAGACCAAGTAACATCTTGATCAGTGAGGCTTAGCAGAAACGAGAGGATTTCCATGCTCTGCTGCACAGAGCCCACCCAACCTCAGTGGGTGTCACTCAGTCTACAGCTCATCATATTTCTGATTCTGGAAAGTTTTGAAGAAGGAAAGTGGGGATGAAGGGAGGACAGAGTAGGGCAGACACAGAAAAAATAAAAAAATCTGGAGTCCAGTAGTTTCGTTTCTAATCCTGGCTGTGTTCCTGAACAGCTTTGGTTTACTCATATGTAAAATGGGAGTAATTATACAATATCTCAATGCTTCAGTTAAGAGCTGAGGAACCGTAGTGAGGTGGAATCTGAATTCCAGATTCAGTCTTTTTGAGCTTTGTAAACTTGGCAAAGGGCTTGACCTAAGCATATATTTGTTAAAAAATGTGAATCTTGCTGTATGCTGCACGCTTTTCGTGCTTGGTCCTGCCATGCTGCTCACCTGTACCATGGCACTGTTGGCGCAGCAAGGGGCTGGTAACCATCATGCCTTGCCCTAGACACCTGGGCTCAAGCAATCTACCTGCCTTAGGCTCCCAAAAGCTACGATAATAGACATAAGCCACCCATCTGGGCCAATATTCATGTCCTTAATGAATTTAAAATATGCAGTAATTATGGCTTTGGTGCGTGAGGTGATATCTTACAGGAAAGGGGACTCAGAGCTAACTTGACAAAATGATTGCTACCCCTCCTTTTCTCCCTGTGATACTTGTAGAGAATAAAAATGAAAGCTAGAAAAGTGAGAGTCCACATTTATTGAGTTCTTACATGGTACCAGGCCTCCTTCCAAGCATTCCACATATTCAAAACACTTTTGCATTATAATCATACTAGATTCTTACAACACCTTTAGAGGCAGGCAGAATTTGCAAGTGGGTTCTTATTTTCTCCCAGAAAACAGAAGCTGGAAGAGATGAAAGGGGTCACTATCTTCTGGCCCCTGCATTAGTATGGTGGAAACTCACATGGCCCCTGCTCTTTCAACCTCTAGCCTGGTGTTCTTTCCACTACACCAGTTAGACTCCCCAAAATAAAAGGCTTTCTGGATGCCAAGGGTTATTATCCATGATATCATCCCTTTATCCTGGGAAATGGAGCATATAATTGTGTTTTATTGATTCACTTCACGGATCAAGAGCATCTCCCCATTACTTTTAAATAAAAATGAGCCTCTCATTTGGGTCTTCTCAAGGAAATCCCAATCTCTATTCCGAAGAGTCTTCCCTAAAAGATGGCCCTGATCAGGAAGACATTTTATTTTCTATTTGCTATGTTCTTCATTTTGGTTCAACTGCCATCAGGTAAGTAAAAATGGATGGGATTTTGATTGGGCAGATTATAAAGCCTGTTGATTCTTCCATGTTTGACCTTAATGGTCAAGCTCTCATGGCACCTGTCATGGGAATTTCTTAGACCTACAGTGACATTTACTAAGAGCAAACAGCATATAGTGTATTTTTTTTTTTTTGTAATTTGTTTTTGCTGGTTACCTGGAATGCTGGCCTTGAGAAACAGAATAAAGATTGCAACTCTGTGATCTACTGTCTCCTGTTATGCTATGTCACATGTGAAGTTGGGAGTGTTTTATACAGTGTTAATTCCTGTGTTGATTTTAATTTTCAAAATGTATTTTGTTTTGAATTTAGGGTGCCAGGCAGGACTTGATTTTTCCCAACCATTTCCATCAGGTAAGTTAAATCTCTTGTATATAATTATTTTTTCTCTTAGGAGCTCTGGCGCTGTTAGGTCTCTCTGATGTCTGGAGGCAAAGAGGGGACAGAGATAGTGGCAGAAATAGAATTGTCTGAAAAATCAGTTCACTAACTTATCTCCTTCTCTTTCTCTTGTTCCAAGTATAATATTTGGATATTTTTGATTTCACAGAAAAATATCTTTGTGACTGGACTGTAATTTGGCCATAGAGATTTGGACTCAGTGGCTTTTCCCATTAGCTGTTGGTGCTCACTAAACCAAGTTCTTAGATTTATTCTTGTACCAGCCAATTAGCACTGCTCTGTGAACACGCCTGCCCATCTCTTGCAAGCTCTGCTGCTAAGTCTGGTAATAATATATGTCACAAATGCATGAGGTTAGTTGAAGGAAGCTCAAATTAAAGAGTGAGGTTGCCTCAGTGAAAACTCAGCACCATTGCAGAAAAGCTATTCATAACGAATAGCCCCCAGATCTTTTCTTTTTCTTTGAAGTCATCTTATACAGAAAGAAAGGACATTGTAAACAAAACTAAAAGAAATATTGTAGACAAAGTTGAAATGGTTTTAGACAGAATTTCAAAGTGAGAAATATGAAGGTTGCTACTAGTCCTTGAGTGTTTGCTCTGTACCAGGCATCCTGCTAAAAACTTTACATGGACTTTGTCATGTAATCCTCAAAACAGTCCTATGTGGTAGGTATTATTATAATGAAAATATTTACATATAATATTCCATTTGATCCCTAAACTGATTTAAAAAATGTAGTCAGGTGCTTCTAGAATGGCCACTGGACAAATGAGAATATGGACCTTAACCTGCCGGCTACTAGGCCCAAACTAGAGTTGATCTTCAAGGATCTTTAAAAAACCACAATATACCCCTCCCATTTTTTGTCTAGTAAACTTCACAGTCATATCAGGTATGTATTTTTATAGTTCTGTAATATGTATGTCTCTTTGTCTGTCTGTGGTTTACTTTTGATCCCTGCCAGATTATAAACACTTGGAGAGTAGGAATTGCGATGATCTGTTGCATAAAAATTAACTCTCCCCAACTCCCTACTGCAAAAAGCAGAAACTATTTTTGAAAAATCTGGGCTGATTCTTGAAAATATTCTTTGTAATCATACGTACGAACTGTCCCTTTTTTTTTGGTGGTCTTTGACATGTTCCCCATTTCTAGACATTTCCTGGAAAGCTCCCTCAGCAGCTCTTTCTTGGCACAGGTGAGTTTGCTGTCTGTGAGTCGTGCAAGCTTGGTCGGGGAAAATGCAGGAAGGAGTGCTTGGAGAATGAGAAGCCCGATGGAAATTGCAGGCTGAACTTTCTCTGCTGCAGACAGAGGATCTGACAAACCAGACCAGCACACTTCTGGCCTTAGAAGCAGACCTGGATATTCAAAGAAGTTCAAGAGAAGTTATGTGGCTTATCCAAATCACACAGTGAGTGAGTCTCAGAATCATTCTCATTTCTTTCTCCCTTTGTTACGTTTTATTGCTTATTTTTTAAAGATGACTTTTTTTCTTTTTTTTTTTTTTGAGAAGGAGTCTCACTCTGTCGCCCAGGCTGGAGTGCAGTGGCTCGATCTTGGCTCACTGCAACCTCCACCTCCCGGGTTCAAGCAATTCTCCTGCTTCAGCCTCCCAAGTAGCTGGGACTACAGGCGCATACCGCCATGCCTGGCTAATTTTTGTATTTTTACTAGAGATGAGGTTTCACCATGTTGGCAAGGCTGGTCTCGATCTCCTGACCTCAGGTGATCTGCTCGCCTTGGCCTCCAAAAGTGCTGGGATTATAGGCATGAGCCACCATGCTGGGCGAGATGACCTTTAAAAAACATCAAGACATGAGTGTGTACCTAGTATCTGCTCAATCAGATACCACTACTATGTATATGTAGAGTACCTTACAATTTATGAAGTATTTTCCATACTTCTCTCATATGACTCATGATTACCTTATGAGGTAGGTTTTATTACTGCCATTTATATTTGAAAATATTGAGGCTCAAGAGGCTGTTAATTCTTCAGAGCCATAGCTAGGATCCAGTAACTGCTGTGCACATTGCTGTCATGTTTTATGTATCCATCTATATGTACTAACTATGTTAATGGAATAATAATTCTATCAAATATAATACATTATTTTTATATTCACATTATTTCTTGGTTTGTCTAAATATTGTCATTCATTGATTCTAGTACTTATGGTGTATTTACCTGTGAAAGAAAATGATTAGAGATTAACTTAAAATGTTCAACACAGAATATGCATAAATGGTTGACTGTCTAATTTTGCCTTGTGAAATAAAATCCAGCTTCACAAAATAAAGGCCAAAATTACCAGCCCTATGACCAGTGACTTGAACTTGGTTACTTAGTTTTAACGTATGAGATTAAACAATGTTTTGTTTAACATTTGGGCCTATTATTTGTCTCTTTGTGCTCAAATCTGTTCCTTGTTTTTTTCTGCTTTGCTGAGTAAAATGGGAACTATTAGTTGCAAACTACATTTTCCAGGCTTCCTGACTTCTGGCTAGTTTTGGTCAATGTGTCTCCTAGGAGAATGGGAGATTGAAGAAGGAAGGACAATGTGAATTTCTCCCCGACTCCCTCTCTTTTCCAGCAGTGGCTTTTCATGCTCAGCAAGGCCGCTGCTTTTCTGTCTTCTGCACTCACCTGGCAGTCCCACCGCAAGTTTAGCTTCTGCCAGCCAGTGCTGCTCCCAGGCTCACACAAATCCTTCCATTTTTCCTCAAACCTTAGGGCAGTGGGAGATTTCTGCTGTGACTATCAGTAGGGTTGCCTCATTGCTCCCGCTTTGCATTGTCATCTTTTCCAACACTTTATCTGTACATATTAAATTCTTTCTATAGAACTATCCATTGGGGGAACCCTTTTAATGCTTGATTGGTTCAATTTTTAGATTCACTCTATTTACATATGATCCACTGTTTTCCAAAAGAGATTTGAAACACAGCCCTCAAGAAGCCTAGAGTGTTTCCTTCATTTACACAGGAATTACCCCAGGGAAGTGGGAAGTGGGGTATTTGGTCTTAAGAGTCCAGTTCACAGTAATTTTCTGCTGGCAGATGGTCTTCCTCCCCAGGTCTCCACAGTGCAAATGCAGCTGCTAGCTTACAGAACACCATGAAACTGGAATACTACTTACTCATTCCAAATACTGCATTGCTTTATCTTAAAAAAATGCTCTGGAACCTAGTTGAAGTTTCTTTTAATGAAAGATTCATGTGAGTGTCTCAGAGTCATACAAAGTGGTAGACCAGTAGCTGTGCCCTGATATTACCTCACTAATGACCTCATGTAGCATCCAGATGGCAGCTGCAGAGGACACCTCCCACAGGTGCTCACCTAGTCACAAATTGTTCCCTTTCATGGCAGGCCAAGTCTCACTAACGCAAGACTCCATAACAACTGCTTTAGTACCCACTGAGGGGTTAAGTTAAATATTAAAAGCTTAAAAAGCCAGTGCCCTGATATAAAGGCTTGAATGTAACAAAAGCCCACTAAGAGTTTTGCTTAGGCCTTTCCTGGGCCTTAAAGCATGACAAACTAATGAAGGAGTTCTTAACAGGACCCGTTTAGGATTAAACAAGTTTATAGGAGGTCTGAAGAAACTCCCCAAATATCAGTGATTTAGCAGGAGACAAGGTGAGGGTAATAACCCCAGCACCTGGACCCATTTAGATTAAGTACATTTACTGAGGCTCCAGAGGAAGGTCTTCGGGACTCAGACCTTAGTTATAGATTAAAAGAAGTTAATAACTTATGTCTTTAGATGAATGCACACTTACACATAAACATATAGCTTGGAAGGTATATAAGCTCTGGAAAACTTTGTAATTTTAAGTTGGTCTGGCGATAATTTCCAGGACTTCTCCCTATAACTGGTTGCAGAAATAAAAACTCTCTTCCTCCCGAGTTTATTTGCATCTTGTTATTGGGCTGTGAGAAATAGCAGCCCAACTCTCCGTTTGGTCCAGGAACACTTTCTTTACACTTTAGATTCATGGAAACAAAGAGACTGAAAGTAAAAGGATGGAAAGAGATTTGCCATACAAACAATAACCAAAAGAGAGCTGTAGTGGCTATACCAATAGTGTACAAAACAAACTTTAAGACAAAATTGGTACTAAAGATGAAGAAGGGCATTTTGTAATGTTAGCAAGTTAATCTATCACGATAATATAACAAGTATAAAAACATGCACCTAACAACAGAGTGCCAAAATACATGAAGAGAAAATTGACAGAATTGAAGGGAGAAATAGAGAAGTCAACAGTAATAGCAGGAGACTTTAATATACCACTTTTAATAATAGACAAAACAACTAGAAAAAAGATTAGCAAGGAAATACAAGATTTGAATAGCACTGTAACACAATGACCTCAAAGCGTGGAACACTGCACCAATTACAGCAAAATACACATTCTTCTTCTGTTCACATGAAATATTCTTTAGAATAGACTGTATGTTAGATTTAAATACAAGCTCCTCAATACATTTAAAAGGATAGGAATCATACAAAGTATGTTCTCTGAACAAAATGGGATAATAGAAAGAAATTTGGGAAAGTCACAACTATGTGGAAATTAAACAGCATAAATGTGAATAAATGATGGGTCAAAGCAGAAAACATAAGGGAATGTAGAAAATATTTTAAAGGGAGCCCCCAAACACTTTAAAATATACAACACAACAGCAACTTACCAAAACTGTGAGATGCAGCTAAAACAATGCTTACAGGAAAATGTATGGTTGTAAATGCCTGTATTTATAAAGAAGATAGATTTAAAATCAGTAAATTATCTTCCATCTCAAGAAAATTAAGGAAGAGCCAACTAAACCCAAAGCAAGCACAAGGAAGAAAATAATAAATATTAGCACGGAAATAAATGAAATAGAGACTAAGAAAACAATAGAATAAATCAACACAACAAAAATTTATTTTTTGAAATGATCAACAAAATTGGCAAGCCTCTAACTAGACTGACTAAGAAAAAAAGAGAATACTCATATTACTAAAATCATGAGTGAAAGAGAAGTTTTACAAAAGATCTTACAAAAGTATTTTTTAATATTATTAAGGAATACTATAAACAATTTTATGGCAACAATTTTGATAATCTAGATGAATAAATGCCTAGAAATGCATACATATCAAACCTAATTCAAGAAGAAATAGAAAGTCTAAAATGGACCTATAACAAATAAAGTGCATGAATTGACAGTAATAACACTAACAAAAATCCCACATAGTAAAACCCAGGGCCAAATGGCTCCACTGGAACATTGTAAAGATGTTACTCTATTTTATTTTGCCTCGATTTTTTTTTCAGACAGGGTCTCACTCTGAAGCTCAGGCTGCAGTGCAGTGGTATGATCTCGGCTCACCCCATCCTCTGCCTCTGGGGCTCAAGTGATCCTCCCACCTCAGCCTCCTGAGTGGCTGGGACCACAGGTGCCTGCCACCATGTCCAGTTAATTTTCGTATGTTTTGTAGAGATAGGGGTCTCATTATGTTGCCCAGGCTAGTTTCGAACTAAACTCCTGGCTCAAGTGATCTGCCCACCTTGGCCTCCCAAAGTGCTGGGATTACAGGCGTGAACCACCACACCTGTCCTGGCTTGCATATTTTTTGATGAGAAGTTTGCTGCAGTTATTCTGTCATCTTTCTACAGGCAGGAGGCATGTATGCCTTCTCTGTTGACAAAGGTAGAGGATGTTCTTTGTTTTTCTTTTTTAATGTGCTCCCTTCTCCTCGTTCTCCTAGCTTTAATATTTTGTTTTGCATTTTTTTAGATTGTTCATTCACCAGTGCCGTACAAACAACTGTTGTTCTTCCCTCAGTTTCTTAATTAAGAAATTAAGACTTTCTTTTCCATAAAAGAGAAAGATTCTTGCAAGCTTTCGTTCTTTCTCACAGTGGCTACTGTTCCCCTCAGCCGACTTACATCATGAAATACTCTAATCTTTTTTGTAAGCACCTGCTGAGTCTATGGAGAAGACATTAGAAGTTGCTGTGAACTTCTCTTTTGTCTGTGACCCCAGACATTTATATTGTTTCTCTAGTTTATGCTTGCTCTTAGCAATTCTCTACAGACTTTACCTGAAATCTTTTAAATCATATTCTGGGGGTAATCTGCTTCAGGTAAGCAAGCACTCATGGTCTTTATTTTTTGGAGGTTCCTGTCTTTTCTTATATTTCTAGGTAGGTGGCTGATTTGTGACCTTAGCTTTCCAATGAGTTCAAGAAACTGAATATTTGCAGTCTGCCGTGTGTTTTGCTGTGTACTTGTTTCATGTGGGATGATTTTCTTTACGTATTTCTACATCTTAAGCAGAAGCCATTCTTCATTTAATAACACACTTACTTTCTTTAAGACATACAGAAATACTTATATTTTCTGCTAATTCTTGTGCCAATTTTGGTAAGTTAAATTTTTGAGAGAATTCTTTTATTTTATGTAAGTTGTGAAATGTTTTGGCATATACCTGTTGACAACATTTTTATATTAGTTTAATGTTTCTTGGATCTGTAGTGATAACTTCTTTTTCACTTATTCTGCATACTTGGGCTTACATTGTTCCCTTTTCTAAGGTTCTTAGAGCATAATTTTAAGTCATAGATTTAAACATTTCTTCTTTTCTACAATAAGTATTTGGATACAAATTTCTTTCAAAGTCATTGTTTTGTTGTGCTCCACAAAATTCGATATACAGAAATGCTTTCCAATTATTCTCATTATTTATTCTTTGATACAAACACAATCTAGAATGATGTTGCTTTATCTCCACATATTTGAAAATATCCTAAATAGCTTATTTTATAGATTGCCAATTTAATCCCCTTGTGGTGAGAAATACACTCTGAAGTATTTAAATGTGCTTAAACACATCAATATTTGTTTTATGGCCTAGCATATGGTTCATTTTTATGAATGTATCATATGTACTTGAAAAAAATGTGTATTTTGCAGTTGTCTTATGATGTGTTCTATAAATATCAATGCAGTCAGTGGAATGGTGGTATTGTTCAGATCATGCATGACTTTGCTAATTTTTCCCTGTGTTCTATCAGTTGCTGAGAGAGTGGTGTAAAAATTTTCTACTATGAATATAGAAGTGTCTATTTCTCCCTTTAATTAAATCAAATAATATAAAAACATGTTAATGGTTTTTATGTATTTTCAATGGATTAACCCTTTTCTCCTTAAGCAACAGCACTCCATGCAATACAGCGAGACCCTGTCAAAAAAAAAAAAAAAAAAAAAAACCTGCACACGTACTCCTGAATTTAAAATTAAAGGTTTTTGTGTGTTTGTTTTAATTATTATTTTAAGAATAGGTTTTATGTAAAATCATGTACTAGGAAAAGCGTGGTGGCTATATATCTTATAGACATGGTAATACTTGAGATAAGACTTGAAGGAAAAATGAGAGAAGTCTAAGCAGAGACACAGAATAGAATATTCCAGGCAGAAAGGCAGGGTTCTCTGCGTTTGTCTCCCACAAATGTGGTTTAGTTAAAATCTGATCCATCAGCCCACACATTAGTCAGTGGAGCATGGAAAATAGTATGTTCCCAATGAACATTACAAACCGAGGATGACTTCCAGTCCCTTCAGGGCAGTAGAACATATTTTAATCAATGCCCCTTGATAAAAGAGCTTGATTCCAGCTACTGCACTTCCTTCATCAGCTCTCCACTGATGCCTGGAGCCATGAAAATATTTGTCTTTATTTTGGCTGCTCTCATTCTTCTTGCTCAAATTTTCCAAGGTAAGAGGGAAATTCTTCTAGAAGTAGAGATGACAGTCTGCTCAGGATCTGTCTTTTGAGATGAAAGCTCAACTTTTACAAAGTTGAAGGTTCCAAGGCAAACCAGTCACTGAAAATCTTTTCCTGAGCTCCGACACAAAACAATGGGACCACATTGACCGGGACCATCTCCATCCATAATAGTTTCCAGTCAACTTCCCTAACAGCTCTGCCAAGGAATTCAGACATCTTTGTACTTTTAGATCTCTTTCCTCCTTTGTAATCTGCAACGCAGGTTCAGCATATTCTTTTTTTTTTTTTTTTTTTTTTTTTTGAGACGGAGTCTCGCGCTGTCGCCCAGGCTGGAGTGCAGTGGTGCGATCTTGGCTCACTGCAAGCTCTGCCTCCCAGGTTCATGCCATTCTCCTGCCTCAGCCTCCCGAGTAGCTGGGACTACACGCACCCGCCACCACGCCTGGCTAATTTTTTTGTATTTTTAGTAGAGACGGGGTTTCACCGTGTTAGCCAGGATGGTCTTGATGTCCTGACTTCGTGATCCGCCCTCCTCGGCCTCCCAGAGCCCTGGGATTACAGGCATGAGCCACCGCGCCTGGCCAGCATATTCTAAAGTGATTTCTTTAAAATGAAAAAAAAAAAAAAAAAAGAAAGAAAAGATTATCCAAGGAAATGCCAAACATATTTGTTAAGTTAGGGAAGTACAGCCTTTGTAGTCTAAATTAAACTAAAGTTATGTTACTAGATTCTTAGACAGCTAATTTTTTTTCATGTCTGAGTCGTCGGTCCAAATCTCTTATCCATACATTATTTTAGACTTTTTGGCTTTCACACACTGGTTGGAAATTATGCCATTAAAACCACTAAACTAACATCTTGCTTACTATTCTCTTAAGTCTTTGCGTCTTTGAGATTCTCTTTGCTTCATACAACCACGACTCTGTTCCTAAGAAATGTTTATGTCCATACCTCCTCAACTATCCTTCGTTCCTTCTGTTGTGAAGCTTTTCCTATTAGAGGTTCTCCATGCATCATGAAGCCCCCTGTCTGTTCCTTCATGGCTCCTGAATTTCTACATTCCTTTATTACACATTCTGTCCTCAGTAGTCCTAGAAAACCAATAGATATTGAATGTGTGCTAACCACTTGTAAGAAATTGTTCTGTCCACTATGATAAAGGTAGGTAAAACGAAGAGGTAAAAATATAAAGCATGGACATTGACCTTAATTTGCTTGAAGTTATTAGTCTATTCCTTCTATGTTGTTCGAAAATAGGTTGCTTGTAGTGGTAAATAAGCTTTCAATACATTTAACATGTATAAGTAAGTATATCAATGAGACAGGAAAATTCACAAATAACTTTAATATGAAACAGTTTTCACAAGTGCCATAAAAGATGCAAATTATAAAGAGAAGTCATAGATGTGGAAACTTGGTTCTAACTAGGAAATGCAGAAAGGCTTCCTGGGAAGTAGTATTTGTTTTGCACATTTGGAAATAGGCAAGACTAGAACTAAAGAACAGAGCCAGGGAACAATGTCCCCATGAAAGTTTCAGTGACTCCATGAAAGTCTCAGTTGTAAAATCAGTTCCCGATTTTCTGCCCTCAGCATCTTTTTGCAGATGTCAGACAATGCTCCAGAATAGATAAACTCATTTAAAATTGTCTTCTCCATCCACTTTAATCAGTACTCCAATTTATTCAGATCAGTCTATAGATGTGGATGCCTAATAGCTCCCTGTCCACAAAACTCATCTCAGATGTATTTGAATTACAATAATAAGCATAGTTTGGGCACAAATTAGAACCACCACCATCACCATAATCACATAGAATCTCAGAGTTAGAAGTGAATTTAATGATCAATATAAAAGGTGTAGGGGTGGGTTGCCCCTACCCACCTGTGGGTGTTTCTCGTAAGGTGGGACGAGAGATTTGGAAAAGAAAAAGACACAGAGACAAAGTATAGAGAAAGAAATAAGGGGACCCGGGGAACCAGCATTCAGCATATGGAGGATCCCGCCAGCCTCTGAGTTCCCTTAGTATTTATTGATCATCTGTGGGTGTTTCTCAAAGAGGGGGATGTGTCAGGGTCACAAGACAATTGTGGGGAGAGGGTCAGCAGACAAACACGTGAACAAAGGTCTTTGCATCATAGACAATGTAAAGGATTAAGTGCTGTGCTTTTGGATATGCATACACATAAACATCTCAGTGCTTTACAAAGCAGTATTGCTGCCCGCAGGTCCCACCTCCAGCCCTAAGGCGGTTTTTCCCTATCTCAGTAGATGGAGCATACAATCAGGTTTTATACCGAGACATTCCATTGCCCAGGGACAGGCAGGAGACAGATGCCTTCCTCTTGTCTCAACTGCAAGAGGCATTCCTTCCTCTTTTACTAATCCTCCTCAGCACAGACCCTTTACGGGTGTCGGGCTGGGGGACGGTCAGGTCTTTCCCTTCCCACGAGGCCATATTTCAGACTATCACATGGGGAGAAACCTTGGACAATACCTGGCTTTCCTAGGCAGAGGTCCCTGCGGCCTTCCGCAGTTTTTGTGTCCCTGGGTACTTGAGATTAGGGAGTGGTGATGACTCTTAAGGAGCATGCTGCCTTCAAGCATCTGTTTAACAAAGCACATCCTGCACCGCCCTTAATCCATTCAACCCTGAGTTGACACAGCACACGTTTCAGAGAGCACGGGGTTGGGGGTAAGGTCATAGATTAAAAGAATCTCAAGGCAGAAGAATTTTTCTTAGCACATAACAAAATGGAGTCTCCCATGTCTACTTCTTTCTACACAGACACAGTAACAATCTGATCTCTCTTGCTTTTCCCCACATTTCCCCCTTTTCTTTTCGACAAAACCGCCATCGTCATCATGGCCCGTTCTCGATGGTCGCTGTCTCTTCGGAGCTGTTGAGTACACCTGCAGACTAACAACAGACAAAACAGGCACACAAGGATTAATATGAGATTTATAATTGTAGTACTTCCAATGGTCTTAACCCAAGTGACAGGGTTAAGATTTGCGAGGCCATCAGCAACTCCTGCAATTGCCTCAGTTCCTGGCACCAAATTTAAATGGGCTTTTGATGCTTCGAAAATTTGTTCTTTTAATTTGGAAATGTCTAAAGTGAGATTATCTTCTCTTCCCTGTAGATGGCGTCTAACCATGTCCCAGTGATGCTCAGAGTCATTATAAATTTGGGGTGTAATACAAAAATCTGACGTATTCCAGTCACACTGTAACTGGAAACGATGTTCTAAGCTCATGAGTCTGTCTCCCATCCAAATGACAGTTTGTCTAAGATCATTAATTTGATTTGCCAATTTTTGATCAATACTAGATTGTGAATTCCACAATCTTGTAGAATTCTTTTGCCCATCATTAACAAAGTTTACTGACTGAACAGAAGAGTGCAATGCAACTCCTGCTACAGCAGCCGTAGCTGTGACTGCAATTAATCCCATAATCACTGCAATTAAAGTAAAAATGAATCTTTTGGATCTATTTAAAACACCTTTTAATACTTCAGTCAAAATATGGACGGATGGTGAGGCCTCCCATGGTCGGTCCATGGACACAGGGATCCACACGCCCTCTCTTGCTCTCACCAGCAGAATACGGTGTTGCCAATTAAAAGTTGAATCAATGCAAGTAAGCAATCTACAATTTTCACAGGTTATAGTCTGGGAGTCTGGTTTAATAACTATATTTCCTACAACTAGCATATAAGGGGGCTTTACGCAACTTTGTAAAGGAAGTGTTAGACTGGAATTTAGGTCGACAGTATAAAATGGCTTACGATCTCTTGTTTCTAAAGTTTGATTTCCAGACCAAATTCTAATGTGGTGTGAGGCCACAGTAAGCCTCCATAATTCTGGATGTTCAGGACCAGAAACAGGACTTACTATTTTTGGTCTTGGGGTAGAGATTCTTTTTTCTCCCCATTCCCAAGGGTAGAAAGACTGCAATTTTTTATGCTTATGTTTGTCTAAACTTTCTGTTAAGTCGCTATCAACAGCTGGACTCACTTGTGCACTTGGACACGACTGAGTTTGTCCTGAGCAATTGTGGTAGAATTGACCTCGAGGTGCCCAATCTATAATAGTTCCAAATTCATTGTTTTGTAATATCACCGCACTATTGGCCACACATTCTTCCCAAACTAAAACTTCTGTATTTTTTGATTCTTTGGGAATTTCCTTGGGGCAAGGTTTCCCTTTAGGTCTAAATTTTAATGATCTTTGATAAGAAAAGTCTTGTAAATAATTTACCCGTGGCCTGAGTGACATCCCGCTTACCATGTGATAAGTGAATCTACTGATGGGACTGACAGTAGGTACTTCTACCAACCAATTTTGGACTGCAGGCATTAAACATCCTGGTGCTCTCCCTAGGCAAATAGGAGGATAACGATACCCAATGGAAATATTTATCATCATCCCTTCTTCCTCAGGTTTGGCAGGGCAGCGATCATCTATGGGGCCAGGTACCCATACACTATCATTAACATATACTTCTATAGGATTATCCATCCATGTGACTGCCCGAATTAAGGGCGGGAAAGGCACATAGGCCCAGTTGGTATAGTTAGCTACAGCTGCTCCTGCAGGCATAGGGAGACTTACCACCATTGATACAATCATCAAGGCTGCAAGCAGCATACTCTCTGGGGTTTGTGTCACCTTTGTGTTCTCTAGATATTTTGTAGCTAACTGCGTCAGCTTCTTTAGTTGTGCCCAAGTCGGCGGCTCTGCCTTCTTGGTGGATGGCAACTTCATCTGTTCTTCTGACGTCACCATTTTGTTCATCTTGTGAGTCAACGGTGCTCGATTGCGGTGTCTCCGTCTCCGCGGAGGTGCTTTTCTTTGCATCTCTGATGGGTTCATTGTAGAACTTCAAATGTCTAGTGGGTATCCAAACAGGAAGCTGATTTTCTCCTGGTGAAACACAAGCAAAACCTCTCCCCCACGTTATCACCTTCCCTATTTCCCATGTCTTATTTTTATTATCTTTCCACCAAATTAGTTTTCCTTCATGTGGGCTGTTCTTTTTACCAGTAAGATGTTGTTCTGCAGAAGTAGTAGTCTGATTTCTATAAATGTTTAAAAAATTTAAAGTATAGAGTGCTAGATTAAGTTGCATCTGAGGAGTGGTACACTCCTTACTGTCTCCCCCTTCTTTTTGTTTAACTAATTGAGTTTTGAGTGTTCTATTAGTTCTTTCAACTATGGCCTGTCCTTGGGAATTATAAGGAATTCCTGTTGTATGTGAAATTTTCCACTGACTTAAGAATTTTTGGAAAGCTTTACTACAATATCCTGGTCCATTGTCAGTTTTGATTTTTTCTGGAACTCCCATTACAGCAAAACAAGACAATAAATGTTTTTTAACATGGGAAGTACTTTCTCCTGTTTGGCAAGTTGCCCATATGAAATGTGAATAAGTATCAACTGTTACATGAACATATGATAATCTTCCAAATGAAGGTACATGCGTGACATCCATTTGCCATAATGCATTAGGACACAGACCTCTGGGATTAACTCCTGCCTCTTGAGTGGGCAGGTGTAAGACTTGACACTGGGTGCAATGTTGTACAATATCTTTTGCCTGTTTCCATGTGACATCAAATTTGTTTTTTAATCCTGCTGCATTTACATGAGTCAAAGCATGAAGTTCTTGTGCTTTTATGAGTGCAGATGATACCAGTAAGTCAGCTTGTTCATTTGCTTTAGTCAAAGGCCCTGGTAAATTAGTGTGTGCTCGAATATGAGTAATATAAAATGGGAAATTTCTTTTTCTTACAGTTTGTTGTAATAAATTGAATAGCTGGTTTAACTGATCATCCATGCTATATTTAATTAGAGCTGTCTCAACAACCCTTGTAGCCTGTACTACATATGCAGAATCTGATATAATATTGATAGGTTGGTCAAAATCTTGTAACACTGTAATGACTGCAACCAACTCTGCTCTTTGAGCTGATTGATATGGAGTTTTGATTACTCGTTCTTTCGGCCCTGTGTAAGCTGCTTTTCCATTGCTGGAACCATCAGTAAATACTGTTAGAGCATTTTCTAAAGGTTCACGTCTGGTAATTTTAGGTAGAATCCAAGTAGTCAGTTTTAAGAACTGGAAGATCTTTGTTTTTGGGTAATGATTATCAATAATTCCCACAAAATTAGCAAGACCAATCTGCCATGCACCAGAATTGATAAAGGCTTGTCTAACTTGTTCCTTGGTTAAAGGGACAACTATTTTGTCTGGGTCATTTCCACATAATTTTATTATTCGTAATCTTGTCTGACCGATTAATGTAGCTATTTGATCCAAGTACAGTGTAAAAGTCTTAACTGTACTGTGAGGAAGGAATGACCACTCCACAAGATCAGTATTTTGAATAATGATACCTGTTGGAGAATGTGCAGTGGCAAAAATCAAAAGTTGGAGTGGGGCTAAGGGATCTATTCTATTTATTTGTGCTGACTGAATTTTTTCTTCCACTAATTTAATTTCTTTTGTTGCCTCTGGGGTTAATATTCTTTTACTATTTAAGTCTGAGTCTCCTCTTAAGATAGAGAACAAATTTGACATGGCATAAGTAGGAATGCCTAGAGTTGGCTGAATCCAATTAATATCTCCTAGTAATTTTTGAAAATCATTTAGTGTTTTTAATGTGTCTTTTCTTATTTCTATTTTTTGTGGCTTAATTTTTCTATTTTCTATCTGCATCCCTAAATAATGAAAAGGAGTAGAGGTTTGGATCTTATCAGATGCTATTGCCAGTCCAGCACTGGCAACCTCTGCTTGCAGAAATGTATAACAGTCAATTAATTTATCTTTCGTTTCTGCAGCACATAAAATATCATCAATATAATGAATAATATAACAGTCTGAAAACTTTTTTCTAACTGGTTGAAGAGCTCGACCTACAAAAGTCTGACAAATAGTTGGACTATTAAGCATTCCCTGAGGTAACACTTTCCACTGAAACCTGGTGGCTGGTTCTTTATTATTTATGGCTGGTATAGTAAAGGCAAATTTTTCGCAATCCTGCTCTGCCAGAGGGATGGTAAAAAAGCAATCCTTTAGATCAATTATAATTAAAGGCCAATCTTTTGGGATCATGGCTGGAGAGGGCAACCCGGGTTGGAGAGGCCCCATGGGTTGAATTACGGCGTTTACAGCCCTTAAGTCAGTTAACATACGCCATTTGCCTGATTTCTTCTGAATTACAAACACAGGAGAATTCCAAGGTGAGAACGAAGGCTCAATATGACCCTTTTCTAACTGTTCATTTGCTAATAAATGTAAAGCCTCCAGTTTTTGTTTTGGTAGCGGCCACTGATTTACCCACACCAGTTTTTCTGTTTTCCAAGTTAATGGTATGGGTTTCGGAGGCTCTATAGTGGCCACCCCTAAAAAGGATACCCTATTCCTTCTCTTTTTTGATTTATTTTAGCCTCAAATGGAATTTTAATGCCATCTTCATTTTTCCCTAGTCCCTTTCCTGGTATATATCCCCTCTTGGTCATGATTTTTTGACTCGTGGGGCTATATAATGGAGCGGGCATGGTGATTTCCGCACCCCATTGTTGTAATAAATCTCGACCCCACAGATTAAGAGGAATTGAAGTAATCATTGGCTGAACAGTACTTTCTTGATTATCTGGCCCTAAGCAATGTAAAATCTCCATACTTTGATACACTTCTGAGGCTGTGCCTATGCCGACAAGTCCTATAACAGCCTTTTGTTTAGGCCAATTTTTTGGCCACTGATTTAAAGCAATGATAGAGACATCTGCTCCAGTGTCTACCAATCCTTCAAACTGTTTTCCTTGAATAATGGCCTTACACACAGGTCTGTTCTCTGAGACCTGACTTGCCCAATATGCAGCCTTTCCTGTTGGATCAGTGCTTCCAAGCCCTCCTATTCTTTTTATTTCACTATTTCCACCCTTAATATATGGCAGGAGTAATAATTGAGCAATCCTGTCTCTTGGACTGGCACTCCAAGGAATTGAAGAGCTAATAACCAATTGAATTTCGCCTTTATAGTCTGAATCAACCACACTAGTATGAATTTGAACTCCTTTTAGATTTAGACTTGATCTTCCCAAGATTAGTCCTACAGTCCCCTCAGGCAGTGGGCCATATACCCCTGTAGGGATTTTTTGTGGGGGCTCCCCTGGAAGCAGAGAGACTGCTTGTATAGTACATAAATCTACTGCTGCACTGCCGCTTGTGGCGGGGGACAATTGTTGTATTGTGGTAACTGGCTTATTCCCTGAAACACTTGGGACAGTGGGGGTTGTTGTCCTGAAAACCCTGAGGAACAAATGGCTGAATTGGGAATGCCCCAGTTTGTTGTGGGGCCTGAGGCTGGCCCCTTTGCTCGTTTCCCGACAATGGTTGCCCATTTTTATCAAATTTAGAACGACATTGACTAGCCCAATGTTTTCCTTTTTTACATCTTGGACATAAGTCAGGTGGCTCTCTACCTGTTGTAGTTGCTTGAATAGTTATATTCTGTTTGTTTAAGACTGGGCAATTCTTTTTTAAGTGACCAATTTGACCACAATTATAACATTTTCCTCCAAATGTTCTAACTTGTCCTCCTAAAACAACTCCTGTTATTGCTTGAGCCATAAGCATAGCTTTATGCATAGCTCCTCCGATTCCATCACAGGCTTTTACATATTCTGAGATTACATCTGATCCTGCAGGAACCTTTCCTTTTAATGGCTTAATGGCTGATTGACACTCAGGATTGGCGTTTTCATATGCCATCAACTCCACTATGACCTTACGGGCTTTTTCATCGGCAATTGACTTTTGAGCAACATCTTGGAGCCTTGCCACAAAATCAGGATAGGGCTCTTTTGAACCTTGTCTTACTGTATTAAATGAGGGGCAGGTACTTCCTGGGTCTTGGATTTTTTCCCAGGCTCTAAGGCAGATAGCTCTAACTTGCTCAATGGCCTCATTTTGCATTAATGCTTGTTGACTAATAGTACTCCAATTTTGACCTATTCCTAATAGTTGATCTGCATCTATGTTAACTGGAGGATTGGCAGCCCTATTTCTTCGGACCTGTTCTTGTACCCCATCAATCCACCAAGTCTTAAATTGTAAAAATTGAGAGGGTGAGAGAGACGATTTTGCCAGAATCTCCCAATCATAAGGAATGAGTCTATGTCCATGAGCAATGGAATCTAATAATGTCCTCATATAAGGGGAGTTGGGTCCATACTGTTTTACTCCCTCTTTCATATCTTTTAGCATTTTTATCGAAAAAGACTTGTATCTGGCCTCAACTGTGGGAGGCTCTCCCTCTTGGGCTCCTTCTCCAGGTGGCATCGGTTCTAACGTTACTGGGAATTGCCATGCCTCAGTATCTCCTTCCTTTCTTGATTTATCAATAATTTCATGTAATTCACTACCCTGTCTACTAGGTGGTGCCGTAGGATTAAGTCTCCTAGTGGGCGGCTGAGGGTATGGCTCCCTGCCCTGTGGTGCTGGGGGCATTCCTGGATATCCATACTGACTTTCTGGGGGTGGCCGATACTGAAGTTCAGCCGGAGGCCAGTATTGATAGGCTACTGGCGGTTGGGTCTTATTTTCTTTAACCTGCTTTTGAGGTTGTAATGTTACGGGCACCTGACCTGCTGGAAGAGGACTTGTGCCTCGTGGTTTAGACTCTGATGGCCCCACTAATTCTGGACCTTTTCCTTCTAATTTTAACGTTTCAGGATATATCACCTCCTGTAATTGATTATAGTCAACATTTTGCGTTGACTGAGCCATTACCGGCTCTGCTACATATTCGCAATGTAAACTTTCCGTTTCTTTCTGGGATTTTTTCCTTGTGTTTTCATTACAATCTATTAAACAGCTTCCAGGGGCATCAGAAACTGAAATGCTATCTTCTTCTGTTTGAAATGGTTCTAAAGCTGCTTTAATAATGGCCCAATCATTCCATACTGTAAGTGGAATGATATTACCCTTCCTACCTGCTTGTTATAGTTCCTTACCAATTCTTTTCCAATCTTTTAGATCTAAAGTTCCTTGTTCTGGAAACCATGGGCAAAATTGTTCTATTATTTGAAATAGCTTGATTAGATTTTTTGTAGATACTTTAACTCCCCCTCTTTTTAAAAGAATTTTAATAAAGCTGAGATAAGAGGCATATTTACTTTTAATTTTACTTTTAGTTTGCCCCATTATCACCCTAGCTTCTTCCGAGCGCACAAGCTTACCGTAAGGCTGACTGTAGACGTACTCGGGATCTCTCGTCGACTTGTCCTCAATGACCACGCTCGAGCGTACCTTCACCCTAGAGAAAAGCCTCCACTTTGGGCACCAGATGTAGGGGTGGGTTGCCCCTACACACCTGTGGGTGTTTCTTGTAAGGTGGGACGAGAGATTTGGAAAAGAAAAAGACACAGAGACAAAGTATAGAGAAAGAAATAAGGGGACCCGGGGAACCAGCGTTCAGCATATGGAGGATCCCGCCAGCCTCTGAGTTCCCTTCGTATTTATTGATCATCTGTGGGTGTTTCTCAAAGAGGGGGATGTGTCAGGGTCACAAGACAATTGTGGGGAGAGGGTCAGCAGACAAACACGTGAACAAAGGTCTTTGCATCATAGACAATGTAAAGGATTAAGTGCTGTGCTTTTAGATATGCATACACATAAACATCTCAGTGCTTTACAAAGCAGTATTGCTGCCCGCAGGTCCCACCTCCAGCCCTAAGGCGGTTTTTCCCTATCTCAGTAGATGGAGCATACAATCGGGTTTTATACCGAGACATTCCATTGCCCAGGGACAGGCAGGAGACAGATGCCTTCCTCTTGTCTCAACTGCAAGAGGCATTCCTTCCTCTTTTACTAATCCTCCTCAGCACAGACCCTTTACGGGTATCGGGCTGGGGGACGGTCATGTCTTTCCCTTCCCACGAGGCCATATTTCAGACTATCACATGGGGAGAAACCTTGGACAATACCTGGCTTTCCTAGGCAGAGGTCCCTGCGGCCTTCCGCAGTTTTTGTGTCCCTGGGTACTTGAGATTAGGGAGTGGTGATGACTCTTAAGGAGCATGCTGCCTTCAAGCATCTGTTTAACAAAGCACATCCTGCACCGCCCTTAATCCATTTAACTCTGAGTTGACACAGCACACATTTCAGAGAGCACGGGGTTGGGGGTAAGGTCACAGAATCTCAAGGCAGAAGAATTTTTCTTAGTACATAACAAAATGGAGTCTCCTATGTCTACTTCTTTCTACACAGACACAGTAACAATCTGATCTCTCTTGCTTTTCCCCACAAAAGGTAATAAACATAGGTTATTAGGCCAAACTATATGAGTTTGGATCTCAGTGCTAATCTTTATAAGCTGTATGCACCCTGTGTTTTACTTGCCATTCTATAAATGATAATAATAATAGCATTGTTTTGAAGATGAATAAACTTGTTATATTAATTAGAAACTAACTTGTTATAATAAAGAATCTTAATGATAGAATGACTGAAGAAAGACAAAACCTTATTTCTCTTTCATGTAAAAGTCCAAAAATAGCTAAGTTGACTAGGTGCGGGTAGAGGGTTCTTTTTCACCAAGTTATGTTGTGATTTGGGCTGAAGGTCAACCCTGCCATCCTAAACAGTTGACCATTTTATTTGGTTCCAAGGATATTCTAACAGGCAGGGTTAGAAAGTATAGAACCTGATTAAGATTACATAGAAGCAGCTCACATCATTCCACTCCTTTTTCATTTTTCCAAATTTGTTCATGTGGACATATAGAAATAGGAAGCTAGGAGCTGATGTGATTAGCTAAGTATTCATGTGTCCAGCTAAACCCAGAGGTTCTATGACTAAAAGTCTGAAGGTAAAACTGACTGCTTTGGGACAGTTTAACAATCTCTCTGTATAACTGCTTGAGCAGTGGCAGGCACATACTCTATGCTATGTTAGAGTTTACCATTGTTGGTCATTTGTTCTTCTACTTATTTTTTTGTTCTCTGTCCTGATTCAGTATTGAACACCCTATACATGTATATATATATATATGTGTGTGTGTGTGTATGTGTGTGCGTGTGTGTCTCAACTGATTGTCCAGTTGCCTGATAAATTTAAGTGATCTGTAGTTCACAGTATCCCAAGTTCAACTTTGGACTATTCAAAAATTTCTCCTTAATTTGAGCAGAAATCTAAGCCCCTGCAATTTCTTTCCATTAGTCTTTGCCTTAACTTGGCACTAACAAAATATATTCCACATGATAATATTTCAGATATATGGCAGCTAATATGTACTGTTTCTCCCCCAAAGTTGTTATTTCCAGGAATAAACATTACTCCTTTTGAGAAGAACTGCTACTTCTTCCACTATTGTTTCCTAAGAATGTATCTTACCAATTAAAAAAGATTCCTGTTTTGACATATTTTTTCCTCTTCAACCTAATCTCTGTTATGAATGAACACACATTGCCTATGTCTCTCTAAATTTGCTTGCCAGAGCTAAATACACGATTCCATTGGTGTTCTTTGCACAGTAAATTGAGAAGGACTAGCATCATGTTGTTTATCTTTCTACCTAAAACTGTGAGACTCCAAAATCATATGCCAGGGCATATGATCTACTATTGGCCTGCCTATAATGTAACAGAACAATCTTTAACTTTTGCTATAAATCAGAGACTATTTGGATACAGGGGAAAAAAAATCTGTTGGTAAGGATCGTTCATTGGAATTAGAAAGTATTTTGTCATCTTCCTTGGAAGAAACATTCTGTTTCTGTACAAGCTAGATATGATTTTGACATATGAAAATCTTTTCTGTTTTTTTCCAATTGGCTATTTAATAAGGACATTGATTATATTGTACCAGGGGTCTGAGCTCAGACATGACTGTTCAGATAACATCTGATTTTTCTAATTTCTAGGTTTATAGTCTGTGTCTCTAGGAGTTATGGTAATGAGGAAGTCTGAATTTGGCCTGGGCGATGTAATTTTATCTTACAGTTACTAATTACTAGATAACTGAAGACAAATTGCTTTCTTTACTTAGCCAGGACAGCAATTCATAGAGCACTAATTAGTAAGAGAATGGAAGGTCACTGTGAAGCCGAATGTCTTACCTTTGAAGTAAAGATTGGGGGCTGTAGAGCTGAATTAGCACCATTTTGCTGCAAAAACAGAAAGAAACATTAAAAACTAAGCACCAGCTGCAAGAAACAAAGAGGTGAAGATTCTCTGGCTGCGATATCAGTGGGATAAATCTCTCTGGACCATCTCTCTTTGATCTGCAAAGGTTGGATTATCTGAAGCCATGTCTGTCCAGTTCCCAGTGCTACAAGGAGATACCCTTCCTAGGCTGTGAACTTCTTCCAGGCAGACACTATATCTTGTTGACCTTTGCACTCTCAGTTCCTGACACAGGGCCTATTAATGATTTCTTTTACTTTATATAAAAGTGAGCCATTGAATACACAGATAAAACAGATGGAATGGAATGGTTGGACTGGCACTCAGGTGAATTGAGTTCTAAAGTCATAGCTCTGGCTTTAAACAGATGTAGGACATTGGGCCCTCTGTGCCAGGATTCTGGTATCTATAATGTGAGCAGATTGAACCTCTCAGTAAACGGAATACCTGCTAGATGCTCATTGTGGCTGCTTCAGCAGTATCACTGTCATGTACTCCTTTCTCTCTTTTATAGGTAGGAACTGTTTAGATTCTTGTTCATTTACCTGTTCGATCTAAAACATCAAGTTTTAGAATGAAATGCACCCATATCAAAATTCAAGTTGGCTGTAGCTTGAGCAACATCTTCATTCTGGCCATTTGCAGTGAGAATTGATCAAATCATGGGTTTCTGAAGCAGTAAGTTCCCCAAAGGTCATCGAATTCAGTGCCCTTATTACAAATGAGGAGAGTGAGACTGAAGAAGATTATACAGTTACTGACTTAGTCACATTTATATTCCAACTTCGGGCTTTCTGGACTTGTCTGCTTAGCATGTCCACAAAATAGCAGGCTGGAAGATAATAGAACAACAAAAGGCAGTCCTAAAGATGGAACGTTTCTCAGCGGGTTCAGGTGAACAGTTAAATGGAGGAAGAAATTGAAACAAACTGAAAAAAAAAAAACCATAGAAAGAAAAAAAGACACTTTCTAAGAATCTCTTTTGTAATCCTGCAAACCCTGCCCTTTCAGAGCATAACAATGGCAAACTGAGGCTTACCTTTTCCCTAATTTGCCAAAATTTGGAGTCCCAGCTTTCCAGCAGAAGAAAGCATATATCACAGACCATTTCATCGTAGAAGATTTATAGTACACCATCCCAGAACAGAAGAAGTAAAATCCCTCTGCGCTGCTCTAGAAAATGTCCTTCTCTATTCAGTTAAGCTGGCTTCCTGTAGAGATGTAAATAAAAGAGGAAAAAAAATCTGGAACAAGACAACGTGTAAAATGTTTTAAAATAAAAAATAAAATGTGTTTTGAAAGATCTTCTGGTATTGCCACTTGTCTTCATGGTGCTAATTTTCTTATTCTGAAAACTATGCTGGAGGAAAATATGTAAAGTTATCTGTTTCAATCAGAGGATTTTTCTGTTCTGCATTTTCCCTAGAAATTCCTTAAACATTGTCTCAGATAAAACTAACTGCCTTTGAGAATCTAAGTGTGTTTAGACTTTCTCGTTTCTTCATTTTTTATTTTTCCTCTTCTTTCTCTGTCAGTCAAATGACTTGAAATATAGCATACATTTCCTGTCTCCAGTGTTTTTATACCCTGTTTCCTTCTCAACCTATAGAAATCTCTTAAAGCCAGGCATGGAGGCTCATGCCTGCAATTTCAGCACTTTGGGAGGCCAAGACAGGAGGATCCTTTGAGCCCAGGAGTTCGAGACCAGCCTGGGCAACATAGGGAGACCCCATCTCTACAAAAATTTAAAAATTTAGGCTGGGCACAGTGGCTCACGCCTGTAATCCCAGCACTTTGGGGGGCCGAGGTGGGCAAATCACAAGGTCGGGAGTTTGAGACCAGCTTGACCAACCTGGTGAAACCCCGTCTCTACTAAAAATACAAAAAGCAGCCAGGCGTGGTGGCATGCATCTGTAATCCCAGCTCCTTGGGAGTCTGAGACAGGGGAATCGCTTGAACCCGGGAGGCAGAGGTTGCAGTGAGCCAAGATCATGCCATTGCACTCCAGCCTGGGTGACAAGAGCAAGTCTACGTCTCAAAAAAAAAAAAAAAGAAAAGAAAAGCCCGGTATAGTGGCTCACACCCATAGCCCCAATTGCTTGGGGGCTGAGCCCTGGAAGTTGAGGCTGCAGTGAGCCTGATCATGCCATTGCACTCCAGCCTGAGTGACAGAGGGAGACTCTGTCTCAAAAAAAAAAAAAAAAAAAAGAGACCCTGTTTCAAAAGAAGAAGAAGGAGAAGAAGAAAAAAGAAGAAGAAGAAGAAGAAGATTATTTTAGCTCTCATCATACTATTGGAATTTCTCTTTATAAAGGTACCAGGTACCTCCTTAGTCAGTTAATAGTAGTTTTTCTCTTAATAAATTACCAGGGCCAACTCCAGTGACCTATGGCCAGTATTCATCCTTCAGGCCCTTTCTGAAACATTTTACAAGGTGATCTATCTCCTGCACCTTAATTTCTCTCTCTTCTGGCCGTGAGAATGTTTGTCTGCTGGACATTTCTCTTTGTCTTCTCCACACATTCTCAGTCTTCTTTGCTGACTGTTCCTCATATTCTCTTGGCTAGGATTGCTTTCACCTATGTTTCATTCTCTTCTTATTATACGTGTTATCTCCAAACAATCTCCTCCATTCTCATGGTTCCCACTCTTTATGGACTAATGACATGGTGTTACTTCTTTACTTTTATGATTTCTTTACTCTGCTCTGTGGTGCTGTGCTGGGACTCTGAAAACAGCATTTGTTATACTGCTTGGCCAGTTAGCTTCTTGTTAGCACCTTTAATGAAAGGTATTAGCAGGAGAGTGGAAAACAAGACCAAGAGTGAAGGCATCTGTTCTATGCCGTTTTTGTCAGCCCCATTCCAATAGCAGCAGATGGTTGGCTCCAGGCTTCAGGCTTTATATTCTTTCCACTTTCTCAGCAGCCCCACAAATATGCCAGAAAAGGACCAGCAGCATCCTAGCTCTACCTCCTTGGTTCTAAGAGGACCGGCTGAGCTACAATCTGCTTTTCTATGCACCTTGTCTATCCAAGCACCTGTTGGACCATGTCTCCTCCTCAGAAGTCTGAACACTGGCTATCAAGTGCCTCTGCCTCATTTGCCTGCACATCAGTCATTGAGCATTGCTCCCTTCAAATTTTAAGCGTGACTGATGTGGTGTAACCCACTAGGAGACATGGGCACCTGGTACTGTGTCTCCTCCTCATAGGTTCAAGCTCTAGCTGCGTACAAGTAAGATAATTTTGGGCGCTAGCCCATGAGAGTAACTTTACTCCTTTGTTCCTATATGTTAAAAGGCGATATCCCTTTTGTATGGTTATCTCTGTGCCTTTTCAACCTTCCATTACTTGTGTATCCAATTTAAGTTTACTGAGCTACTCTAAGTGGATTTCTGATAGGCACTTCAAAGGTAATGTCTTTATTGCAATTTATTGGTTTGCTTCCAAATCTGGCCTTCATTTAATATTCTAAATCTTAGAAAATATTACTATCGTTTACTTGACATTCAGGTTAAAAGTAGAGGTTTACTCAGGAATGCTTACTTTTCTGAATAAGTCACACAATTTACTCATGACATTAATCTGCATAAATTGCTTATTAATCCCTGTAAATCTTAATGCAATTATCTCCTTCCCTCTTTCTCCTCACTGATGTTGTTCTAGATCAGTGTCTTATTATCTTCAGCCTCTGCTCTTACTCTGTCAAACTTGGTGTTAACAAATTCACCCTCACTGCCAATTATCTAAAATTTACTTATAATTTGTGGATTGAACTTTGCATGAAGTAAAGGAATAGTTCTACTTTTTCATGATGTATGAGCACACACACGAGCATACACACACCCATGTGAATTGAAAAACCATAAAAATTAGTCTAAGATTTATATTCAGATGTCTACGAATCCTTAGAACACTCAAATATTAGAACTAGAAGTAGCCTTAGAGATCACTTAAGTCCCTGCTTCCAGAACTATATTGGTTAATTATAGTCAGTGTAACTAGCCTAGAATACTTATAATTAGAGCTCTATGCCCCACTCTAACACTTTCAAATGGGGATCTCTTCAGAATCTAAATTTGTAAAATGACTTTTCCAATTAAGTCTCCTGCACAGTGACATTTGAGACCTGTTGATCACTGAACACAGAAGCATCTGAGATCCATTGATCTCTGTCACACACCTCCAGTTAGTTGCAGAAATAGATTCAGGCTCAAATCCAGGATTGCTGCCTTCATGTCCAGTGGCATATCACTGTGTTGCACTTTTCCATTTGTAAAGGAGGTATGGAGAGGGCATGACCAAGTGGTTCACCTTGCTCAACCCCAGGAACAGAAGCTCAAACTTTATTGGGTAGACAGACACATGTACAGCAAATGAACATTCCATGTGTTAAGTTCTACATCCTGATCCGAGACCTGTGGGAGTTTAGAACATGTGCATTTAGACTAATTACGACTGGAGTCACTGGGGTCCAGAGAGGTTTCACAGACAAAATGTCCTGTGACCATTTAAACCAACTGGTTTATCAACTTAGCGTAAATCACTTTAACTGAAACTGAAGGAGTATTGCTGCTAAACTTCCTTTGTTGCCAATATATTTGTAGTTTATGTTCCCATTTGACAATTATTTCCATTCAAAACTGCTCACTTTCATTCTTCTGGGGAACTGAACCGAAAATGTTAAGGACTCTCTGTTCTCTTATGAAAGCCATTCTGCTCATATGGTGCACTTCTGTCCCTGATTGTCTATGTCGAGGTATAGAAAGGTCCTTTTCATCCAAACAAAGACATTCCACTGGCCCAGGTGAGCTGCTGACCAAAATGAAGCCACCTATCTTCTGTCTCTATGGACACCTTCACCTGTGAGGACTATTATCATTCTCATTTGCCACTTAATTTTTTTCCCATTTCACTTTTTTTTTTTTTTTTTTCGAAACAAGTCTCACTAGGTGGCAAAACAATCTGTGGAAGCCTTGACAAGTTTAATGAAACTGAGACCTTGAGGGAATCCCCTGGGCAAAATCTCCACTATCTATATGTGGAGAAGGGGCTGTATGAGAAACCAGGAAAACTGATGACAGAGAGAACTGTAGTCTTCTAACCCGTGCACAAGCCCTTCCGGCTGTGTGAACAGCAGAGCGGGCCAGGTAAAGGCTGACTTAGATGAACTGCAGTAAGAGGTGCTCCAGGTGTCTGGATCCACCTCTCCTTCATCACTGAAACTCAACAGGATCTGAGTAGTAGAAAATGGGGCACTTTCCTGATTTTTTTTTTTTTTTTTTTTTTTGAGACAGGGTCTCATTCTGTTTCCCAGTCTGGAGTGCAGTGGCACCATCATAGCTGGGATTACAGGCACATGCCCCCATGTCTGGCTAAATTTTTTTATTTTAGTAGAGATGAGGTGTTACTATACTGCTCAGGCTGATCTCAGACACCTGAGTTCAAGCAAGCCTCTTTAGTGATTTTAAGAAACTTACAAGAGAGAGCTATGACAAAGCTCTGTTGACCCAAGGCAAACAGTGTAACAGGCTGACTTATAAGGATCACCATCAATCTTAGCAACCTAACCCATTGTCCTTCAATACTGCTGCTCTTCTGGGCTTGACTCTGTTCCTATGACTTTATTCCAATCCTTGGCTGTACCTCTTTTTTTTTTTCTTTTTTTTTTTTGGTCAACCGCTGGTCTTTTCAAATAGAACTTACAGAGATCAAAACTCTCACTCTGAAACTGAGTGTACTCCTTCACATTCAAGGTAGGAACAAGAACTACAGGTATAAAGTCTTCTGCATGGACAGGCTTTGGAGCAGCTCTGAATCAGACTCCCTACCTTTGTCCAAGGAAATGCATGTGCATTAGGATCAGATCCCCTCTGAGGAGGTAGGGCTGGTTATGCCCAGGAAGTGATGTGGACACATGTTGCCTTATATACACTGCATTGCATTTTAGATGGACCATCTTCTCATCAGGACTTCTTAGTGACCCAATCAAACAGCCTTCCTACAACCATTGTGCTTTGGTAGAGTTGTAGTTTCTTCTGGAAAAGCTAAGGAAATTTTCTAAGGTAGGACAGGAAAATCTTGTTTTAGATAGTAATCATAAATCATAATTTTAAAAATTATGCTTCAATGTATTGTCATTTTTTTCACTTCACTTCTCAGCTTTTTTTTTTTTTTTTTTTTTTTTTTTTTCTTGAGACGGAGTCTTGCTCTGTCACCCAGGCTGGAGTGCAGTGGCACAATCTTGGCTCATGCAAGCTCCGCCTTCTGGCTCACGCCATTCTCCTGCCTCAGCCTCCTGAGTAGCTGGGACTACAGGCACCCGCCACTACGCCCGGCTAATTTTTTTGTACTTTTAGTACAGACGGGGTTTCACCGCGTTAGCCAGGATGATCTCGATCTCCTGACCTCGTGATCCACCCGCCTCGGCCTCCCAAAGTGCTGGGATTACAGGACTGAGCCAACGCGCCCAGCCCACTCCTCGTCTTTTATCAGATCCATTTTCTAGGCATGGAATCAGAGACTCAGAGACACAGTGAGCAGACCTTAATTTACCCAGACATTCATTTAGTGGGTTAGTTTCTCGTAAGGGGCTTCCAAATGTAGACAATGTGTGTCCCGTGCAGACTCAAGAGGAATCAATTCAGTCTATTTGAAGACTCCCCAAACTCATATTTTGTAGAAACCAAAAAACAAAATATTTGGTAGAGAAGGTCGAAGTGTCTGAACGGTACATACAGGCAGAGCTACATTACTTGGCTCCTATGTGAAGAGAGAGGGAGCTGCAGAAAAACTAAATGGGAAGGCTCAGATGTATGAATTTCTTCAACTGAAATTGCATACAATCCTGGCTCCTTAATCTGTGTCCACTTCCCAGCAGTTATGGGAGGTATGAGCTCAGCTCAGGGGAAACAAACTTAACAAACTTAGCTCTGGAAATCTGGAGAAGCAGTGAGCAGGGCTGATCCCCCAAGTACCCTGATGAATCCCAGTGTTCTTTCTGTTCAATTACCTAAGGGAAGCTATTCAAGTTTTAAGTCCGTTTTGAATCAAAATATTGATTTTTTTTAAAAAAAAACTTAAAATTTAAAGAAACTGGTATTAGTTATGGGAAAACCAGAAGGGTACCCTCATTTGGAAATAATCTTTGAGAAATCTTTGCAGTGTGAACAGTTGGGATTTGGTCTTTCCAAAATCCAGCTAGCATGCACTTAAGAAAAAGGAAAATCAGGAAATGTAGAAAATGAAATGCTAACTTACATATTTCACTTTAACATTTATTAAGGATATTAATGGGCCTATTGAAAATTGAAAATGCAGTTTTGCTATTTTAAAAAATGTTCTTGTGTGAGAGTAGACATCCCTTGGTAAATGTCCATGGAAATATTGAACATTTAATTTTTCATTAGTTCTAAACAAAATCATGTATTTCCTAAAAGGTACGCATTTTACATGCCTCAATACCCATAGTTGACACAAAATACTCTGAAACAGAAAACAAAACATTAAACTATCCCATATTTTAAATTAAAAATATTTTTTCAAACAGCGCTGAGAACACTGAAATATGTGAAATTACAATATATTCTAAAACGATTACCTAAGAAAATTAGGGGATGTCATCCACGTTTGTCTCAAAGGAATTCAGATTTATGATTCATCTTAAGAAATGTGAAAAGAACACATTAAATATAAAGATGGATAAAGGAATTTATTAATATACACAGTAACTTTTGTTCTTTTAAAGCAATGATTCGGGCCTCCTGGGCCCAGCTCAGGTCCTGGCCCAAAAAGTCCCTGGAACAGAGCCCTTGCTTTTGTCCCTGCCTCCCGGGTGATTGAGGAGTAGAAAAGGAACCTACATTCCTCATCCTTGGTGTGAATTTCCACGCTCCCCACCGGCCAACTGTGGCAATTCACATTGTAGTTCTGACAATAAATGGCCCGTTCTGACTGGGCTGGTGGGGGTCCTGGTCCAGCCACCTCCAGCCAGGGGTCCCTGGGTCGTGAAGGCGCCACGACCTGCTCCACTCAAGATGTGCAGCTCCACCCACTCACGCTAGAGAGGAAGAAGAACTTCTGCCATAAACTTTTGTTGTTATTGTTTTGTTTGGTTTGGTTTGAGACGGGGTCTCGTTCTGTTGCTCCGCCTGGAGTGCAGTGGCCCCATCACGGCTCACTGCAGCCTCGACCTCCTGGGCTCGAGTGATTCTCATGCTTCAGCCTCTGGAGGAGCTGGGGCCACAGGCACCCACCACCACACCTGGCTAAGTTTTTGTATTTTTGTAGAAACAAGGTCTCGCTCTGTTGCCCAGGCTCGTCTCAAACTCCGCCCACCTCAGCCTCCCAAAGTGCTGGGATTCCAGGTGCGAGCCACCGCACCCAGCCTCCTAAACTGTTTTTAATTTGTGCAGAATGAACCGGGTCATCAACCACTGTAAGTGGTCTGACTACCCTGACCATAAAATGTCGGAAACACTCAACTTGCAACTGGTGGAAGCAGCCTAGCCCCACTGCACGTAAAACACTCGCGTTGTGGCAAACGCGGAGACCAAGGCTGCACTGGCCGGAAGTGGGGACAGATCCCGATACGCCCTGGGGACAGAGCAGGGATGCTGAGGCCTGGTCCACACTGGCTCTGCCCTCTTTCTGGCCCACTACCCCATCCTGAGACCGCAGGTTCCGGCGGACCCGGATGCAGGTTTTCCGGATGAAAGGCCCCTTTCCTGGAGTGGACTTTGATATTTTCTGTTCACAACTCCGTGTCACCATCCTCCACACCTAGGATCTGGCGTCTGGTGTCACTGCCGACGTCACAATCCCCGCACCTACGTGTCTCAGCCGCAGTAGCCCTACGTCGCTGTCAGACACTGGGAGGTTGGTGCCCCGCCATGCTTTTGTGTCTTTTGTCTTTTCACCCTCTCCCCTCCCCACCCAGTGCCCCGTCTAAGTCCCCACTCGGAAGTGGATTCTCACCCCTCGCGGCCCTTTGTGGGCAAAGCCAGGAGGAGGAAGGCCACAACCTCCCGCTGGCTTTGGGATTTCTTAGACATCAGTAGTCTTCTAAGGCCCTCCACCCTGCCCGCACCCCTCCTTCATCCTCGCGTCTCTTGGGACACTGCCCTGCTGCCCTCAGGCCTTTCCTTAGTCACAGACTCGGGGAGGCCCCTGAACCCCCTCGGCTTGGACATCACCGGCCACAGTCCTGTGACGCCCTGTGATCTTCTGTCCCAGATCTCATTCCACTGGCTGTGCCTGTCAGGGTGTGCTTAGATTTTGGAGTCCCAGTGTAAGGCGTGCTCTTATTGGGAAGGGGGCTTCTTCATTCTCTTCTTGTGAATGTAGATGTGAAGCCAGGGCATAAGGAGAAAAAGAGAGGCCAAAAGAGAACCAGAGAGCCAGGGAGCTAGGGAGAGTGAGGTTGAAAAAGAAGGTAACGTTGAGTATTGGGAAGCTGTCTCTGATGGATTTTGAAAAGCAGTGATAGTGAAAGAGTTCTAGAAGCTTTGTAGAAGGTGTTGAAAAAAATAGTGAAAGTTACGTGGGCAAGAAATAGTGGGATAGATGACACAGACAAAGAGAATCAGGAGAGAGGTGGAGGACAGAATAGAAAGGGGATTCTGACCAACCACAGCAGAGGAGTAAAGGAAAGAGATCCCCAATTCATTAGGGTTTTTTTTAAAAAGTCTTAATAATATTCTCTTTTGTTTCAGATTCAGATGATGAGGCCTCTTTAGATTTTTAGTCTTTATTATATTTTGGAAATATCTTTTAGTACTTAGTATTTTACACTATTTCAATGTGCTCTTGGAAAGGGTATTGGTTTTTTTATATTAACAGTCAAAACCTAGTTTAATCAGTAAGTCTATTCTTCTACTGTCTCCATTATTTCCTTACATGGCCTTTTAACTGGGTCTGTAAAATACAATTTTCAGGGAAGTGTATGTTCCCTTGACCTCTCTCTGCAAATTTTCAAGGATGGGCTGAAGTGATCAGGAATTTTGTTCTAGCAGAGCCATTCTGTTCATGATTACTAAATTGCTCAGAGCTAGTTCAAGCCAATAAGTAGGTATCCTTAATTTCATATTTTTGATAATTCAATGAGTTGTTCTGGAAAAAAAGGAATTAAATGCTTGAAATCAGATTATTGTGATTAAAACCATGAGAAAGAAGTTGCTCTTGCTCCAGAGCATGAAATATGGTATAGAATCTTTAGGGCAAAGAGAAGGAAAAACCCTATCACAATTCGTCACAGCACATCATTCTTGTGAAGCTAGTGGTGGTTACTCTCTACTGGCATCTCCTACTGACCTTGCCTGCCCCAAGACCCAAGTACAGAATGACAAGGCAGCTTGATGAGGGGAGAGTCAAGACTTTTTAAACTAACTACAGAACAAAATTATCTCTCCAAGTAGGAGGGGACACTTGGTGCTATAAATGAATATAAATGACATGAGAATGACATGAGAATGAAAACTGTCAATATAATAAATAGTTTGCAAAAGCTCTAACTTAAAACACACAGGACTTTCAGAGTAGAGAATTCCTAGCTCTGTAAAGAATTTGGGACTCCATTTGAGAGAAGCCTTGGTCTCTACTCACTGTGAACCAACATTCAGCCAGGTACCACCGTTGGTATGTTACCAAAAAAACTCAGTAAAAAATGCTTTCTTAAGAAGGAAATAGGAAAGGAAAGTCTTTACAAGGGCAACTGATCATCTTGTGGATTACCAAATACTGCAGATTTCAGGTCAGAAAACGGAGTCATGGAGAATAAAAAGAAAAAACTAACACACAATTGAGCAAATAATTCATAATTTAGAGAATGTATCTACTCATTAAAAATGTGAAGTGTAAATGTATAACAGTTATGTGACCTGGGAATTTTGAATACAAAATTATGTAAGCAACTTTATTATTTTTTAATAGAAAAATACTTGCAAATATTGAAACAATAAAACCTGTTGCTGAAAAATCTAATATGTTGTTAAAGTTCTAGTTTTATTTATGCAGGTCTGACACATAGATTTGCATAAGCTATCCTTAGCATGTGAGTAGAGATTTCATCCTTCTCTTCCCGTTTCCCCATCATCAACAGCTTTTTTTTCTTCCCACAGCCAAACTCCCTTCATTCCAACTTCCACCAAAACCACTTCTCTGGATCCATCCCTGGAGTTGACACAACAGGGATCTTCAGCCCCAGGTGCCAGGTTTCTCAGTGATCCATTACACAGATTTAACAGGGAAATGGGGGCAGTATCAAAAACACCCAGTATAAACCATTGAATTACCCCAGCCCTTGTCTCTGCCCATGAACAACTGCCTGGGGCCAGAGAATTAGGCATCCCTGCTCTTCTTTCCCTCAGAAAGCCCTTGAGACGTTCTCCTTGAAGCTCCCCTAGGTGGGAGTAGAAGTTCATCTCCTGACACTCCACGTTTTATTCATGAGTCCTGAGTTATGACACAGAGGACACAGTTGTGCTCCCCTTACTATGGACTAGCAGATAAAGCACCTTAACCACTCAGCCACCATGCAAACCCTTCTTATATTTGATTCAATATACTTTTCCGCAAGCAAAATAAAAGTTCTGACCAAGGAGGCGTCGTCTGATTTGACTCTAGAACTTGGAAATGCATTGGCTTTTAGCAAATCTCAGTACTGAATGTAAACTTCAAGGAGAAATGGTTCCAGGAAATAAATTGGGATGACATTGAACTTTTAGCAAACTGCAAAATCCTGAAACCATGGACTTACTGAGGCCAATTAAATGGGCTAATTCATGGGTGGAAGTGGTACATCCTAAAAATTCTCCACAAGTGATTCTACACTGAAGCCAGGGTTTTTGTCAAGTACTGTGTGAGGATGAGGATGGCCATCTGCTTGGCAAGCCATCTGGTCCAGGCAGGGCTCACATTATTGTTCACAGTTTAACCTATTTAATTAAATAGTAATTTTCCCCCAAATCTTATATGACATAAGCTGTAGTCCTGAGCCACATTAAGATGTACTATTTATGCAGTAAAATTGTATGGGATTTGACAAATGCATAGCAGCAGTTTTCCAGCATTAAAGTATCACAGAACCCTTCTCTTATTCAAGCTCCTCTTCCGTCCACATACAGGGAATCAATCGCCTTTTGTATATGGTCCTTGGACGTTGCTTCTTTATTTCAGTTATCTTCCATCAAAGCAAATGATACCGTGCTCTATTTTCATTTGATCCTCCAAAAGAAAGGTACTGAATAATCTAAACCAGAATTTCAGCCATTCAGAGACTTAGGTCCATCGCTAAGCGGTAGAAGCCAAGCCTCTTGCGCTGCAACCCCATGGCCGGCAGAGGGCGAGGGAACACGCCGTCCCGCCCTCCGGGGCGCATGCGCTTTCTGCCTGCGGAGGCGGGGCTGGGTCTCCAGGAAGTACGTGAGTTTCCTTTCCTCTGGTCAGGGAGGAGGCGCCGCCCTGGCTTTGGGGCAACTAAGGCGATGTCCATCAGGAGGAAAACTTCCTGTCCGCAGCCCTAACTGCTGAGAAGGGAGATTCGCTGCAGAGTATCCCGGATATTTTTCTGAAACAGCCATAAAGACTTCATTTTCAGGGCTGTTGCCACGTGTTTTATTCTGTATTTTCTGTTGGGATACTTTAGCATTATTTTACAAATGTATAAATTTGGGGTTAGGGAGGGCTTTCTGATAGATAATAGAAGCAGGCTGTAACATGTCCTCCCTGTGACCTCATTGAGGATTGATTGTGAGGAGAAACAAGAAGAATTGTGAGGAAAATCTACAGAATACGGGGACCCTGCAGAGGAAGGGGTCGGGTCAGGGCAGGGCCACACAATTTCAGTGCAGCCCGTGGGAAAGGGGCCCTTGCAGGGAAACCCGCGCTCTGCCTCCGTGCATTTCCACATTGTGAGGGGCTCATCTTTCCTACAGTGCTAAAGTCACTGAAAAATAGACAATGAAAGAGAGGGACATTAATTCAACATTCAGTTGTTGACGATAAAGCATTCAGAACCACATCTTTCTCTTCATCACAGCACTGCAGATGTAAAAAATGGTTTTAATTTCAAAGGCAAGGGGAAGAGGTACACTTGTGAACAAGTTTGGACCCCAAATGAAAATATATTGCTTAAATATTTCTTCAAAAATAAGTCATTATTCTGTGTTGCAGGATATATCCTGAGATTTTTAAGCTATAACTTTATTAATTTATTGGTTAAAACACATTTTGTTTATAGCCAAAGCGATTATAAAGGTAGAATATTTGGCAAGTCCCTCATATTTTTCTTCTTCTACTAGGTTTTCAGCTAGAATTGACACACACAAACTCACAATGAGGGGCCTCTTTCTTGACCATAAAATATGCATACTCCAGAACCCTCAGTGTAAGCTGTTTCTTGAATATCTTAACCTGATCCCCACAACCAGAGAGAATGTAGAGAAGTAACCCGTTTTTTTTTTTTTAAACACAGTCTCGCACTGTCACCAGGCTGGAGTGCAATGTCGTGATCTTCGCTCACTGCAACCTCCGCCTCCCGGGTTCAAGCTATTCTCCTGTCTCAGCCTCCCGAGTAGCTGGGATTACAGGTGCCCGCCACCACACCCAGCTAATTTTTTGTATTTTTAGTTGAGATGGGGTTTCACTATGTTGGCCAGGCTGGTCTCAAATTTCTGACCTCCTGATCCGCCTGCCTCGGCCTCCCAAAGTGCTGGGATTATAGGCATGAGCCACCGTGCCCGGCCAAGTAACCCAACTTTAAAACTACATCTGGTTGGGCACCATGACTCATGCCGGTAATCCCAACATTTTGTGAGGCGGACATGGGCAGATCACTTGAGGTCAGGAGTTTGAGACCAGCCTGGCCAACATGGTGGAACCCCGTCTCTAACCAAAATACAAAAAGTAGCCGGGCATGGTGGTGCACACCTCTAATCCCAGCTACTCGAGAGGCTGAGACAGGAGAATCGCTTGAACCTGGGAGGCAGAGGTTGTAGTGAGCCAGACTGCACCACCTCACTCCAGCCTGGGCAACAGAACACAACTCCGTCTGAAAAACAAACAAACAAACTACATCTGATCTTCAGCAAAGTATCTGCTGTTCTGCTCAGAAAAGACCGAAATCCACAAAGCAGACAGACCTCTGAATAAAGACACTAAGGTCCGCCGTGGGCGCTTTTAAGAAGTTAGCAGGGCCTGTACTTCACCTAATAAGACTGAGGAGGATATCAGCTAAATGGAAAGAATCTACAAACAAATTTATACAATTTCTAGGGAGAGAATGACATCCTGAGCTCAAGGGCCTGTTAGTGACGGCACATTCAGTAATGGTGCAGCCTCACAGAATTTCCATTTAGTTCAATTTTGGTATTTACTGGTCATCTTTTCTCCCCATTACCATCCAACCTTTTTTATGTTGTCAAATAATTTTTAATCATAAAATGATTAACTCTGAGTTTGGGCATTTGGTGTCTGGCCTCCTGATGGAAGTTTAGGTGACTTTGTCCATGGAAATCATGGATTTTTAATTAATAAGTAATGTTGAAAGGGAAACTTGCATTATAATTCTGAAACCATTCCAGTGGGGGATACAGGCAAGAAATAAGCCAACAGACAGATTAGCACATAGTGATATATTAGAAATTAAGTAAAGGTCCTTTTGGTATTTTTCCCAGCTCATCTTATGATATGAGCCTATTATGTTTGGATAACTTTCCCCAGGAGATTCATTTTAAAAGTTCTTTCACTTAAAATACATATTATTTTATTATTTAAAAATACTGTCACCAGAAGCGGTGGCTCACGTCTGTAATCCCAGCACTTTGGGAGGCCGAGGTAGATGGATCACTTGAGGTCAGGAGTTTGAGACCAGCCTGGCCAGCACGGTGAAACCCCGTCTCTACTAAAAATACAAAAATTAGACAAGCGTGGTGGCACATGCCTGTAATCACAGCTACTCGGTACTCTGAGGCAGGAAAATCACTTGAACCCAGCGGGTGGAGCTTGCAGTGAGCCGAGATCGTACTACTGCATTCCTGCCTGGGAGACAGAGTGAGACTCCATCTCAAAAAAAAAAAAATACTGTCAGCCCTCCACATCCATGGGTTCCAGCTCCATGGATTCAACTAAACTTGAATAGAAAATATTCAGAAAATATTTACACAATTTCCACCCCCCGACAAAAAAAAATTTGAATTTTCCCTTCACCAAATTCTTTGTTGAGAACACGTAAGTAATGTAAGGTCTGGGCATTGTATTAGGTATTATAAGTAATCTAGAGATAATTTAAGCTATATGAATTAATATGAGTAAGTTACATCTAAATTCTCTACCACTTTATACAAGGAAGTGGAGCATCCACAAATATTGTTACCTTCAAAGTTTCCTAGAACCAATCCTTTATGTTTACCCAGAAATGATTATGCACATGAAACTTACAGAAAATAATTGTCTTTCCTAATTAATGAATAGTATACAATAGAATGTAAATAGCACTATTTTAAAATGCTGATATTTTATATCACATTTCTATGGTGAATCAGAGTAGAGGTTACATTAGACTGATTTTGATTAGATTAGGCTAATTCTAACAGGGGCACACCCATATCACTTGAGTTTTGATAAAAGCACTCCCATGCAGGTCCTACTACTTAATCAGCAACACTAGCCAATCGTGTTCATCCATTTTGATAAATCCCACAGCTCTCTCTATTATAAAACTTTTGGGATTTGCCCAAGATTTCATTCTACCATAGCGTCATTCAACCTGTCCCAGGCCAGGGCACACTATTCCATGTTCTGGATGTGCCGAGCTGATCATCTTCTTCAGGAAAAGTAAAAGATCAAGTCATAGACTGTATAGATTTATAAGAAAATAAGATGAAGATTGAAATTTTCTGATACAAGTGAGTCTAGAGAACCTTTACCATGTATGGTTACTGGCGCCAAAGAAGCCTTAGTGATTCCTGGACAGAATCGCAGAATGACAATGAAGGAGAGAGCAGGTATGTTAGTGTGTGTTTACCTTGGGTTGCCAGGAGGTTGCCATGTGACTATGTGTGACTGTGTGCATTTGTGTGTGTGTGTGGTGTGAATGTGTGATAAAGGGTCAAACTAGGGCAGAGAAAGCACCCTGGCCTGCCATGACATTGAACGTTATAAATTTAGAACACCTGCCGGAGACATGAGACCCACAGTGGAGGCCATAGGATCCTGCCAGCATGGGGGGTTTCTGGACCTGTCAGGGGGCTCATCTCAGGTTTCCTCCCACTGTCGATCTATGTTCCCTCTCTAAATGAAAGTCACCTCTTGTGCGGAGACAGGTAAACTGTGGGCATGATCTAAATTTCTTCCCTGTGCTCATTAGAAAATGAAACATTTCCCATCATCTCTCACTCCATTCACACTGTAACTGCACAGACACGGTGCTCAGATACCTGAAATAACAACGTCTTCCCTGAAAATCCTCAGACCAAATTAGATGTCCCTTCTCAGATGGATGAGCTCCTGAGAAAGCAAACTGTTTCCTGTGGTCACCATCCCTTATCACACACATTCACCGATAGGAAAAGCCATTAGAAAAGTTGAGGAGGGGAGATGAGCATTAGGACTTACTGGATGCAGGTAGGATTTGGAGCCCAACACAAGTGCACTTGACTGAGGGACACAGAAAGAATGTGTGCTGGATGATAAATGGAGTTTTGGGCTTGTGAGAATTAGACTCTGTGTGGAAGACTAACGGATCCCTTTCTGTCCTGCAGCTTGGCTACCACGCAAATGAATCCACCCAAACGTCACCAAGTGGAGCAGGGTACCAGTATAGGTAAGGCAATTTCCCTGATATTTCTTAAGATCTCCCTGCCTGGAGGTCAGTGTCATGTCTCACAATCTTATAAAAGGAGAGGGTGCTTTCTGCAGGATGAGTGGAAAGTCATGCTTGATTGATGGGGGCTGGTGTCCTGAGGCTGGCCTGTGCTGGGTTGTGGATTTCTGAAGGTCATATTCTGAAATCCAAGAGACTCTTGCTGGAAGAGCCTTAACCTCCCTCACTGTGATCTCTCTGCAGGTGCAAAAACACCCTCAATTCCAGGAGCTCCACACTGAATTCAGGCCAGTCCCTGGAACCTCCCCAGGTAAGTTATTATGTCATTGCATGGCAAAGATTGCAAAACACCCTCAATTCCAGGAGCTCCACACCAGAATTCATGCCCGTCCCAGAAACCTCCCCAGGTAAGTTCGTATGTCCTTGTATGGCAAAGATTGGACAGTGCTGCACACTCTTCAGGCTCAAGAGACATCCAGTGGATGTACATTTAGGTGGGTCAGCACGAGAGTCAATTCTGGGAGGGAGTGTATTTTAAACTTGTAGAGGGTGAAGCTCCTGGCAACTCCCTCCGCATCAGCATCATTTGCAGCCTTTTTGGAGAATACTGACGGCCATCTTTTCACGGGAGCAGCAGGATTCCAGCAATGAGGAGCTCATCATAGTCCTAGAACAAGGGACAGAAGTGAGGTTGAGCCTGGAAGAGGTCATCCTCATCTTGGCCCCAGAGACAGCGCTGCAGCTGACCGTGGAGAACACAGTCCTTGTGATTGTTCCTGGCATATCCTGAGGTCACAAGATGGCCTGCAGTCCCCTGTGCAGATCCAGTACATCATGCCTTCCATTGATGACTTCAGCTTGGAGTGCCATGCTCAAGATGGAGACATCTCAGACATGAAAGGAGAGAATGTGCCTCTTTCACCTGCAGAAGAAGGGGAGGCAGCACCCCTATATCACCAGCCCTTGATGATATCCCCAGCAAACCACAAAGCTGGGATCAGCCCTTTTCTTCTAGTAACCCCATTGTGCATTCCATGCTGTCTGGCAGCCTTCCCCCAACGCTACCCTCTACCACCCACATCTAGTCCCATGGGACGCCCTAGACCAGCCAACTCCAGTTTCAGCCTGCATGGTATGGAGCTACTGTGCACCTCCTCCCTCAGCCGTATGCCCCCTTCACCAACTCCTGGTCCCCAGATCTATCACAGGGTTCACCATAGGCCTCCCAGCAGGGCACAGAGATGTCTCTTTAGGAAGTGATTTAACCAAGAGTCACCCCCTGCATTGATAGGTCAGAGATTGTCCAAGTCCTTAGTCAGTGCATTCCCTGAAATGTGGAGAGAAAGTAATTCCAAGGACCGCTTGCTTCCCCTTTGCTGTTTCCCATCAACACCCACTGTCTTCAACAGCAGAGGGCTCCAGATGCTGCAGGGAGGGGGAGAACCGCAGGGAGTTCAAATAAAACATTCACATTTCACTTCACACACAATGTCCCTTAGACTTTCTCTTCCTATTTAACCACATACATCCAACCACACTCAATCGAATCCCTGACTGCTCCATGTGAGAGTTCTGCTTCCAGCATGATGTGGCCTGAAAATTCATCTGAAGACAGCTGCTCACTCCCAGGGCTAACACCGCCCCTTGCATGCTGATGTCCTTGTAGTCATTGGTCTGATGCCACAATAAATAATTCCTAAGGCTGGTGCTCTATTTCTGCCCTGAGACTCTCCCCTTTTTCTCCAAGCTGTGCCCCATTCCTTGTTTTAGTCCAGGTTCCCTACACTCCCCAGGCCAATGCTTTTGAATAAATCTTGACGTCATTGAATGAAGTAGTGGTGACTGCTGTGCTTGCTTCCAACTGAGACAGTCTCCTGCTCTCACTCATCACGTTTCCATTCACACTTGCCTTTGTTTAGTTTTGTTTTCCATTGTTTGGGTTTATTATTCACGTGCTTATGAAATAACTGCCACATTTCTGACAGTTTTTTTGGCCAATTTGGGGCTTTTCCTGTGCTCCTCCTTCCAAGTCCTGAGTGGGGTCACTGTTTGCACCTCTGGGCCCTGGGATGGGTCTGGCTTAGCAAGTGATTGAACAGAGCTTGGCTCTGTGTGTTCGGATGGGCACCTGCGCTTGTTCACAGCTGCTCCCAGGCTCTCCCTGTCCTGCCTGGGTGTCCCTGTGTCTCTGGAGTGTCTAGGAAATCTAGCAGTCCCCTTGAGGGCCCAGCACCTCTTTGTTGGCCTGCATGTCCCAGCCTGTGCATCCATGGCCAGCTAGAGCCACCACCACCTTTTCCTAGTCAACCTGGGTCCTGGAGGCAGGGGAGATGCGGGGATAATGTCCTGGCCTCCCTGAGCCCAACCCCAGTAGGTGGGGAGTGCTCATGACCCCGGGGGGAGTACAGGGCGTTTGCCCTTGACTTGCCTGACCCTCTAAAACCTCACATGTTCCCTGGAGGTGGGTGCAGCTTTCTCCTACTCTGGCCTTGCTGGCCTGGGAAGAGTGTCCTTGGTCCCCCGAGCCCTCACAGCGTTTTCTCTTCTACTGAGGTTTCAGGAACTGCCTTTCCCCTCTGGGAAGGAGGACAGGCACCTTTTCAGGTTTGATTCTCCTCAGAGTTTTGTATCTCGGCTGGGGCGGAAGCAGCCTTCGTCCACATGAGAGGCCCAGCCAGGGCGTCCTCACCAGCCCGGGCCTCCGGGGAGGTTTTGAGTCTGGGCGCTGGAGAGGCCCCTTCCTCTGCGAGAGCGAAGATGGCCGCCCCAGTGCAGGGGGCGCCTTTCTGCGCCCTTAGGGCGTCAGGATCCCCCTACGGACGGGAAGTCCCATTGGGCGTCTTTGGCCCCGCCCTCCCAGAGCCCTGCTGATGCGGAGGTGGCGCGGGGGCCCTGGACTCTGTCATGAGAGGTGGCAGCAGAGGCCAGGCAGGGCCCGGGCTCCGGGTCAAGGGAGTGTCTGGCCTGGGTGGGACTGGGTCCCATCCAGAAACTGGGATTCTAGGGTTCTGGTGCGGGTGGATCCGGGGCAGGCTCAGGACCAAGTCCCTCTTCTTCCACCTCAAGGACTCACCCAGGGGCTGGCGGGAGCTCCAGGCTCAGCAGCTGCTCCTCCTCCTCCTCCTCCTCCTCCTCCTTCTCCTCCTCCTCCTCCTCCTCCACTCCTCCCCTCCCCTTCCCTTCCCCCTCCTCTCGCCTTTCCCCTCCCCCTTCTCCTCCTCCTTCTCCAGGTGTTTTCTCTTCTTTTATTTCTGTGAGTTGAGAAATGGCGCCGTCCTTCACATCGGTGTATTTCTACCCTAATCCCCAGTACCTTGTTGAGTAAAGCAGTCAAACTCTGCAATATATTGAAGAGCCCTCAGGAGGTCCTCAGAACATGTGCCCAAGGTAGTAAGGGTGCAGCTTCGTTTACTTCGGGCCAATTGGTCTCCATAGGTATAACATCCTGACGAGGGTATAAATCAAGTGCAACAAATGCCTGGTGTTCTATATCTAAATTGTTACAGGATTTGTTAACAGTAGACACACCTATTTTTCACACCACTTGTATTGCACTATATACTGGTATGTGTTTGGGAGAGAAAACAATGTTCTTTAAAGGAGAAGTCATATGATTCTATACTTTCATTTTGTTGTCCTTTCCCACAGAAATGGCCCTTTCCCATATAACAAATGTTATGTGCTATGGGAGTGGATATTAGGGGCTAAGTTGGGGAAAATTAGGGTTCTAAGTGGACTGAGGGCATAACCATTCCCCTTTTCTGTTTTCACAATCTGAAAAGGAGATGGGACGCCATGTGTTATCATGAGCTGAAATAGTCCACCTATTTCCCCAGGGGAGTATTTCTGTATTGTTTACAATGCCTGCCAGTTGAACCACAGAATACCTTTGAGCCTCATTTAACTTTGGTGCCTATGCTCTGAGAATACCATGTTTGAGGTCACATTTACCATCCGAAATTTTCCATATGTTTGGGGGGCCGTGTATTTTCCACAGGTGTTTGGATTGTGCCTCGGCACAGATGAGTATAGGCCATTGCTTCATAGCCACCTTAGATTGTGTTTGTAATGAAATAGACATGAGCCCCTGTTGGGTTACAGAACATGCTCATTGCCACCTTCGGGTTTGAGAGTATGTTTTTATGTTTTGTTTGGTTTCTCCTATCCATTTGATGAGTGTTGCATTATTTTTTAAAGGAGCTTCCCATCCTTTTCCATCTTCCTGGAATAACATTCCTTCTATGTGGGCTATTTTTGACAGAAAACTTTTCTCTAAGAGATGCCTCTCCTCGTTAGCTATGAACTCAGCTTACACCAATATACCTAGGCCAGCTCCAACTTTTCCAGTGAGGTCAAGTTTTAATTTCTGGGTGGCGAATTTTGCTGGATTCATCAGGATTGCTGTTGCCATTGTATACTAATGGCATTAGCACAATTTGAAACTATATGTGCAATTTATACTTGGGAGTATTGTACCAAGAGGCTTTGTCATAAGGCATCTTTATCCTATCAGTAAATATTTTCTTTTAAATCTATGAGAAGCAGAAAATTGTTTATGGTTGGGGTGGATGCAAAAGTGACACACTATAGTCTAGAAGGAAATGTCCCTTGTTTTGCCGGCTGTACCATCTTTGTACCCCTCCTTGATTTGGAGAGTTTGACATGGACCTAAGTTCATGCCTCAAAACTAGCTCTTACAATCTCATGTGCCTGCCTCTTCCAAGACAGTCCCTGAGCCTAGAGAGAGGGTGCTTGTATAGTTTTAGCAGCAGAAGATTCGCGGTGAAATACAGATCTGAACCCAGTGGGATGTCAGCTGAGGGGGATTCATATCTCTAGTCTTCAGAATACCGTAATTTTGGTTTCCTTGGAAGTAAAACAAGGAGAGGTAAATAACATTTATAGTTTCACAATCAAAAGATTATTTGTGTGTCAGAATGGAAAAAGGAACCTACTTCATTAGGGAACCAGCTAAAAATATGGAGATAAATTATGATCTGGTACTCTCTAGAGGATTATTATAGCAAAGAAATAATGATTTAATCTGCACTTAAAAAGAGTTAGGACTGAAATCTAGTACTAATCCTTAAGCTTTTCCTTTTAAACAATTGTTCTATCTGCATTTTTTTTAGAGATTATAGTAAGACCAGTTTGTGTGCCAAGTAAGTTTTAGTCTTATCATGGTTGGCCGGATTATTTGCTTAAAATGCAGCAAGAATTGATTGGCCACATAGACTCATTTTAAGTTGGCTTTGCTGGCACCTTACCTAAAAATATACCACTTTAGTTCAAGTCTCTAATTGTTTTAAAGACTCTTATTGAAACTTATGCAAACAACCATATTGTCATAAAATTAGGATCTGAATTTTGGAGAACTCAGAAAGATAATTTGCTTACAAAAACAAACTTCATCAAAATGAATTAAAGAAAAAGATTGTCTGGACCCTCCTTTAACAAGAGCAGTGGCTTTCACACAAGATGTTTGTTTATCATCTTGGAAATGTCATGCACAAGCCAAACCGCTCCTGAGAGCTGTCTATCAGGCACTATGCAATCTAGCAGCTCCTCACAGAGTTAGAATTAGTCCTAGGAATGAGGCTGCCTGCTTATTAGTATCTCCTCCTTATATCCCCATGTAGCAAGATTCTATGTAAACCATTTTTATTTTATCACGAAACTCTTTTGGGGCAACATTATTTCCACTATCATAGAAGTTGGTTCAGTTAGCATTCCATAGTAAGGTACTAAATGTCCCTGAGCTAGAAATTCCCTTGTTCTATCTTTGTCATCAGGAAGAACTCACAGTTTTTTTTTTTTTTTTGCCATCAGCCCCAATAAATGTTACACAAAGGGCTATGAAGTGCAGGATTTGTCCCGACTAGCACTCCAGCTTCTACCCTATACTTTGTGGGCTTAGGCAGTCTTACTAGTTCCCATTTGGCATGTCCAATTAACATTTCTCAAAAGAGCAGATTTATATGCCTTCAGTTTTATACTACTAGAAAGGGGAAACCTCTCCCAGGTAGTAAAGGAGGTTACAACTACCTTACATAAAACCTGTTTAAACATTTTAAATTTCATAACTCTATTAACCTGTATGTTTATATGTTCTGGTCCCAGAATTTTTTTTTAATACCCCCAAATCATTTTACCTTTTCTATTGAAAAAGGGTTTGGTTTCTCAGCAGGGAGTTGCATCTATAAGACCTCTAAGGGGCAGCAAATTTGATACGACTCCTCAAACACTCTCATGATTTTGTGGGAGGAGCATCCATGTAAAAGGGGCCCTCTTAGCACCCAAATTTAACATAACCTGGGTAACAGACAGTTTGGTGGGAGCATATCCCAGTCATTATTAAGCCAGTCCAACATGGTTCACATAAGAAGCATATTAACTGCTCCATCTGGGGTGTTTCACTTGGTATTTTATTGGGAGAGTTAGGTAGTCCCCTACTCAGAGAAAACAGACTTTATGGTGGCATTTTCTGGGTATATTATGCTGATTATTCTCTTAGGAATAACCTCCTGGGTATTTGGATCACATGTTAGTGGTTGTTCAATAGTGAACTGTGGGTCCTGCATTAACCCAAACAAGCTCTTAAATCGTGTAACATTTAAAATTAAGAATCTTGTCCTTAAAGTGTTTTTTCTCAATCCATCATAGTAAGGATTTTTTAAAGAAGCTGATGATACTAAACTACAAAATGGAACAATTCTTTACAGTATACCCTCTGGTTCTAAATAGTTAGTTTTGCTCTTCCCCCACATTGATTGACTATCATTTTGGTAGCCACGGGTCTCAGAGTTAACTTTTGTTGCCCTAGCTTAATTACTCTTTTTATTTAGTTATATCCGTATAATTTTTCCTTTCATTTTAAAGCAACTCTTAAATAGTTTTCTAGCTAGAGGAAAAATATATTTTCTTTTTTAAGCAAAGTCAACATTTTTATGCTTTATAAAATTCACCAAAAACAAATTTTATGCTCTTGCTATTTTAACTTTCAGCAATCCAAATTTCCAGTGAAAAATAACCTAACCTGAGATTTTAACATGACTTGAAGCTTTTAAATTACTGGAGAGTTTTGAGATGGAATTTACCACATTAATTTTACCAAAGATTCTTAAGGTTATGAAAATTAAAAGGGCATTTGAGATAGCTTGTACCAGTCTAACAAGCAGCTACATTTCTTTAAGAAAAGTTACTTGTCTAGAGCTCTTTCATGTAGTTTGGGAGTTAAATACCACTTCCACATGACACATATAAAGATAGAGATATAACACTCATGCGGAATAAAAAGGCAGGTCCAAAGGATATTTCATTTGACTGTTTTTTTAAAAAAATTCCCTTTCTTACTTTAGATAATTAATAAAAGTTACAGGAGCCAACAAAAGGTGAAGGAGAGAGCTATCATCCATGGCCCTTTCAAAGAGGAAGAGCTGAAGTTTTGACCTATTTTATCTGAAGAATTTCAAAGAGACAGATTCTAGAATTTAAAATTTAATAACTTTTTGCATTAGTAATAAGTTAATATTTTTAATAAAAATCTTGTTTTAACCAATTATTTCAGTTTTACATTAGTGTATATTTTTAAATATCGAAGATCCATCCCTAGAAAGACTATTATAATTCCTTTTTAATGGTAGCCAACTGAATTATACAACCCCTTTAAAAAAATATATTTTTACTAATCCTGTTATGACTTACATAGACCACTCAAAACATGTTTAGACTTTCTGTTTTTTCCTAAATATTCCTCTTTCTTGAATGACCCAGTCATTTTATTCTAGGGCAAAAATTTACTACACAAGATTCTTTCTGATATAAAATTATTTTCCTTTATCCCTTCTCTATAAAAAGGTACCACTTTAAATTTTTTTACATTTCTTTTTTTCTGGTTCTTTTTATACATAACATTTAAGTAGGCTGTCAGTTACACAAAGATATTTACATTTTAATAAGAACACTTAAAAATTTTTTATAATTTTTAAGTTTTGAATTACCTGTATACTCAATATTTATGAATAACCTTAGATCCTAAATTATATGACAAGTTTGTTTACGAGCATTTATTCCATCACATTTTCCTGATTACATTATTCAATAGTTTACCTAGATTATTGACCAAAACTGTAACAGTCCTTCTGTAAGTTATTTCCCTGTTACCCTTTTTTATAGCTGTGCATTTTAGGTGTTTACTTACATAGGAAACCTAAAGTTAAATATAAGAGTATTTTTACAAATAATTTAGGATTTCATTAAAAGAATATTCCATGTCTTTCTTGTCTAAAATTACACAAGCAAAGATCATTTTGTCTTGGTCTGGCTTTCATAATTTTATAACCCTTATGGTTAATCTTATATTATTCTGCAGGATTAAGCATGGAATTACTTGATCAATAAACACAAAACAAAAATGCTAACAATTTTTACGACATTTCTAATTTTACTTTACCCATAATTTTAAAGCCAGCTCATTTATTAAATATTTTAAGTCAAGTGACCTTAAAAAGCATTTGTGTAGTCTTTTATTTGATTAAGTATCTGATTTATGTGCTTTTATTTTTAAAGCCAATTAGAGCTCTTGTATATATTTTTAATAGTGAAACATTGTGTACACAACACATAAATACATAGATGTATTAGGCATGCCAATAGATGTACATCTTATAGATTCATAAGATCCTATTTTTTCCTGTCTTAGGTTTTCAAATTCTTGATAACCTGTTTGACTACCTTAGGTAGCTGTCAGCTAAATAGCCTTACTCTGCATATCAAAGGAAACAATTCATAGGTGAAAATCAGATAGGAAACTTACATCTGAGGAACACAGCGAAATAGTCTGTTGTGCTAGACAGAAATTAAAATGGATGTAACTGCTACATAACATAAAATTATAGAAATCATAAAAGCCTTTTAAATATATACATGCACATATTTGCACAGAAAAGAAAATCCTGTAGCTTTTGGTTGAGAACTTTAGGAATGATATGAAACTGGCTTGAAAAACGAACAAACAGACAAACAAAACCCTGTTATATCCAAACAGTGGCTTTTATCTCAGTCATAATGTAACAGCTGATATAAAGCAGGCAGAAAAGAAAAGAGAGAAAAAGAGACCTTAGGAAATCTATAACTTGCAGGTCGACCTTAGGGCTTTTTTTTTTTTTTTTTTTTTTTTTAAATGTGCACAAAGACCACGTTACTTCCATTTTACATAAAGTCTGGCTAGTAGAGTTGTCGTAAAATCTAAGAAGTGCTTGAAAGTGGGTCATTCTCCTTGTTTTCTCCTAAGTTTTAGATTTTTTTCTCACCTTTTTTTTAAGGAGGAATTGAGCTGTGGAATAGAGCTTTTGTGGAGTGGGTCAAAGGGTGCTGCTTGTAGGCAGGACTCCAGAGTGTGTCACCACTGTGTCACTCCTGCCCTCTTACATGTCTCAATTTTTCTCTCCAGAGGTCTAAGCAGCTCCTCAAGTTTTTTAAGAGAACAATACTTGCAAATATTGAAACAATATAGCCTGTTCCTGAAAAATGTAATATGTTGTACAAGATCTAGTTTTACTGATGCTGCTCTAACACTTAGAATTCCTTCTGCACTCTTTGGCATGTGGGCAGAAATTCCACCCCTTTCTTCGAGTCCCTGCCTTCTTCAAGAGTTTTTTATTTTTGCCGCACAGCCCATGTCCCCTAATTCTAACTTCCAACAAAAATATTTGTCTCCATCCATCCCTGGAGTTGTCAAAACAGGGATCTTCATGCCGGGTTTCTCAATGAGCCATTACACAGATTTAGCAGGGAAATGGGAGTAATATCAAAGACACCTTGTATAAACCATTGGATGACCCCAGCCCTCGTCTCTGCCCATGAACAGCTCCCGGGGCAGAGAGTCAGGCAGCCCTGCTCTTGTATCCCTCAGAAAACTCTTGAGATTTTGTTCCTAAAGCCTCCCAAAGAGGGAAAAGGAATTCATCTCATGACATCCCACTTTTCATTCAAGTGAGTAATTGCGTTATGACACAGAGAAGGACACAGCATTGCTCCCCTTACTATAGCCTAGCAGATAAAGCACCAGCAAACTAAAACACCCTAACTTCTCAGTCACCATGCAAGCCCTTTTATATCAAATGCAATGGACTTTTCCACAAGCAAAATGAATCTTCTGACCAGCAGGCATCCTCTGCTTTGACTCGGGCTTGGATACATATTGTGCTTCAACAAATCTCAGTACTGAATCTAAATATCAAGGAGAAGTGGTCCCAGGAAATATACTGAGAGGACTTTGAGCTTTTACCAAACTGCACAATCCCAAAATCATAGACTTTACTGAGGCCAATTAAATTGGCTAATTCATGGGTGAAAGTGAAACATCATAATGTTTACAAATCTGCCCAACTGTTTTTACGTTAAAGCCAGGGTTTATGTCAATTCCTGTGTGAGGATGAGGAGACATCAATTCAAGCCCATGACAATCTGGAAGGACAGGCAGAGACTGTGTCCAGGCAGGCCTCACATTGTTTATACTTTGACCTATTTAATTAAATATGTAATGTTCTCCAAATTTTAGATGTCATTTGCTGTAATCCTGACCCACTAAGATGTACTATTTGTGCTGTAAAATTGTATTGTATTTGACAAATGCATAGTGGCAGATCTCTGGCATTAAAGCATCACACAGAATGTTTCTCTTATTCGAGCTCCTCTTTCCTCCACATACAGGGAATCAACAGACTATTTTATACGGTCTTTGGACTTTGCTTCTTTATTTCCACCCTCTTTCATAAAAAAAAAAGAAAAAGAAAAAAGATACCGTGCTCCATTTGCATTTGATCTTCCAAAAGGAAGGTACTGATAAAACCGGAATTTCAGCGATACAGACGCAGGTCAACCGCTAAACAGTGAAGGCCAAGAGTCCCGCGCTGCAAGCCCATAGCCGGCAGAGGGCAATGGAACTCGCTTTCTGGTCGTGCGGGGCGCATGCGCATTCTGCTTGCGGAAGCGGGGCCAGATCGCCAAGGAAGAAGGGAACTTCCCTTCCTCAGGCCAGGGAGGAGGAGGCGCCGCCCTGGCTTTGGGGCAAATGGGGCTGCATCCATCTTAAGGAAAACGCTGCTGTTCACAGCCCTACCTGATGAGGAGTGAGATTCCCTGCGCGTCTCCCGGATATTTTTCTGAAACAGCACTAAAGACTTAATGTTCTGGGCTGTTCCTACGTGTTTTCTTCTGCACTGTCTGTTGGGATATATTAGCAAGAATTATTTTACAAATCTACGTATTCCTTAGGGATTTTCATTGATAACCATAGCAGGCCGTAATGTGCCTTCCTCGCAACCTCTGTCAGGATTCATTATGAGGAGAAACACAAGAAGAATTGTGAGGAAAATCTACAGAATACGGGGACCCTGCAGAGGAAGGAGTATGTGGCCGGGGCACGGCGGCGCACTGTCGCGCAGCTCGCGAGAAAGGGGCCCCTGCAGGGAAACCCCGCACTCTGCATCCCTGCATTTCCACATTGTGAGGGGCTCATCTTTCCTACAGTGCCAAATTCACTGAAAAATAGTGAGACAATGAAAGGGAGGGGCACTAATGCATCCTTTAATTGTTGCTATTAAAACGGCAAGAGCCACGTCTTTAATTTTACCCTAGCACTGCAGATTTAAAAGTGATTTTCATTACACATGCAAGGGGAAAGCTACACTTTTGTGAAAAATAGTTTCTACCCCAAATGAAAACATATTGCTTAAATATTTCTTCAAAAATAAGTTATTATTCTGTGCTGCAGGATATATCCTGAGACATTTATGCTGCAAATTTATTAATTTATCTATTAAAACATTTGGTTTATAATCAAAGCGATTATAAAGGTAGAATATATATTTGGCACGTCCCTCATATTTTTATTCTTGTACTGGTTTGCAGTCCATAGGTTTTCAGCTAGACGTGACACACAGAAACTCACCATGAGGAGCCTTTCTCTTTCTTGACTGTAAAATATACATACTCCAGAATCATCAATAGAGGCTATTTCTTGAATATCTCAACCTGAACCCCGCAGCCAGAAAGAATGTAGGCAATTAATCCAATTTTATAACTGCAGCTGATATTCAGCTAATTACCTGCTGTTCTCCTCAGAAATTATCAAAATCCCCAAAGCAGAGAGTTCTCTGGATAAAGGCACTAATGTTCCCCTTGGAGGCTTTTAAGACATTGGCAAAATTAAAGGAATCTTCCTGTTTTCCTTTTATTCATCTAAATGATTTATCTAACTGGAGAAGAAAGCTTCAGTGCAAAAGGCATCTGCTAATTAGATTCAATTTTTTTTTAACATTTAAGGGAAACAGGGTCTATACTTCACCTAATAAAACTGATGAAATTATCAGCTAAATGCAAAGAGAATCCACAAACAAATTTATACAAGTTCTAGAGAGAGGATGAAGCCCTGAGCTCAGGGGCCTGTTAGAGATGGCACGCTCAGTAATGGTGCACCCTCACAGATTTTCCTTCTAGTTCAGTTCTAGTGATTACTGGATTACTGTTTTCCCCCAATACCATCTATTATTCTTTATACTGTCAAATAATTTTTAATCTTAAAATGACTAATTCTGAGTTCAGGCATATGGTGTCTGGCCACCTGCAAGAAGTTTAGGTGACTTTGCCAATAAGAATGATGGATTTGTAATTAATAAGTAATGTTGAAAGCAAAACTTGCATTACAATTCTGAAATTAGTCCAGCGGGGATACAGGCAAGAAATAAATTAACAGACAGATTAATACACAATGATATATTAGAAATTAAGTAAAGGTTCTTTTTGTATTTTCCCCAGCTTGTCTTATAGTATTCGCTTCTTCTGTTTGGATAACTTTCCCCAGGAGATTCATTTTAAAACTTAATTCACTTAAAATAACGTATTTTTTTTTATTTAAAAATACTGTCAGCCCTCCACATCCATAGGTTCCATATTCATGGATCCAACTAATCTTGAATAGAAAATATTCACAAAAGATTTGCACAAGTTTCTTCAAAGAAACTTTAAATTTTCCATGCATCACATTCTTTTTGAGTTCACATAAATGACGTGACGTCTGGGCATTGCATTAAGTATTGTAAGTAATCTAGAGATCATTTAAATTATATAAATTAATGTGATTATGTTATATTCAAATTCTACGCCGTTTTATACAAGGGACTTGAGTATATACAAATTGTGGCATATTTAAAGTTTCCTAGACCCAATCCTTTATGTTTACTAAGAAACGACGTACACATGAACTTTACAGAAAATAACTGTCCTACCAAATTAATGAACAGACTACAATAGAAAGTAAATATTGCTAGTTTAAAATACTGTTATTTTATGTCACAATTATATGGTGAATCAGAGTAGAGATCTTGAATTAATTTTGATTGAATTAGGCTAATTCTGACTGGGTCACACTCATATTGACTGAGTTTTGATAAAACCACTCCCATGCTGGCCCTTCATGTTGTTTAATCAGCACCACTAGCCAATCACATTCATCCATTTTGACAAATCCCATGGCTCCACCTCTTATAAGACCCTTGGAGGATTTCCCCAAGAGCTCACTCTACCAAAGCACCATTTGACCGGTCCCAGGCCAGGACACACTCTTCCATGCTCTGGCTGTGCTGTGCTAGAGGCTGATAATTTTTCTCCAGGTAGAGTAAAAGATCAAGGCACGAACTATATAGATTTACAGAAAATAGGCCAAAGATTGAGATTTTTTTGACACAAGCAAGTCCAGAGAACTTTTACCATGTATGGTTACCGGCGCTTAAGAAGCCCCAGAGATTCCCAGACAGAACCGCAGAATGACAATGAAGGAGAGACCAGGTATGTTGGAGTATGTGGCTACTTTGGGTTGCCAGGAGGTTGACATGTGACTGTGTGTGACTGTATGTGTGTGTGTGTGTGTGAATGTATGCTAAAGGGCCAAACTAGGGCAGAGAAGACACCCTGGCCTGCCATGACATTGAATGTTATAAATTTAGAACACATTGGGGAGACATGAGACCCACAGTGGAGGCCACAGGATGCAGCCAGCATGGGGGGTTTCTGCAGCCTGTCAGGGGGCTCATCTCATGTTTCTTCCCATTGTTAATCTCTGTCCTCTGGGTAAACAGAAGTTGCCTCTTGTGTGGAGACAGGTAAACTGTGGGCATGATCTAAATTTTTTCCTTGTGCTCACTAGAAAATGGAACATTTCATGTCATTTATCACTCCATTCACACTGTAACTGCATAGACACAGGGGTTAGATACCCGGAAAATCAGCATCTTCTCCTAAAGTCCTCGGGCCAAATTTGATGTCCCTCCTTCTCATGTGGATGAGCTCCTGAAAAAGCAAACTGTTTCCTGTGATCGCCATGTCTTATCACACACATGCACCGATAGGAAAAGCCTCTAGAAAAGGAGAGGGTGGGATATGAGTGTTAGGACTTTCTGGATGCAGGTAGGATTTGGAGCTGAACACAAGTGCATGTGATTTTGGGCCACAGCAGCAATGTGTGCCGGATGACTAATGAAGTTTGGGGCTTGTGAGAATTGGACTTTGTGTCACTATGTGGAAGATTGATGGGTCCCTTTCTGTCCTGCAGTTTGGCTACCACACAAATGAATCCACCCAAACGTCGCCAAGTGGAGCAGGGTCCCAGTACAGGTAAGGCACTTTCCCTAATATTTTTTAAGATTCCCATGCCTGGAAGTCAGTGTCATGTCTCATGATACCATAAATGGAGAGGGTGCTTTCTGCAGGGTGAGTGGAAAGTCGTGCTTGACTGTTGGGGGCTGGTGTCCTGAGGCTGGCCAGTGCTGGGTGGTGGATTTCTGAAGGTCACATTCTGAAATGCAAGAGACTCTTGCTGGAAGAGAGCCTTAACCTCCCTCACTGTGGTCTCTCTGCAGGTGCAAAAAAACCCTCAATTTCAGGAGCTCCACACCTGAATTCATACCAGTCCCTGGAACTTCCCCAGGTAAGTTCCTGTGTCCTTGCATAGCAAAGATTGGACAGTGCTGCACAATCTTCAGGTTCAAGGGACATCCAGTGGATGTATATTTAGGTGGATTGGCATGAGCACCAATTCTGGGAGGGAGTTTGTATTTTAAAGTTGTAAAGGGTGAAGCTCCTGGCATCTCCCTCCCCATGAGCATCATTTGCAGCCTTTTTGGAGGGCAGAATACTGAGGACTGTCTTTCCACAGAATCAGCAGGATTCTGGCACTGAGGAGCTCATGATAGTCCTGGAACAAGGGACAGAAGTGAGGTTGAGCCTGGAAGAGGTCATCCTCATCTTGGCCCCAGAGACAGTGCTGCAGCTGACCCTGGAGAACACAGTCCTTGTGATTGTCCCTGAGCATGTCCTGAGGTCAGAAGATGGCCTGCAGTCCCCTGTGCAGATCCAGTACATCATACCTTCCGTTGATGACTTCAGCTTGGAGTTCCATGCTCAAGATGGAGACATCTCAGACATGAGAAGAGAGAATGTGCCTTTTTCACCTGCAGAAGAAGGGAAGGCAGCACCCCTGTATCAGCAGCCCTTGATGATACCCCAAGCAAACCACATGGCTGGGATCAGCCCTTCTTTCCTAGTAACCCCATTGTGCATTCCACGCTGTCGGGCAGCCTTCCCCCAATGCTACCCTCTACCACCCACACCTAGTCCTGTGGGACGCCCTAGACCAGCCGACTCCAGTTTCAGCCTGCATGGTATGGAGCTCTTGTGCACCTCCTCCCTCAGACCTATGCCCCCTTCACCAAGTCCTGGTCCCCAGGTCTATCACAGGGTTCACCATAGGCCTCCCAGCAGGGCACGGAGATGTCTCTTTAGGAAGTGATTTAACCCAAGAGCCACCCCCTGCATTGATAGGTCAGAGATTGTCCAGATCCTTAGTCAGTGCATTCTCTGAAATGTGGAGAGAAAGTAATTTGACCACTTGCTTGCCCTTTGCTGTTCCCCATCATCAACCACTGTCTTCAACAGCGGAGGGTCCCAGATGCTGCAGGGAGGGGGAGAACTGCAGGGAGTTCAAATAAAACATTCACATTTCACTTCACACACACTGTCCCTTAGACTTTCTCTTCCTATTTAAGCACATACATCCAACCACACTCAATCAAATCCCTGACTGCTCCATGTGAGAGTTCTGCTTCCAGCATGACGTGGTCTGAAAGTTCATCTGAAGACAGCTGCTCACTCCCGGGGGCTAACACCGCCCCTTGCATGCTGATGTCCTTGTAGTCATTGGTCTGATGCCACAATAAATAATTCCTAAGGCTGATGCTCTATTTCTGCCCTGAGACTCTCCCCTTTTTCTCCAAGCTGTGCCCCATTCCTTGTCTTAGTCCAGGTTCCCTACACTCCCCAGGCCAATGCTTTTGAATAAATCTTGACGTCATTGAATGAAGTAGTGGTGACTGCTGTGCTTGCTTCCAACTGAGACACTCTCCTGCTCTCACTCATCACGTTTCCATTCACATTTGCCTTTGTTTAGTTTTGTTTTCCATTGTTTGGGTTTATTATTCATGTACTTATGAAATAACTGCCACATTTCTGACAGTTTTTTTGGCCAATTTGGGGCTTTTCCTGTGCTCCTCCTTCCAAGTCCTGAGTGGGGTCACTGTTTGCACCTCTGGGCCCTGGGATGGGTCTGGCTTAGCAAATGGTTGAACAGAGCTTAGCTCTGTGTGTTGGGACGGGCACCTGCACTTGCTCACAGCTGCTTCCAGGCTCTCCCTGTCCTGCCTGGACGTCTCTGTGTCTCTGGAGTGTCTAGGAAGTCTAGAAGTTCTCTTGAGGGCCCAGCACCTCTTTGTTGGCCTGCATGTCCCAGCCTGTATGTCCATGGCCAGCTAGAGCTACCACTAGCTTTTCCTGGCCAACCTGGGAGCTCAGGCCTGAGTCCTGGAGGCAGGGGAGATGCAGGGATAATGTCCTGGCCTTCTGGAGCCCAACTCCAGTAGGTGGGGAGTGCTCATGACCCTGCGGGGAGTACAGGGCGTTTGCCCTTGACTTGCCTGAGCCTCTAAAACCTCACATGTCCCCTGGAGGTGGGTGCAGCTTCCTCCTACTCTGGCCTTGCTGGCCTGGGAAGGGCGTCCTTGGTCCCTTGAACCCTCACAGCATTTTCTCTTCTACTGAGGTTTCAGGAACTGCCTTTCCCCTCTGGGAAGGAGGACAGGGACTCTTTCAGGTTTGATTCTCCTCGGGGTTTTAGACGTTGGCTGAGGTGGGAACTGCCTTCATCCACATGAAAGGCCCAGCCAGGGCATCCTCACCAGCCTGGGCCTCTGGGTAGGTTCTGAGTCTGGTCGCTGGAGAGGCCGCTTCTGTGAGCCCCAAGACAGCAGCCCCTGTGAAGGCCATTCTCCTCTGTTCCCTCAGGGTGTCAGGACCCGCCTGTGTCCAGGAAGTCCCCTCTGAGACTAGATTGTCCTTGGTGCAGCCCTCCCAGAGCCGTGCAGAGGCAGATGTGGTGCACTGGGCCTGGGCTCTGAGGAAGCAGTGGTAGCGGGGGCCAGGGAGGACCCAGGCTCTAGGGCAAGGGAGTGTCTAACCTGGGTAGAGCTGGGCCGCATTCAGGGAGTGGCACTCCAGGGTTCTGTTTCAGGTGGAGCAGGGGCCAACTCAGGATCAAGTACCTCTCCTTCCACCTCCAGGACTCACCCAGGGGCAGGCGGGAGCTCCAGGTTCTTCTCCTCCTCCTCCTCCTCCTCCTCCATGTGTTTTCTCTTGCTTTATTTCTCTGAGTCAAGAAATTGGGGCTGTCCTTCATATCGGTGAATTTTGACCCTAATCATCATGACCTTGTTGAGGAAAAGAGTCATACTCTGCAAAATATTTGGAGATATTTATTCTGAGCCAAATATGATTGACCATGTCGTGTGACCCAGCCCTCAGGAGGTTCTGAGAACGTGTGTCCAAGGTGATCAGGGTGCAGCTTGGTTTTATGCATTTTAGGGAGACATGACTTCAACTAAGTGCATTTAAGAAATACGTTGATTTGATCCAGAAAAGTGGGACAACTTGAAGGAGGGGGGCTTCCAGCTTATAGATAGATTTAAAAATTATCTGGTTGATAATTGGATGAGTTTATCTAAGACCAGGGATCTATTGAAAGGAAATGTTTAGGTTAAGATAAAGAGGTGGGGAGGCCAAGTTTTACTGTGCAGAGGAACCTTCAGATAGTAGACTTGAGAGGGAGTAGGTTGTAAAATGTTTCTTATTGGATTTAAAAGGGAGCCTGGTCTTTGTTGATTATCTCCTGTGTCTGGAAAGAAAGAAAGAAGAAAAAAAGGTGGGGAGCCTTAACCTCCCTCACTGTGGTCTCACCACAGATGCAGAAACACCCTTACTTCAAAGAATTCCTCACATGAATTCATTCCAGGCCTGGAATCACCCCAGGTAACTCCCTATGTTCATGGATAGCAAAGATTGGACTATGTTGCATAATCTCCAGGCCACAAGACACATCCAGTGGTGGTGCATTCAGCAGGGTCAGCATGACTGCCACTTCTAGGAGGAAATTTGTATTTTAAAGTTGTAGAGGGTGAAGCTGCTCCAGCTCCCTCCCCAGGAGCATCATTTGCAGTCTTTTTTGAAGGCAGTGGACTGAGGGCTGTCGTTCCACAGCAGCAGCAGAATTCCAGCACAGAGACGTTCATCATCGTGGTCCCGGAACAAGGGACAGAACTCACACTGAGACTGGAAGAGTATGTCCTCATCCTGTCCCCACAGACAGCCCTGCCCTGACCCTGGGTAACAGCGTATTTGTGGTTGTGCCTGAGCATGTCCTGAGGTCACTGGATGGCCTGCAGTTCCCTCTGCAGATCGATTACATCTAGCACTCTGTGGATGACTTCACCTTGGAGTTCCATGTTCAAGACAGAGACACCTCAGACATGAAAGAGACAATGTGCCGCGCTCACCTACAGAAGAGGGGGAGGCAGAACCCGTATGTCACCAGCCCTTGATGAGATCCGAAGAAAACCATGTTGCTTGGCTCAGCGCTTCTCTTTCAATAATCCTACTGCGCATTGCATACTTTCTCCTCTGTGCCCTACCCTTTACCAACCACACCTAGTCCAGTGGGATTCCCTAGACCAGCCAATCTCAGCTTCAGCCTGTATAGGATGGAGACTTTGCCCAACTCCTCCCTCAGACCTATGCACCCTTCACCAAGTCCAGCACTCAGGTCTGCCACAGGGTTCACCATAGTTCTCCAACCAGAGCACGAAGATGTGTTTTCAAGAAGGGATGTAGCCAAGATCCACCACTTACATTGATAGATCAGAGATTGGCCAAATCCTTAGTCAGTGCATGCCCTAAAATGTGGAGGGAGAGTAGTTCCAGGAACCTCTTGCTTCCCCTTCTCTGTTTCCCATCATGATCCATTGTGCTCACTAGCAGAGGATCCCAGATGCTGCAGGGAGACGAAGAACTGCAAGGTGTGTAAATAAAGTGCTCCCATTTCACTTGGCACACAGTGTCCCTTAGAATTTCTCTTCCATATTCAACCTCTTAAATGCAACCACACTCAATCAAATCCCTTACTCCTCAACGTGAGGGTTCTGCTTTCAGCATGCTTTCAGTGGCGTGAAAATTCACCTGAAGAACTCTGCTCACTCCCAGGGCTAACACAGCCCCTTGATTGCTGGTGTCCATGTAGTCATTGGTCTGATGTATAGATAATAATTCCTAAGCTTGACACTGTATGTATGCCCTGAGATTTTCACCATTTTCTCCGTGCTGTGACCCAGTCCTTGTCTTTGTTCAGGTTCCCCACACTCCCCAGGCCAATGCTTTTCAATAAATACTGAAATTATAGGATGAAATAGTGGTGACTGCTGTGATTGCTTCCAAGTGAGACACGCTTCTGCTCTGGCTCATCAAGTTTACATTACCACTTGCCATTCCTAAGTTTTGTTTTCAATTTTTGGTTTGTATTTCATATACCTGTACACTAAATTTCATGATTTGGGCAGCATTTTTTTTATAAAGGCAGGGCCATAACTTTGAGGAGGACAGACAAGTTTCTATCTCCTTCGTGTAGAAAAAAAAAGGCAATCACAATGCTGATTTCAAACATTTTGGATAAAACAGTAACCAGGCATGTCCGGTGTGTAGAGTGAGATGCTACTGTGTTTTGAAACACAATGGAAAGGCTCTTGATTAATGTATCTTATGAGGAGAGGCCTAAATATAAATTTAAAAAATAGTTACAGTAGTGTATCACTGCATAAGTATCTAAAAAAAGAACGACAACTGGATAACACAAGTGAGGGTCTATGTTCCCTGAACCGGAAGAGACAGGCAGGAGTCGGAATGATGAACCAGCACACTGGGGCGTTTTCTCATGTAGCCCAAGTGACCCCATGGTCTTCTCGAGCTTTGGAACCAGTCGCGTCCCCTTTGACACTGCACCCGGCTCCCAGTCTCTCAATCTTGTTGGCCCTCCGGCGATCTCCCGTTGGATGAATTGCTCCTGCTGAAACTCGAGTCCCCTTTGATTTGCGCTTCATTAATTATTCATGATTCAGGTTCGAAGGCCTGCTGACGACCCCCTGTGGCCGTTCTCTGAGCTTTCCTGTCACATCGTTTCCTTCCACACTCTTTGGTTCCTTATGGTCCTGCTCCTTCTGCTGTCAGAGGAGCAGAGAGTTGATCTTATTCATTCTGGATACGGATACTTTCTAGGTGATCTGGATAATCAAGATAACGACCCTCAACAGCGGCGGAAAGGGAGCAGCCAGTTGGTGTGTCTCAGAAAATCCCACTGAGTTCCGAGGCCTCCTAGATGTGGAATCCTGCTGAGAGTTGTTCCCAGGTCAGAGAATGGAGAGAGCCTGTGCATGATGGGATATCCCCGCCTAGATCTTTCAGTGAGTCTCTACCTCAGCAACTCTTAGGATCAGGGGGAGAACCATGGTGTCAGACATCCGGAAAGAAGATGGGATGAATGTTTTACCTCTGAAGTACATCCCAAATGTGGGAGTTAACTTCAGCTTTGCTGGGGTCTATTTGGCCAGTGAAACGCTGCCTGGTTCCTTCGCACATCCGGAAGCCACTTCACGGGGGGCCGTCGCAACTGGAACCACACACTTGGCATCGGCGGTTGAGCCAAATGGGGACTCGTGGTGCAAGCAACGCTCCCCACGTGTTAGCGTGCGTGAGATTCGGTTGGCGGAATTTTACTAGGTGCGTGTTGGTAGAGTGGGGCTGAGGTTTTCTTGCTCCTGTGGATGTATAGGAAGTCAAAGGTCCTGCCCAGCCCTGCGGTCCCCTCAGTCAACTCTGTTTCGGAGACGTAACGATTTGGATTGCCAACAAGTCAAGATATGTTCAAGCCCTTGGATGTAGGGTAAAGAAAGAGAGATCAGACTGCCACTGTGTCTATGTAGAAGGGGAAGACACAAGAGACTCCATTTTGGAAAAGACCTGTAGTTTAAACAATTGCTTTGCTGAGATGTTGATCATTTGTAGCTTTGCCGCAGCCCCTTCCTTTGACCCAACTTGGAGCTCACCAAAACCTGTGCTGTATAAAATCGAGGTTTAAGGGATCTAGGGCTGTGCAGGACGCGCCTTGTTAACCAAATGTTTACGAGCAGTATACTTGGTAGAAGTCATTGCCATTCTCTAGTCTCAATAAACCAGGGGTGCAATGCACCGTGGAAAGCCACAGGGACCTCTGCCCTTGAAAGCAGGGTATTGTCCAAGGTTTCTCCCCATGTGTCAGTCTGAAATATGGCCTCGTGGGATGGGAAAGACCTGACTGTCCCCCAGCCTGACACCCGCAATGGGTCTGTGCTGAGGTGGATTAGTCAAAGAGGAAAGCCTCTTGCAGTTCAGATGGAGGAAGGCCACTGTCTCCTGCTTGCCCCTGGGAACTGAATGTCTCCGTGTAAAGCCCGATCGTACATTTGTTCAACTCTGAGCTCGGCGAAAAGCTGCCCTGTGGCGGGAGGCGAGACATGCTGGCAGTAATGCTGCCTTGTTATTCTTTACTCCGCTGAGATATTTGTGTGGAGAGAAACATAAATCTGGCCTACGTGCACGTCCAGGCATAGTACCTTCCCTTGAACTTAATAATGATATGGATTCTTTTGCTCACGTGGTTTTTTTTTTTTTTGTTTTTTTTTTTTGTTGACCTTCCCCTTATTATCACCCTGCTCCCCTACTACATTCCTTTGTGCTGAAATAATGAAAATCATAATCAATAAAAACTGAGGGAACTCAGAGGCCGGTGCCGGTGCAGGTCCTTGGTGTGCTGAGTGCCGGTCCCCTGGACCCACTGTTGTCTCCCTATACTTTGTCTCTGTGTCTGATTTCTTTTCTCCGTCTCTCATCCCACCCGACTAGAAACACCCACAGGTGTGGAGGGGCAGGCCACCCCTTCACTTGGAAAATCAGTTACACACAAACACGGAATGAGAGTCAAAAGACAATATGTCATCTTTTTGAGAATTTTATTCACTTCAAAACCAATTAAACACACATATGTACAAAGGCATTCCAGAGCCCAGTTTTCGAGGCTGAGGAAAGACCCCGAGAGCGCTTTGCACAGCACGCTTCCCAGCGTCCGAAACACTGTTCTCAGGGCGGGGCACAGCGGAAGGGCTGCACCTCTCAGCGTTCCCTAACTTTTCCCTTATTCAGTCATCTAGAGAGCAAATACACAGTAATTCCCCAGTTTCTTATTGACGTCCCAGCGGAAGTCTGACTCCTGCGCGTCACGCAGTTTCTGAGGCAACGAATCTCTGGCACGGAAGCTTTTCCTGGCGCGTTTCGGGAGAACCACGCCAACTACAACGTCCCTCACCAGAATTCAATGAGGCAGAGTCCCTGCATCTGCTCCCTGCCTGGCCTGGGCTCCCACATCCACAGAAGCGCCACAGCCGGGGAGCTTCGGAGTCACCGCACAGAGTGTGCTCTCTGCTCTGCGCTCCTCAGTCCCACAGTCCCCTCCAAGTCACGGGAGCTGGAGGCCAAGGAGCCCCTGCCACCTGCAGTCTCACTCCAGGTCAGAATCGCTGTCCTCTGAGGAGGAGGAAACCTGAAGGTCCTCATAGAGGACGCTCGGTGGGACACGAACACAGGGAGCCTCAGACTTCTCTGACACATGAGGGCTCTGAGCGAGGAAGGCTCCCGGCTTCTCAGGAGAGTGAAATGAGGGGGCGGCCAGGAGGCTGGAGCTCCAGCGTCCGTTTTCCAGTCTCCGGAAGAGCACTCTGAGAGGCTGGGCCCCATCATGGCCGGCCGCTGGGTGATGGGACATGGTGCAGGCCTGGGCAGTAGGCAGGCAAGGTGTGCTGTGCGGAGGCTGCCGGTCGACGCTGGGCACCTGGGCCGGTGTCCTCCTGCCCATCTGGGGCGACGTACTTGGTCCAAGTTCGGTTGCGGCTGGCGGAGGTTGGAGATTCTCCGGGGCCCGCAGCTCACCTCCCTGGATGGCGCTTTCGGGGATCTGGAAGGGACCCAGTCTCGGTTTCTTGGGGAAGTTCAGGCAAGCCTGAATCGGAGCCTGGGCAGGTCTCTTGGCTCCTGGCCCGAAGCTGAGATTGGAGCCTAGGCCCAAGCTGTGTGTGGCGGCTGGCGGGCAGGGCTGTGAGGTCACCGCAGGACGTTTGTCTTGTGCCTGGGGTCTGACGACCTGGAGCAGGCCGTGGGTTTTGGAGGCAGCCTGGGGAACTTCTCGGCAGCCACCCTCAGGGCTGCTGTGTGTCGGCTTCACCACGAGGAGAGGCTCGGGGCCCTGGTGCCTGAATGCAGGCTGAGGGATGTCGGCCGCAGCCCCTGTCTGTCTTTCCTTTGGTCCAAGACTTGAGGAGGAGCTCAGGCTGGCTTTTCTGAGGGGAGACAGTGAAGCCAAGACGGAGCCCCTGCCAGACATTTCGGTAGCTGAGCGATCAGCGAGGACAGGGTCCACGCGCGGCCTCTTACTGGTTGTGTGGACCGGCATTGGCCCGCTTGCAACCTGAAAGAGAGGAAACAACACAGGTTAGAAGTTCCACGGCATGGAGCCAACGTGAAAATCAAACATATCCAAAGACAAGGTGCACACGCCATGAAATTCTTAGTACAGTATCGACAGGCGGTCCTTGGAAGTAGGGACAGATCCCTCCACCTGAGTGCTGATCAGGACAAGACACATGAAAGGTGCGCTCTCGAGCTATGTGTAGCTGATCTAAGCACACCATTGTTCAAAAGATCGCGTCTTGGGCATTAACTGGATCAAAGCGCCTCCACTCAGCCTTCCATGAAGTGGAACGGACTAATGCCCTTCCCGAGGCAGGTTGGTGGCTCAAGGGTACTCGGGACGTCTTCTCTGAACACATGCATGTTCCTGGGTTTAGCCTTCTCCACGTTTGGGGCCTCTGAGGGACTAATTTCCTCATGCCGCTAGGAACGTGTTGTTGGCAGGCTTGCCATAATTGGACAGAAAGAAAGCCACAGGAAATACGGCATCTTCAGATGCCTTCGCCTGGAATCCAATTGACCTGGAAGGATTGTGGAGTCCCTGACCCCAAGAAGGCAAGAAAGAGGGGTTCCCCGATTTCCTCCCGCAGACGGGAAGCTGAAAGGAAATCAACCAGGGTGACCTAGAGGAGAAAAGGACCAGGGGCCCGGGGTGACACTCACCCTCAGATGCTCGGAAGATTCCGTGGATCCTTTTCCATTCGGCAGCGGCTTCTCTGGAGGTTTCCCGGAAAACATGTGGAGGAGAGCCTTCCTCTGCGGGTCTTGTTGCCTGCAGAACAGAAAAAGGTCAGGCGGTGCCCCCTGGTTTTCCCCAGGAGACAGGGAGAACCCCGTCTGGGGCCCAGCCCCATTCCGTGTTTTGTGATACAGAAATGGACATCTGGTGCCCTTTCCGCCTCTGCACCTTCCCTCACGTGCCAACCTTCCCATCCTCCAGGTGGCCCTCTAGGCTTCCCGACTAAGGACTGTGATTTGGATTCCATCGCTTTTCCCGCTGTCGTGGGGAACCTGCACGAAGCGCCCCCGCCTCTCCCCGTCCCTGAATCTCCCAGAGCCCAAGGAGCTCCTGGGTGTGGAACCCCGGAGGACACGGAGCTCCGGCCTATTTCTCTGCAGCGCTCCTTCCCTGGCCCGGAGACGGAAAGGCACACGGTGTGCAGGTGCAGAGACACCATCTCCTTAGGAGGCAGCACCCTAAGAGTGGTGAAAACCCCTCCCACTGCTCACCTTGGTCTCTCTTCCTTCTCTCCCTTATCCTTGTTCAAGGGCCCCGGGTTGGCTTCACCCCGGGGCTTCCATGGTTTCAGGTTTTCCTTCCCTTCCTTTTTCCCCAAGGTCGCTGGAACCAGGGCTGCCTTCCAGCACTTCATGGGGCACCTGGTACTTCTGGCCGTGTGGCCAAAGGCCCCGCAGTTTTTGCACTTGAGCTGTGGGTGGAAAGGAAGTGATGTCAGTGAGTGAGCTGAAGCCACAGGCAGCGATCCCACGTCAACATTGGGACGGATTGTGAATTCAGAGCTGAATAAGGATTCCAAAGAGGGGACACCGGCATGGGGGCCGTTAAGTGCTGGGAGAGTTCGGATACGATGTTCCCTCGCAAAGCCCTTGTGACGGAGGAACTCTGAAAGGAAGGACTCAAGGTTCCAAGGGGCACGATGGTGAAGCCGATGTCAACAACGCAGCCAAACGTGGCTACACAGGACTCGAAGTAGAAAGGGAGGTTGCCCCCAAGAGTCTCTCAAGGGACCTATCGGGCCGGGGAGAAGGTCCCAAGCCACGCCCACCTTGGATGGGAAAAGCAACCTGGCTGGTGGTGACAGAACTCTTTGGAATCCAACCCAGTCTCTGAGGACCGTGGGACACCGCCTCCCCCCGTCCCCACCCCCACCCCGATACCCAAGAGATCCAGGGCTAGACTTACCCTGGGATCTTCTTCATCGGGCGGGGGAGACCTTGGCCCAACTGGGGCCCTCCGCTGCTTCTGGAGGGTCTGGGCTCTCACCAGTCTCTTGGCCCAAGATTTGGGGTCCCGACGTGCCATCATCTTCGTCTCCTGGGGGTTTTATGACCGCCTTTTTCAGGGGTGGACTGTTGGGCCACCTGAAACACACACAAACACACACATGTCGATGGTTAAGCACGTTGGATATTCACACACCCACAGGAAGCCACCTGCTAACTCCCTGCCTGTGTGGTCATGAGGAGACCTCACCACCAGTCGGTCAAATCTGTAGAACACAATGTGCTGTGCGCATCCTCGGATATTGTGTGTTCCTCTGCCATGACTACCTAGTCCAAGAGTAAACCCCACCTGCCACAGGGCCCGTGGCCTAGGTATGGGGGGTTGAGCTTTCAACCCCAAACAAACAACTGATTCTGGAGACTGGACTTAGGTCTCTCACGATTCACTCCGGTAGAAGACACGGTGATTCTATCTCCCTTGACGGACAGAATGATCGAAGACACAGGGCATGGCGTGTGCCACCCTTTGGCAGGTCTGCTTGAAGTCACGGATAAGGGATGCTTCCTGTGACAACTTGAATCGCTACTCTTGCCATTTCATTAGGCAACTTCCAAACACAAATTCATACAGAGAAGTTACCTTCCTCTCTACCGCACTAGCAGGTGATGGTCTTTCCTGTTCTATCTTTTGGCTTTAGCTCCAGCCCCTCTTTATTTATTTTCCTGGTATTTTACGCACACCACACGAATTCATCTGAACAAACGGGGAAGAAGTGCCGTATCGTATCGACGTCTTACACGGCTGAAGGGCAAACCCCCCTTTTTTCCAAAGTCCTTTTTCCATTTACCCACCAATTCAGCATGCTGCAGTACATTTCTTTTCGCATTCCCATCTTGGTCTTCTCCCACACGTGGAGACGGATATGTTGTCTCGTTTTCTGTTCCAAGAATTACTAGTAACGAGAACACATCCTACCCCACCAGCAAGCCCCAGTGTGATCGGTTTCTTTCGGCCTCCTTTGTCTCTTCCTCCCCCCGCCCCCCCCCCGCCAAAACCACTCAGGGATTGCGTGAAACAAACAATTGTTCAGCGAAACTAACCTGAAATTACACGTCTACTTTCTTTCCCAGGCTGGCGCTGAGATGGGCAGGTGCTGCAGCAGCCCGGCTGGAAGCGATGCAGCATCCAGGACGACGGAGGAAGGGGCAGAGAGGGACCTCCGCTTTCCAGGCTGCCTTTTATACTGCCTCTGGTCACCTGACATGGAACGTACCCTAACCTAATCAGTTACCTGTACCTTAATTGCAATTAACTTAATCCAATTACATGACCTGGAAAGGTCTATCTGCACAGCCCACTCTAAGATCCTGTCCACTGCTGACAGACATTCTAAAACCTACTTGTACAGCTGCAAGCTTTGAACAATAGATGTTCCCCGTCAGACATGTAACACTGGTGCCTGTACCCGTCTTCTTTTCCATCTTTTTTGTCGTTTAGTTTTGTTTTGTTTTAAAAAATGTGGTAAAATAGACACCTTTTAATTGGACCACATTTTGTCTATCTCGACGTAGGCCTCAGTGTCATCAAGGAGACTCTCCTTGACGTGCAGTCACGGCCATGATCCATCTTCAGAGCTTCTCTTTCTTCCCCAAGGTAAGTCTGTCAGCAGAGAACCCTGACCGCACCCTCATGTGTTTTCTCCCCCAGGAGGCGCTTGGAAACCACCGTGAATTGGACCGCACTGGGAAACACAGATGAGGAAAGTCAACAACGCTTTGTCCTTCAGTGCCTGGCTCCTTTTTCAGCTCCTCTTGCGACTCCAGGCATTATGCCTGAAAAGTCTCCCGGACGCCTGTGAGGCTCTAATTCCCTGGGTCCCATTGCCATGTCTCTGGATTTGCGAAGATCCACCGCACCTTCTGTGGAACTCCCGTGTCGGTGAACTTTAGTGCCACGGCCCCTAATTCTGCCCATGGTCATCCGCACCTGCACGACTTAGGGTCCATGTTCCTTGGACGGGAAGAGACAGGCAGGAGTCGGAATGATGAACCAGCACACTGGGGCATTTTCTCATGTAGCCCAAGTGACCCCATGGTCTTCTCGAGCTTTGGAACCAGTCGCGTCCCCTTTGACACTGCACCCGGCTCCCAGTCTCTCAATCTTGTTGGCCCTCCGGCGATCTCCCGTTGGATGAATTGCTCCTGCTGAAACTCGAGTCCCCTTTGATTTGCGCTTCATTAATTATTCATGATTCAGGTTGGAAGGCCTGCTGACGACCCCCTGTGGCCGTTCTCTGAGCTTTCCTGTCACATCGTTTCCTTCCACGCTCTTTGGTTCCTTATGGTCCTGCTCCTTCTGCTGTCAGAGGAGCAGAGAGTTGATCTTATTCATTCTGGATACGGATACTTTCTAGTTGATCTGGATAATCAAGATAACGACCCACAACAGCGGCGGAGAGGGAGCAGCCAGTTGGTGTGTCTCAGAAAATCCCACTGAGTTCCGAGGCCTCCTAGATGTGGAATCCTGCTGAGAGTTGTTCCCAGGTCAGAGAATGGAGAGAGCCTGTGCATGATGGGATATCCCCGCCTAGATCTTTCAGTGAGTCTCTGCCTCAGCTACTCTTAGGATCAGGGGGAGAACCATGGTGTCAGACATCCGGAAAGAAGACGGGATGAATGTTTTACCTCTGAGGTACATCCCAAATGTGGGAGTTAACTTCAGCTTTGCTGGGGTCTATTTGGCCAGTGAAACGCTGCCTGGTTCATTCGCACATCCGGAAGCCACTTCACGGGGGGCCGTCGCAACTGGAACCACACACTTGGCATCGGCGGTTGAGCCAAATGGGGACTCGTGGTGCAAGCAACGCTCCCCACGTGTTAGCGTGCGTGAGATGCGGTTGGCGGAATTTTACTAGGTGCGTGTTGGTAGAGTGGGGCTGAGGTTTTCTTGCTCCTGTGGATGTATAGGAAGTCAAAGGTCCTGCCCAGCCCTGCGGTCCCCTCAGTCAACTCTGTTTCGGAGACGTAACGATTTGGATTGCCAACAAGTCAAGAAATGTTCAAGCCCTTGGATGTAGGGTAAAGAAAGAGAGATCAGACTGTCACTGTGTCTATGTAGAAGGGGAAGACATAAGAGACTCCATTTTGAAAAAGACCTGTAGTTTAAACAATTGCTTTGCTGAGATGTTGATCATTTGTAGCTTTGCCGCAGCCCCTTCCTTTGACCCAACTTGGAGCTCACAAAAACCTGTGTTGTATAAAATCGAGGTTTAAGGGATCTAGGGCTGTGCAGGACGCGCCTTGTTAACCAAATGTTTACGAGCAGTATCCTTGGTAGGAGTCATTGCCATTCCCTAGTCTCAATAAACCAGGGGCGCAATGCACCGTGGAAAGCCACAGGGACCTCTGCCCTTGAAAGCAGGGTATTGTCCAAGGTTTCTCCCCATGTGACAGTCTGAAATATGGCCTCGTGGGATGGGAAAGTCCTGAATGTCCCCCAGCCTGACACCCGCAATGGGTCTGTGCTGAGGTGGATTAGTCAAAGAGGAACGCCTCTTGCAATTCAGATGGAGGAAGGCCACTGTCTCCTGCTTGCCCCTGGGAACTGAATGTCTCGGTGTAAAGCCCGATCGTACATTTGTTCAACTCTGAGCTCGGCGAAAAGCTGCCCTGTGGCGGGAGGCGAGACATGTTGGCAGTAATGCTGCCTTGTTATTCTTTACTCCGCTGAGATATTTGTGTGGAGAGAAACATAAATCTGGCCTACGTGCACGTCCAGGCATAGTACCTTCCCTTGAACTTAATAATGATATGGATTCTTTTGCTCACGTGTTTGTTTTTTGTTGTTGTTGTTGACCTTCCCCTTATTATCACCCTGCTCCCCTACTGCATTCCTTTGTGCTGAAATAATGAAAATCATAATCAATAAAAACTGAGGGAACTCAGAGGCCGGTGCCGGTGCAGGTCCTAGGTGTGCTGAGTGCCTGTCCCCTGGACCCACTGTTGTCTCCCTATACTTTGTCTCTGTGTCTGATTTCTTTTCTCCGTCTCTCATCCCACCCGACTAGAAACACCCACAGGTGTGGAGGGGCGGGCCACCCCTTCACTTGGAAAATCAGTTACACACAAACACGGAATGAGAGTCAAAAGACAATATGTCATCTTTTTGAGAATTTTATTCACTTCAAAACACATTAAACACACATATGTACAAAGGCATTCCAGAGCCCAGTTTTCGAGGCTGAGGAAAGACCCCGAGAGCGCTTCGCACAGCACGCTTCCCAGCGTCCGAAACACTGCTCTCAGGGCGGGGCACAGCGGAAGGGCTGCACCTCTCAGGGTTCCCTAACTTTTCCCTTATTCAGTCATCTAGACAGCAAATACACAGTAATTCCCCAGTTTCCTATTGACGTCCCAGCGGAAGTCTGACTCCTGCGCGTCACGCAGTTTCTGAGGCAACGAATCTCTGGCACGGAAGCTTTTCCTGGCGCGTTTCGGGAGAACCACGCCAACTACAACGTCCCTCACCAGAATTCAATGAGGCAGAGTCCCTGCATCTGCTCCCTGCCTGGCCTGGGCTCCCACATCCACAGAAGCGCCACAGCCGGGGAGCTTCGGAGTCACCGCACAGAGTGTGCTCTCTGCTCTGCGCTCCTCAGTCCCACAGTCCCCTCCAAGTCACGGGAGCTGGAGGCCAAGGAGCCCCTGCCACCTGCAGTCTCACTCCAGGTCAGAATCGCTGTCCTCTGAGGAGGAGGAAACCTGAAGGTCCTCATAGAGGACGCTCGGTGGGACACGAACACAGGGAGCCTCAGACTTCTCTGACACATGAGGGCTCTGAGCGAGGAAGGCTCCCGGCTTCTCAGGAGAGTGAAATGAGGGGGCGGCCAGGAGGCTGGAGCTCCAGCGTCCGTTTTCCAGTCTCCGGAAGAGCACTCTGAGAGGCTGGGCCCCATCATGGCCGGCCGCTGGGTGATGGGACATGGTGCAGGCCTGGGCAGTAGGCAGGCAAGGTGTGCTGTGCGGAGGCTGCCGGTCGACGCTGGGCACCTGGGCCGGTGTCCTCCTGCCCATCTGGGGCGACGTACTTGGTCCAAGTTCGGTTGCGGCTGGCGGAGGTTGGAGATTCTCCGGGGCCCGCAGCTCACCTCCCTGGATGGCGCTTTCGGGGATCTGGAAGGGACCCAGTCTCGGTTTCTTGGGGAAGTTCAGGCAAGCCTGAATCGGAGCCTGGGCAGGTCTCTTGGCTCCTGGCCCGAAGCTGAGATTGGAGCCTAGGCCCAAGCTGTGTGTGGCGGCTGGCGGGCAGGGCTGTGAGGTCACCGCAGGACGTTTGTCTTGTGCCTGGGGTCTGACGGCCTGGAGCAGGCCGTGGGTTTTGGAGGCAGCCTGGGGAACTTCTCGGCAGCCACCCTCAGGGCTGCTGTGTGTCGGCTTCACCACGAGGAGAGGCTCGGGGCCCTGGTGCCTGAATGCAGGCTGAGGGATGTCGGCCGCAGCCCCTGTCTGTCTTTCCTTTGGTCCAAGACTTGAGGAGGAGCTCAGGCTGGCTTTTCTGAGGGGAGACAGTGAAGCCAAGACGGAGCCCCTGCCAGACATTTCGGTAGCTGAGCGATCAGCGAGGACAGGGTCCACGCGCGGCCTCTTACTGGTTGTGTGGACCGGCATTGGCCCGCTTGCAACCTGAAAGAGAGGAAACAACACAGGTTAGAAGTTCCACGGCATGGAGCCAACGTGAAAATCAAACATATCCAAAGACAAGGTGCACACGCCATGAAATTCTTAGTACAGTATCGACAGGCGGTCCTTGGAAGTAGGGACAGATCCCTCCACCTGAGTGCTGATCAGGACAAGACACATGAAAGGTGCGCTCTCGAGCTATGTGTAGCTGATCTAAGCACACCATTGTTCAAAAGATCGCGTCTTGGGCATTAACTAGATCAAAGCGCCTCCACTCAGCCTTCCATGAAGTGGAACGGACTAATGCCCTTCCCGAGGCAGGTTGGTGGCTCAAGGGTACTCGGGACGTCTTCTCTGAACACATGCATGTTCCTGGGTTTAGCCTTCTCCACGTTTGGGGCCTCTGAGGGACTAATTTCCTCATGCCGCTAGGAACGTGTTGTTGGCAGGCTTGCCATAATTGGACAGAAAGAAAGCCACAGGAAATACGGCATCTTCAGATGCCTTCGCCTGGAATCCAATTGACCTGGAAGGATTGTGGAGTCCCTGACCCCAAGAAGGCAAGAAAGAGGGGTTCCCCGATTTCCTCCCACAGACGGGAAGCTGAAAGGAAATCAACCAGGGTGACCTAGAGGAGAAAAGGACCAGGGGCCCGGGGTGACACTCACCCTCAGATGCTCAGAAGATTCCGTGGATCCTTTTCCATTCGGCAGCGGCTTCTCTGGAGGTTTCCCGGAAAACATGTGGAGGAGAGCCTTCCTCTGCGGGTCTTGTTGCCTGCAGAACAGAAAAAGGTCAGGCGGTGCCCCCTGGTTTTCCCCAGGAGACAGGGAGAACCCCGTCTGGGGCCCAGCCCCATTCCGTGTTTTGTGATACAGAAATGGACATCTGGTGCCCTTTCCGCCTCTGCACCTTCCCTCACGTGCCAACCTTCCCATCCTCCAGGTGGCCCTCTAGGCTTCCCGACTAAGGACTGTGATTTGGATTCCATCGCTTTTCCCGCTGTCGTGGGGAACCTGCACGAAGCGCCCCCGCCTCTCCCCGTCCCTGAATCTCCCAGAGCCCAAGGAGCTCCTGGGTGTGGAACCCCGGAGGACACGGAGCTCCGGCCTATTTCTCTGCAGCGCTCCTTCCCTGGCCCGGAGACGGAAAGGCACACGGTGTGCAGGTGCAGAGACACCATCTCCTTAGGAGGCAGCACCCTAAGAGTGGTGAAAACCCCTCCCACTGCTCACCTTGGTCTCTCTTCCTTCTCTCCCTTATCCTTGTTCAAGGGCCCCGGGTTGGCTTCAGCCCGGGGCTTCCATGGTTTCAGGTTTTCCTTCCCTTCCTTTTTCCCCAAGGTCGCTGGAACCAGGGCTGCCTTCCAGCACTTCATGGGGCACCTGGTACTTCTGGCCGTGTGGCCAAAGGCCCCGCAGTTTTTGCACTTGAGCTGTGGGTGGAAAGGAAGTGATGTCAGTGAGTGAGCTGAAGCCACAGGCAGCGATCCCACGTCAACATTGGGACGGATTGTGAATTCAGAGCTGAATAAGGATTCCGAAGAGGGGACACCGGCATGGGGGCCGTTAAGTGCTGGGAGAGTTCGGATACGATGTTCCCTCGCAAAGCCCTTGTGACGGAGGAACTCTGAAAGGAAGGACTCAAGGTTCCAAGGGGCACGATGGTGAAGCCGATGTCAACAACGCAGCCAAACGTGGCTACACAGGACTCGAAGTAGAAAGGGAGGTTGCCCCCAAGAGTCTCTCAAGGGACCTATCGGGCCGGGGAGAAGGTCCCAAGCCACGCCCACCTTGGATGGGAAAAGCAACCTGGCTGGTGGTGACAGAACTCTTTGGAATCCAACCCAGTCTCTGAGGACCGTGGGACACCGCCTCCCCCCGTCCCCACCCCCACCCCGATACCCAAGAGATCCAGGGCTAGACTTACCCTGGGATCTTCTTCATCGGGCGGGGGAGACCTTGGCCCAACTGGGGCCCTCCGCTGCTTCTGGAGGGTCTGGGCTCTCACCAGTCTCTTGGCCCAAGATTTGGGGTCCCGACGTGCCATCATCTTCGTCTCCTGGGGGTTTTATGACCGCCTTTTTCAGGGGTGGACTGTTGGGCCACCTGAAACACACACAAACACACACATGTCGATGGTTAAGCACGTTGGATATTCACACACCCACAGGAAGCCACCTGCTAACTCCCTGCCTGTGTGGTCATGAGGAGACCTCACCACCAGTCGGTCAAATCTGTAGAACACAATGTGCTGTGCGCATCCTCGGATATTGTGTGTTCCTCTGCCATGACTACCTAGTCCAAGAGTAAACCCCACCTGCCACAGGGCCCGTGGCCTAGGTATGGGGGGTTGAGCTTTCAACCCCAAACAAACAACTGATTCTGGAGACTGGACTTAGGTCTCTCACGATTCACTCCGGTAGAAGACACGGTGATTCTATCTCCCTTGACGGACAGAATGATCGAAGACACAGGGCATGGCGTGTGCCACCCTTTGGCAGGTCTGCTTGAAGTCACGGATAAGGGATGCTTCCTGTGACAACTTGAATCGCTACTCTTGCCATTTCATTAGGCAACTTCCAAACACAAATTCATACAGAGAAGTTACCTTCCTCTCTACCGCACTAGCAGGTGATGGTCTTTCCTGTTCTATCTTTTGGCTTTAGCTCCAGCCCCTCTTTATTTATTTTCCTGGTATTTTACGCATACCACACGAATTCATCTGAACAAACGGGGAAGAAGTGCCGTATCGTATCGACGTCTTACACGGCTGAAGGGCAAACCCCCCTTTTTTCCAAAGTCCTTTTTCCGTTTACCCACCAATTCAGCATGCTGCAGTACATTTCTTTTCGCATTCCCATCTTGGTCTTCTCCCACACGTGGAGACGGATATGTTGTCTCGTTTTCTGTTCCAAGAATTACTAGTAACGAGAACACATCCTACCCCACCAGCAAGCCCCAGTGTGATCGGTTTCTTTCGGCCTCCTTTGTCTCTTCCTCCCCCACACCCCCCGCAAAAACCCCTCAGGGATTGCGTGAAACAAACAATTGTTCAGCGAAACTAACCTGAAATTACACGTCTACTTTCTTTCCCAGGCTGGCGCTGAGATGGGCAGGTGCTGCAGCAGCCCGGCTGGAAGCGATGCAGCATCCAGGACGACGGAGGAAGGGGCGGAGAGGGACCTCCGCTTTCCAGGCTGCCTTTTATACTGCCTCTGGTCACCTGACATGGAACGTACCCTAACCTAATCAGTTACCTGTACCTTAATTGCAATTAACTTAATCCAATTACATGACCTGGAAAGGTCTATCTGCACAGCCCACTCTAAGATCATGTCCACTGCTGACAGACATTCTAAAACCTACTTGTACAGCTGCAAGCTTTGAACAATAGATGTTCCCCGTCAGACATGTAACACTGGTGCCTGTACCCCTGTCTTCTTTTCCATCTTTTTTGTTGTTTTGTTTTGTTTTGTTTTAAAAAATGTGGTAAAATAGACACCTTTTAATTGGACCACATTTTGTCTATCTCGACGTAGGCCTCAGTGTCATCAAGGAGACTCTCCTTGACATGCAGTCACGGCCATGATCCATCTTCAGAGCTTCTCTTTCTTCCCCAAGGTAAGTCTGTCAGCAGAGAACCCTGACCGCACCCTCATGTGTTTTCTCCCCCAGGAGGCGCTTGGAAACAACCGTGAATTGGACCGCACTGGGAAACACAGATGAGGAAAGTCAACAACGCTTTGTCCTTCAGTGCCTGGCTCCTTTTTCAGCTCCTCTTGCGACTCCAGGCATTATGCCTGAAAAGTCTCCCGGACGCCTGTGAGGCTCTAATTCCCTGGGTCCCATTGCCATGTCTCTGGATTTGCGAAGATCCACCGCACCTTCTGTGGAACTCCCGTGTCGGTGAACTTTTGTGCCACGGCCCCTAATTCTGCCCATGGTCATCCGCACCTGCACGACTTAGGGTCCATGTTCCTTGGACGGGAAGAGACAGGCAGGAGTCGGAATGATGAACCAGCACACTGGGGCGTTTTCTCATGTAGCCCAAGTGACCCCATGGTCTTCTCGAGCTTTGGAACCAGTCGCGTCCCCTTTGACACTGCACCCGGCTCCCAGTCACTCAATCTTGTTGGCCCTCCGGCGATCTCCCGTTGGATGAATTGCTCCTGCTGAAACTCGAGTCCCCTTTGATTTGCGCTTCATTAATTATTCATGATTCAGGTTGGAAGGCCTGCTGACGACCCCCTGTGGCCGTTCTCTGAGCTTTCCTGTCACATCGTTTCCTTCCACGCTCTTTGGTTCCTTACGGTCCTGCTCCTTCTGCTGTCAGAGGAGCAGAGAGTTGATCTTATTCATTCTGGATACGGATACTTTCTAGGTGATCTGGATAATCAAGATAACGACCCTCAACAGCGGCGGAGAGGGAGCAGCCAGTTGGTGTGTCTCAGAAAATCCCGCTGAGTTCCGAGGCCTCCTAGATGTGGAATCCTGCTGAGAGTTGTTCCCAGGTCAGAGAATGGAGAGAGCCTGTGCATGATGGGATATCCCCGCCTAGATCTTTCAGTGAGTCTCTGCCTCAGCTACTCTTAGGATCAGGGGGAGAACCATGGTGTCAGACATCCGGAAAGAAGACGGGATGAATGTTTTACCTCTGAAGTACATCCCAAATGTGGGAGTTAACTTCAGCTTTGCTGGGGTCTATTTGGCCAGTGAAACTCTGCCTGGTTCCTTCGCACATCCGGAAGCCACTTCACGGGGGGCCGTCGCAACTGGAACCACACACTTGGCATCGGCGGTTGAGCCAAATGGGGACTCGTGGTGCAAGCAACGCTCCCCACGTGTTAGCGTGCGTGAGATTCGGTTGGCGGAATTTTACTAGGTGCGTGTTGGTAGAGTGGGGCTGAGGTTTTCTTGCTCCTGTGGATGTATAGGAAGTCAAAGGTCCTGCCCAGCCCTGCGGTCCCCTCAGTCAACTCTGTTTCGGAGACGTAACGATTTGGATTGCCAACAAGTCAAGAAATGTTCAAGCCCTTGGATGTAGGGTAAAGAAAGAGAGATCAGACTGTCACTGTGTCTATGTAGAAGGGGAAGACATAAGAGACTCCATTTTGAAAAAGACCTGTAGTTTAAACAATTGCTTTGCTGAGATGTTGTTCATTTGTTGCCTTGCCGCAGCCCCTTCCTTTGACCCAACTTGGAGCTCACAAAAACCTGTGTTGTATAAAATCGAGGTTTAAGGGATCTAGGGCTGTGCAGGACGCGCCTTGTTAACCAAATGTTTACGAGCAGTATACTTGGTAGAAGTCATTGCCATTCTCTAGTCTCAATAAACCAGGGGCGCAATGCACCGTGGAAAGCCACAGGGACCTCTGCCCTTGAAAGCAGGGTATTGTCCAAGGTTTCTCCCCATGTGACAGTCTGAAATATGGCCTCGTGGGATGGGAAAGTCCTGAATGTCCCCCAGCCTGACACCCGCAATGGGTCTGTGCTGAGGTGGATTAGTCAAAGAGGAACGCCTCTTGCAGTTCAGATGGAGGAAGGCCACTGTCTCCTGCTTGCCCCTGGGAACTGAATGTCTCGGTGTAAAGCCCGATCGTACATTTGTTCAACTCTGAGCTCGGAGAAAAGCTGCCCTGTGGCGGGAGGCGAGACATGTTGGCAGTAATGCTGCCTTGTTATTCTTTACTCCGCTGAGATATTTGTGTGGAGAGAAACATAAATCTGGCCTACGTGCACGTCCAGGCATAGTACCTTCCCTTGAACTTAATAATGATATGGATTCTTTTGCTCACGTGTTTGTTTTGTGTTGTTTTTGTTGACCTTCCCCTTATTATCACCCTGCTCCCCTACTGCATTCCTTTGTGCTGAAATAATGAAAATCACAATCAATAAAAACTGCGGGAACTCAGAGGCCGGTGCCGGTGCAGGTCCTAGGTGTGCTGGGTGCCGGTCCCCTGGACCCACTGTTGTCTCCCTATACTTTGTCTCTGTGTCTGATTTCTTTTCTCCGTCTCTCATCCCACCCGACTAGAAACACCCACAGGTGTGGAGGGGCAGGCCACCCCTTCACTTGGAAAATCAGTTACACACAAACACGGAATGAGAGTCAAAAGACAATATGTCATCTTCTTGAGAATTTTATTCACTTCAAAACACATTAAACACACATATGTACAAAGGCATTCCAGAGCCCAGTTTTCGAGGCTGAGGAAAGACCCCGAGAGCGCTTCGCACAGCACGCTTCCCAGCGTCCGAAACTCTGCTCTCAGGGCGGGGCACAGCGGAAGGGCTGCACCTCTCAGGGTTCCCTAACTTTTCCCTTATTCAGTCATCTAGAGAGCAAATACACAGTAATTCCCCAGTTTCCTATTGACGTCCCAGCGGAAGTCTGACTCCTGCGCGTCACGCAGTTTCTGAGGCAACGAATCTCTGGCACGGAAGCTTTTCCTGGCGCGTTTCCGGAGAACCACGCCAACTACAACGTCCCTCACCAGAATTCAATGAGGCAGAGTCCCTGCATCTGCTCCCTGCCTGGCCTGGGCTCCCACATCCACAGAAGCGCCACAGCCGGGGAGCTTCGGAGTCACCGCACAGAGTGTGCTCTCTGCTCTGCGCTCCTCAGTCCCACAGTCCCCTCCAAGTCACGGGAGCCGGAGGCCAAGGAGCCCCTGCCACCTGCAGTCTCACTCCAGGTCAGAATCGCTGTCCTCTGAGGAGGAGGAAACCTGAAGGTCCTCATAGAGGACGCTCGGTGGGACACGAACACAGGGAGCCTCAGACTTCTCTGACACATGAGGGCTCTGAGCGAGGAAGGCTCCCGGCTTCTCAGGAGAGTGAAATGAGGGGGCCGCCAGGAGGCTGGAGCTCCAGCGTCCGTTTTCCAGTCTCCGGAAGAGCACTCTGAGAGGCTGGGCCCCATCATGGCTGGCCGCTGAGTGATGGGACATGGTGCAGGCCTGGGCAGTAGGCAGGCAAGGTCTGCTGTGCGGAGGCTGCCGGTCGACGCTGGGCACCTGGGCCGGTGTCCTCCTGCCCATCTGGGGCGACGTACTTGGTCCAAGTTCGGTTGCGGCTGGCGGAGGTTGGAGATTCTCCGGGGCCCCCAGCTCACCTCCCTGGATGGCGCTTTCGGGGATCTGGAAGGGACCCAGTCTCGGTTTCTTGGGGAAGTTCAGGCAAGCCTGAATCGGAGCCTGGGCAGGTCTCTTGGCTCCTGGCCCGAAGCTGAGATTGGAGCCTAGGCCCAAGCTGTGTGTGGCGGCTGGCGGGCAGGGCTGTGAGGTCACCGCAGGACGTTTGTCTTGTGCCTGGGGTCTGGCGGCCTGGAGCAGGCCGTGGGTTTTGGAGGCAGCCTGGGGAACTTCTCGGCAGCCACCCTCGGGGCGGCTGTGTGTCGGCTTCACCACGAGGAGAGGCTCGCGGCCCTGGTGCCTGACTGCAGGCTGAGGCATGTCGGCCGCAGCCCCTGTCTGTCTTTCCTTTGGTCCAAGACTTGAGGAGGAGCTCAGGCTGGCTTTTCTGAGGGGAGACAGTGAAGCCAAGACGGAGCCCCTGCCAGACATTGCGGTAGCTGAGCGATCAGCGAGGACAGGGTCCAAGCGCGGCCTCTTACTGGTTGTGTGGACCGGCATTGGCCCGCTTGCAACCTGAAAGAGAGGAAACAACACAGGTTAGAAGTTCCTCAGCATGGAGCCAACGTGAAAATCAAGCACATCCAAAGACAAGGTGCACACGCCATGAAATTCTTAGTACAGTATCGACAGGCGGTCCTTGGAAGTAGGGACAGACCCTCCACCTGAGTGCTGATCAGGACAAGACACATGAAAGATGCGCTCTCGAGCTATGTGTAGCTGATCTAAGCACACCATTGTTCAAAAGATCGCGTCTTGGGCATTAACTGGATCAAAGCGCCTCCACTCAGCCTTCCATGAAGTGGAACGGACTAATGCCCTTCCCAAGGCAGGTTGCTGGCTCAAGGGTACTCGGGACGTCTTCTCTGAACACATGCATGTTCCTGGGTTTCGCCTTCTCCACGTTTGGGGCCTCTGAGGGACTAATTTCCTCATGCCGCTAGGAACGTGTTGTTGGCAGGCTTGCCATAATTGGACAGAAAGAAAGCAACAGGAAATACGGCATGTTCAGATGCCTTCGCCTGGAATCCAATTGACCTGGAAGGATCGTGGAGTCCCTGACCCCAAGAAGGCAAGAAAGAGGGGTTCCCCGATTTCCTCCCGCAGACGGGAAGCTGAAAGGAAATCAACCAGGGTGACCTAGAGGAGAAAAAGACCAGGGGCCCGGGGTGACACTCGCCCTCAGATAATCAGAAGATTCCGTGGATCCTTTTCCATTCGGCAGCGGCTTCTCTGGAGGTTTCCCGGAAAACATGTGGAGGAGAGCCTTCCTCTGCGGGTCTTGTTGCCTGCAGAACAGAAGAAGGTCAGGCCGTGCCCCCTGGTTTTCCCCAGGAGACAGGGAGAACCCCGTCTGGGGCCCAGCCCCATTCCGTGTTTTGTGATACAGAAATGGACATCTGGTGCCCTTTCCGCCTCTGCACCTTCCCTCACGTGCCAACCTTCCCATCCTCCAGGTGGCCCTCTAGGCTTCCCAACTAAGGACTGTGATTTGGATTCCATCGCTTTTCCCGCTGTCGTGGGGAACCTGCACGAAGCGCCCCCGCCTCTCCCCGTCCCTGAATCTCCCAGAGCCCAAGGAGCTCCTGGGTGTGGAACCCCGGAGGACACGGAGCTCCGGCCTATTTCTCTGCAGCGTTCCTTCCCTGGCCCGGAGACGGAAAGGCACACGGTGTGCAGGTGCAGAGACACCATGTCCTTGGGAGGCCGTACCCTAAGAGTGGTGAAAACCCCTCCCACTGCTCACCTTGGTCTCTCTTCCTTCTCTCCCTTATCCTTGTTCAAGGGCCCCGGGTTGGCTTCACCCCGGGGCTTCCATGGTTTCAGGTTTTCCTTCCCTTCCTTTTTCCCCAAGGTCGCTGGAACCAGGGCTGCCTTCCAGCACTTCATGGGGCACCTGGTACTTCTGGCCGTGTGGCCAAAGGCCCCGCAGTTTTTGCACTTGAGCTGCGGGTGGAAAGGAAGTGATGTCAGTGAGTGAGCTGAAGCCACAGGCAGCGATCCCACGTCAACATTGGGACGGATTGTGAATTCAGAGCTGAATAAGGATTCCAAAGAGGGGACACCGGCATGGGGGCCGTTAAGTGCTGGGAGACTTCGGATACGATGTTCCCTCGCAAAGCCCATGTGACGGAGGAACTCTGAAAGGAAGGACTCAAGGTTCCAAGGGGCACGATGGTGAAGCCGATGTCAACAACGCAGCCAAACGTGGCTACACAGGACTCTAAGTAGAAAGGGAGGTTGCCCCCAAGAGTCTCTCAAGGGACCTATCGGGCCGGGGAGAAGGTCCCAAGCCACGCCCACCTTGGATGGGAAAAGCAACCTGGCTGGTGGTGACAGAACTCTTTGGAATCCAACCCAGTCTCTGAGGACCGTGGGACAGCCCCTCCCCCCGTCCCCACCCCCACCCCGATACCCAAGAGATCCAGGGCTACACTTACCCTGGGATCTTCTTCATCGGGCGGGGGAGCCCTTGGCCCAACTGGGGCCCTCCGCTGCTTCTGGAGGGTCTGGGCTCTCACCAGTCTCTTGGCCCAAGATTTGGGGTCCCGACGTGCCATCATCTTCGTCTCCTGGGGGTTTTATGACCGCCTTTTTCAGGGGTGGACTGTTGGGCCACCTGAAACACACACAAACACACACATGTCGATGGTTAAGCACGTTGGATATTCACACACCCACAGGAAGCCACCTGCTAACTCCCTGCCTGTGTGGTCATGAGGAGACCTCACCACCAGTCGGTCAAATCTGTAGAACACAATGTGCTGTGCGCATCCTCGGATATTGTGTGTTCCTCTGCCATGACTACCTAGTCCAAGAGTAAACCCCACCTGCCACAGGGCCCGTGGCCTAGGTATGGGGGGGTTGAGCTTTCAACCCCAAACAAACAACTGATTCTGGAGACTGGACTTAGGTCTCTCACGATTCACTCCGGTAGAAGACACGGTGATTCTATCTCCCTTGACGGACAGAATGATCGAAGACACAGGGCATGGCGTGTGCCACCCTTTGGCAGGTCTGCTTGAAGTCACGGATAAGGGATGCTTCCTGTGACAACTTGAATCGCTACTCTTGCCATTTCATTAGGCAACTTCCAAGCACAAATTCATACAGAGAAGTTACCTTCCTCTCTACCGCACTAGCAGGTGAGGATCTTTCCTGTTCTATCTTTTGGCTTTAGCTCCAGCCCCTCTTTATTTATTTTCCTGGTATTTTACGCACACCACACGAATTCATCTGAACAAACGGGGAAGAAGTGCCGTATCGTATCGACGTCTTACACGGCTGAAGGGCAAACCCCCCTTTTTTCCAAAGTCCTGTTTCCATTTACCCACCAATTCAGCATGCTGCAGTACATTTCTTTTCGCATTCCCATCTTGGTCTTCTCCCACACGTGGAGACGGATATGTTGTCTCGTTTTCTGTTCCAAGAATTACTAGTAACGAGAACACATCCTACCCCACCAGCAAGCCCCAGTGTGATCGGTTTCTTTCGGCCTCCTTTGTCTCTTCCTCCCCCACACCCCCCGCAAATACCCCCCAGGGATTGCGTGAAAGAAACAATTGTTCAGCGAAACCAACCTGAAATTACACGTCTACTTTCTTTCCCAGGCTGGCGCTGAGATGGGCAGGTGCTGCAGCAGCCCGGCTGGAAGCGATGCAGCATCCAGAACGACGGAGGAAGGGGCGGAGAGGGACCTCTGCTTTCCAGGCTGCCTTTTATACTGCCTCTGGTCACCTGACATGGAACGTACCCTAACCTAATCAGTTACCTGTACCTTAATTGCAATTAACTTAATCCAATTACATGACCTGGAAAGGTCTATCTGCACAGCCCACTCTAAGATCCTGTCCACTGCTGACAGACATTCTAAAACCTACTTGTACAGCTGCAAGCTTTGAACAATAGATGTTCCCCGTCAGACATGTAACACTGGTGCCTGTACCCCTGTCTTCTTTTCCATCTTTTTTGTTGTTTTGTTTTGTTTCGTTTTAAAAAATGTGGTAAAATAGACACCTTTTAATTGGACCACATTTTGTCTCTCTCGACGTAGGCCTCAGTGTCATCAAGGAGACTCTCCTTGACATGCAGTCACGGCCATGATCCATCTTCAGAGCTTCTCTTTCTTCCCCAAGGTAAGTCTGTCAGCAGAGAACCCTGACCGCACCCTCATGTGTTTTCTCCCCCAGGAGGCGCTTGGAAACCACCGTGAATTGGACCGCACTGGGAAACACAGATGAGGAAAGTCAACAACGCTTTGTCCTTCAGTGCCTGGCTCCTTTTTCAGCTCCTCTTGCGACTCCAGGCATTATGCCTGAAAAGTCTCCCGGACGCCTGTGAGGCTGTAATTCCCTGGGTCCCATTGCCATGTCTCTGGATTTGCGAAGATCCACCGCACCTTCTGTGGAACTCCCGTGTCGGTGAACTTTTGTGCCACGGCCCCTAATTCTGCCCGTGGTCATCCGCACCTGCACGACTTAGGGTCCATGTTCCTTGGACGGGAAGAGACAGGCAGGAGTCGGAATGATGAACCAGCACACTGGGGCGTTTTCTCATGTAGCCCAAGTGACCCCATGGTCTTCTCGAGCTTTGGAACCAGTCGCGTCCCCTTTGACACTGCACCCGGCTCCCAGTCTCTCAATCTTGTTGGCCCTCCGGCGATCTCCCGTTGGATGAATTGCTCCTGCTGAAACTCCAGTCCCCTTTGATTTGCGCTTCATTAATTATTCATGATTCAGGTTGGAAGGCCTGCTGACGACCCCCTGTGGCGGTTCTCTGAGCTTTCCTGTCACATCGTTTCCTTCCACGCTCTTTGGTTCCTTATGGTCCTGCTCCCTCTGCTGTCAGAGGAGCAGAGAGTTGATCTTATTCATTCTGGATACGGATACTTTCTAGGTGATCTGGATAATCAAGATAACGACCCTCAACAGCGGCGGAGAGGGAGCAGCCAGTTGGTGTGTCTCAGAAAATCCCACTGAGTTCCGAGGCCTCCTAGATGTGGAATCCTGCTGAGAGTTGTTCCCAGGTCAGAGAATGGAGAGAGCCTGTGCATGATGGGATATCCCTGCCTAGATCTTTCAGTGAGTCTCTACCTCAGCTACTCTTAGGATCAGGGGGAGAACCATGGTGTCAGACATCCGGAAAGAAGACGGGATGAATGTTTTACCTCTGAAGTACATCCCGAATGTGGGAGTTAACTTCAGCTTTGCTGGGGTCTATTTGGCCAGTGAAACTCTGCCTGGTTCCTTCGCACATCCGGAAGCCACTTCACGGGGGGCCGTCGCAACTGGAACCACACACTTGGCATCGGCGGTTGAGCCAAATGGGGACTCGTGGTGCAAGCAACGCTCCCCACGTGTTAGCGTGCGTGAGATGCGGTTGGCGGAATTTTACTAGGTGCGTGTTGGTAGAGTGGGGCTGAGGTTTTCTTGCTCCTGTGGATGTATAGCAAGTCAAAGGTCCTGCCCAGCCCTGCGGTCCCCTCAGTCAACTCTGTTTCGGAGACGTAACGATTTGGATTGCCAACAAGTCAAGAAATGTTCAAGCCCTTGGATGTAGGGTAAAGAAAGAGAGATCAGACTGTCACTGTGTCTATGTAGAAGGGGAAGACATAAGAGACTCCATTTTGAAAAAGACCTGTAGTTTAAACAATTGCTTTGCTGAGATGTTGTTCATTTGTTGCCTTGCCTCATCCACTTTGCCCCAGCCCCTTTGACCCAACTTGGAGCTCAGAAAACCTGTGTTGTATAAAATCGAGGTTTAGGGGATCTAGGGCTGTGCAGGACGTGCTTTGTTAACCAAATGTTTACAAGCAGTATACTTGGTAAAAGTCATTGCCATTCTCTAGTTTCAATAAACCAGGGGCACTATGCACCGTGGAAAGCCGCAGCGACCTCTACCCTTGAAAGCAGGTTATTGTCCAAGGTTTCTCCCCATGTAACAGTCTGAAATATGGCCCTGTGGGATGGGAAATACCTGACTGGCCCCCAGCCTGAGACCCGTAAAGGGTCTGTGCCGAGGTGGAGTAGTCAAAGAGGAAAGCCTCTTGCAATTTAGATGGAGGACAGCCACTGTCTCCCGCATCCCACCTTGCCTCCCTGGCTCTTAGGACCCGCATCGCAGGGTGTGAGGCACTCCCCCCGTTTCGGGTTGTAAGAGCCAAACCCTCTTGCCCCCCTGGCTCTTAGTTTCCCCCATCGCAGCGGGGTGAGTCACGTCCTGCTATGCTTGGGGTAAGAGCCAGCCCCTCTTGCCCCCCTGGCTCTCAGGACCCCCATCGCAGTGGTGTGAGGCACGCCCCTTGATGCGGGTATTAAGAGCCTTCCCATCTTACCTCCTGGCTCTTAGGACCCCCATCGCAGGGGGTGAGGCACGCCCCGCCATGCGGAGAGTAAGAGCTAACCCCTCTTGCCCCCCTGGTTTTTAGGATCCGCGGTGGACTCACAGCCTGTTTATCATATTGTGAGTAATATCGTCTCCCGCTCTGGAGATTGTGAACTGTTTCACCCACCGGTGTTCACCCCGGCGTACAGAGGTTGTACACCCGTCTGTATTGGGAGTCATATCATCCTCTTCCTCTCTGAATATTAAGAACAGTATCACAGGGGTGTTTCTACTCCCTGGGATATCGCGTGTCATATCCTCCTCTCCCACGTTGCAATTAGAAACAATATCAGTGGGGGCGTGTCCACCTTCTGTGATACTGAAAGCAATATCATCCTCTTCCCTCCAGGATCGTGGGAACAATATCCTTGGGGGTGTCCACTTTCTGCCATATGTGTAGTCATATCACCCCCTCCGCCTTGGAATATTATTAAGAACCATGTCACACGGGGGTGTACACTTCCTACGATGTTGGGAGTAATAGCATTCTCTTCTTCCATGAATATTAGGAACAAAATCACCGGGTGGATGCACACCCAGTGCTATATTGGGAGTAATGTCATACTCCACCCCCTGGAGATTATATTCGGATCAATATCACCGGCTGGGTGTGCACCTGCTGCGATATTGAACGTAATATCATGCTCTCTCCCTCCCTGAACATTAGGAACAATATCACAGGTGGGTGTACACCCACTGAGGTATTAGGGCATACTATTAGTATGAATTATTCCTTGTTTTTTATTAACATGAATATGAATGGCCGATATTAATATTAATATTAAGAAGTAATTGCTAATAAAAAGTTCTCAGATTATTAATATTAATATTAATTATTAGGAGCTAATATTACTATTTTCTAAAGAATAAGATCAGTATCAGTTATTAATATCAGGCGTCATAATCATCAATATTAATCATGTATTGTTATTGTTAGTATAACTATTTAATATTAATTATCATTAGTATCCGTATTGATTTTAAAAATTATATTATGGGTTATTAATATTGATAATTATTAGTGTCAGTTAATAATTGAGATTATTAATTGCGGTAAGTCGCATTGCGCCATTCCACCCCTTCCTCGGCAGCTCGTTTACGACCCAAAACGGGGACACAAATGCCCCTGAGAGAGCAGCGGTATACTGGGATAGATGAAAATGCTCATGTAGTGGAGAGACGTATTTTTGGGTACCAGCCCTTCACCTGCGTCGACCTTCTCAACTGGAAAAACAATACATCGCCCTATACCGAAAAGCCACAAGCCCTAATTGATTTGCTCCAAACTGTTATCCAGACCCACAACCACACCTGGACCGATTGGCACCAGTTGCTCATTTTCCTCTTTAACAGTGAAGAAAGGCAGAGAGTCCTCCAAGCAGCAACTAAGTGGCTAGAGGAACATGCACCAGCTGATTATCAAAACCCCGAACAGTATGGAAGGACCCAGTTGCCAGGAACCGACCCCCAGTTGGACCCACATGAAAGAGAGGAGATGCAAAGGCTAAACCGAGACAGGGAAGCTCTCTTGGAAGGATTAATGAGGGGAGCTCAGAAGGCCACAAACGTTAACAAGCTCTCTGAGGTCATTCAGGGAAAAGAAGAAAGTCCAGCACAATTCTACGAGAGACTGTATGAGGCCTATCATATGTATACTCCCTTTGATCCCGATAGCCCTGAAAATCAGCGCATGATTCACATGGCTTTAGTCCATCAAAGTGCAGAAGACATGAGAAGAAAACTGCAGAAACAGACTGGGCTTGCAGGGAAGAATCCATCCCAATTACTAGAAATAGCTAGCCAGGTGTTTGTAAACAGGTATGCAGTAAGCCGTAAGGAAAACGGCAAAGAGGATGGAGGTCAGGCCCGGCCACACGCCGACCTGTTTGTCAGCTGCAGCAATCAGAGGGGCCCCCGCAAAGAGGCAAGGGAAAGGGGGCCCTGGGAAAGAAACTCAGCTTGGCTGTCAGAGTTTGCAGCGTAACCAGTGTGCTGATTGTAAAGAAATAGGACAGTGGAAGAACAAATGCCCTCAGCTCAAAAGAAGGTGACTCAGAGCCGGAGGCCCCGGACAAGGAGGAAGGGGCCCTGCTCAACCTGGCAGAAGGGTTCTTGGACTGAGGGAGACCGGGCTCAAGCATCCCCATTCTGACATCTGTTCAGAATGACAGTCAGGGGTGGAGACATTAACTTTCTTGTAGATAGCGGTGCTGAACATTCGCTAGTAACCGCCCCGGTCGTCCCCTTACCGAAAAAGACTACTGACGTCATCGGAGCCACGGGGGTTTCAGCAAAGCAAGCTTTCTGCTTGCCTTGGACTTGTCCTGTAGGAGGACATAAAGTCATTCATCAGTTTTGTTACATGCCTGACAGTCTCTTGAACTTTTCAGGAAGGGACTTGCTCAGCAAGCTGAGAGCCACTGCCTCTTTCACAGAGCACGGCTCTTTGCTGCTAAAGTTACCCGGAATGGGAGTCATTATGACGCTTATGGTCCCCCGAGAGGAGGAATGGAGACTTTTCTGAACTGACCCGGGCAAAGAGAAAAGACCAGCTCTGGCTAAGCGCTGGCCAAGAGTTCGGGCAGAAGAGAACCCTCCAGGATTGGCCAGTTAAGACTGGGGCCCAGCCGGTGAGGCAAAAACAGGACTCGGTCCCCAGAGAAGCCCTTCAAGGTATCCAGGTCCATCTCAAGCACCTAAGAACGTTTGGAATGATTGTTCCTTGTCAGTCTCCATGGAACACTCCCCTCCTGCCTGTTCCCAAGCCACGGACCAAGGACTACCGGCCGGTACAGGATTTGCGCTTGCTTCATCAAGCCACACTGACTTTACATCCAACAGTACCTAACCCGTCCACATTGTTGGGGTTGCCGCCAGCTGAGGACAGCTGGTTCACCTGCTTGGACCTAAAAGACGCTTTCCTTCCTATCAGATTAGCCCCTGAGAGGCAGAAGCTGTTTGCCTTTCAGTGGGAAGATCCGGAGTCAGGTGTCACTACTTAGTACACTTGGACCGGGCTTCCCCAAAGGTTCAAGAACTCCCCCACCATCTTCGGGGAGGCATGGGCTCGAGACCTCCAGAAGTTTCCTAGCAGAGACCTAGGCTGCTTGTTGCTCCAGTAGGTTGATGACCTTCTGCTGGGACACCCCACGGCAGTCGGGTGTGCCAAGGGAACAGATGCCCTACACCGCACCTGGAGGACTGTGGGTAGAAGGTGTCCAAGAAGAAAGCTCAGATCTGCCGACAGCAGGTACGTTACTTGGGATTTACTATCCGACAGGGGTCGGAACGCAGCCCGAGATCAGAAAGAAAGCAGGTCATTTGCCATCTAGCGGAGCCTAAGAGCAGAAGGCAGGTAGGAGAATTCTTAGGAGCTGTGGGGTTTTGTAGACTGTGGATCCCAAACTTTGCAGTATTAGCCAAGTTTTTGTATGAGGTCACAAGGGGGGCGGGGACGGGGAATCTTTGGAATGAGGATCCCAACAACAGCAAGTATTTCATGAGTTAAAGGAAAAACTTCTGGCAGCACCAGCCCTGAGGCTACCCGATCTGACAAAGCCTTTTCCATTGTATGCATCAGAGAGAGAAAGGATGGCAGCTGGACTTTGAACCCAAACTGTGGGGCCCTGGCTGAGGCTGGTGGCCTACCTCTGTAAACCACTAGACGGAGTTTCTAAAGGATGGCCCCCCTGTTGGAGGGCCTTGGCAGCAACTGCCCTGCTAGTACAAGAAGCAAATAAGCTGACTCTTGGGCGAAACCTGAACATAAAGGCCTCCCGTGCTGTGGTGATGAATACTAAAGGACGTCATTGGCTAACGAATGCCAGGCTCACCAAGTACCAAACTTTGGTCTGTGAAAATCCCCGTATAACCATTGAAGTTTGTAACACCCTACACCCCGCCACCTTGCTGCCGGTATCAGGGAGCCCTGTCGAGCCTGATTGTGTAGAAGTGTTGGACTCAATTGACTCTAGCAGACCTGAGCTCCGGGACCAGACTTGGGCATCAGTAGACTGGGAGCCACACGTGGATGGGAGCAGCTTCTTCAACCCCCAAGGAGAGAGAGGTGCAGGGTATGCAGTGATAACTCTGGACACTGTTGTTGAAACCAGGTCGTTGCCCTAGGCCACTTCAGCCCAGAAAGCTGAACTCAATGCTTTCATTTGGGCCTTAGAACTCAGTGAGGGTGAGACTGTCAACACTTACACTGATTCTCGGTATGTCTTTTTAACCCTTCAAGTGCATGGAGTGTGATAGAAAGAAAAGGGCCTATTGAATTCTGGGGGGAAAGACAGAAAATATCCACAAGAAATCTTGCAATGATTAGAAGCAGTATGGAAACCCCACAAGGTGGCAGTTAGGCATTGCAGAGGACACCAGCGAGCTTCCACCTTGCTGTGTTTGGGGAATTCCCGCGCTGAGTCAGAGGCTCGAAAAGCAGCAACTGCCCCCTTCTGGGCATCAGTGCTCCCTCAAACACCTGATCTTGGACCTGCTTCTTCTAAAGAAGAAAGGACTTTCTCCAGGTAGAGGGAAGGACAAGTGATGGAGGAAGGATGGATTCAGTTACCAGATAGGAGAGTAGCTGTGCCACAGCTGCTAGGAGCTGCAGTTGTACTGGCTGTGCAAGAAAACACCCATCGAGGTCAGGAGTCACTGGAAAAGTTGTTAGGCCGGTATTTCTACATCTCGCCTTTGTCAACCCTTGCCAAAACGGTGAGGCAGCGGTGTGTTACCTGCTGACAGCAAGATGGGAGTCAAGGTCCAGCCGTTCCGCCCGGCATACGAGCTTGTGGAGCAGCCCCCTTTGAAGGTCTCCAGGTGGACTTCACGGAGATGCCAAAGTGTGGAGGTAACAAGCATGTACTGGTTCTTGGGCGTACCTACTCTGGGTGGGTGGAGGCCTATCCAACACGAACTGAGAAAGCTGGTGAAGTAATCCCTGTGCTTCTTCGAGATGTGATTCCTAGATTTCGACCGCCCTTATGGATCGGCTCAGACAACGGGCCTGCGTTTTTGGCTGCCTTGGTACAGAAAACGGCAAAGGTATTGGGGATCGCACGGAAACTACATGCCGCCTCCCGGCCTCAGAGTTCCGGAAAGGTGGAGAGGATGAATCGGACTATCAAAAATAGTACTACTGTCTTCCCCGCTGGATATTTAAAACAACAGCACAAGGGGCGTCAAACCACCTGCTAAATTGGAGGCAATGTTATCCTCTCCCCTCCTCCCCCGGCCCCGGATATTAGAGACAACAACACAGGGGTGATGTACACCCACTGCTTTATTGTGAGTAATATCATCCTCTCCCTTCTTGGATAGTAGGAACAGTATCACACTGTGCGTGTAGGCCTGTCGCGAAATTCAATGGAATGTCATCCTGCGCCTCCCTGGATATGACGAACAATATCACGGGGGATGTACAACTTCTGAGATATTGGGAGTGATGTCATCCTCTCCCCTCTGGAAGTTAGGGACAATATCACAGGGGTAGTGTACACCCTCTGGGATGTTGGGACTAATATCTCACAGGTGTCTGAGAATTCCTCCTCCTGGGACTCTCAGAGGATCCACAACTGCAGCCGGCCCTCGCTTTGCTGTCCCTGTCCCTGTCCATGTATCTGGTCACGGTGCTGAGGAACCTGTTCAGCATCCTGGCTGTCAGCTCTGACTGCCCCCTCCACACCCCCATGTACTTCTTCCTCTCCAACCTGTGCTGGCCTGACATCGGTTTCACCTCGGCCATGGTTCCCAAGATGATTGTGGACACGCAGTCGCATAGCAGAGTCATCTCTCATGCGGGCTGCCTGACACAGATGTCTTTCCTGCTCCTTGTTGCATGTATAGAAGGCATGCTCCTGACTGTGATGGCCTATGACTGCTTTGTAGCCATCTGTCGCCCTCTGCACTACCCAGTCATCGTGAATCCTCACCTCTGTGTCTTCTTCGTTTTGGTGTCCTTTTTCCTTAGCCTGTTGGATTCCCAGCTGCACAGTTGGATTGTGTTACAATTAACCATCATCAAGAATGTGGAAATCTCTAATTTGGTCTGTGACCCCTCTCAACTTCTCAAACTTGCCTGTTCTGACAGCGTCATCAATAACATATTCATATATTTCGATAGTACTATGTTTGGTTTTCTTCCCATTTCAGGGATCTTTTTGTCTTACTATAAAATTGTCCCCTCCATTCTAAGGATTTCATCGTCAGATGGGAAGTATAAAGCCTTCTCCACCTGTGGCTGTCATCTAGCAGTTGTTTGCTGGTTTTATGGAACAGGCATTGGCATGTACCTGACTTCAGCTGTGTCACCACCCCCCAGGAATGGTGTGGTGGCATCAGTGATGTACGCTGTGGTCACCCCATGCTGAACCTTTTCATCTGCAGCCTGAGAAACAGGGACATACAAAGTGCCCTGCGGAGGCTGGGCAGCAGAGCATTCGAATCTCATGATCTGTTCCATCCTTTTTCTTGTGTGGGTGAGAAAGGGCAATCACATTAAATCTCTTTATCTGCAAATCCTGCCCCTCAGTCACATTCTTTTTGTGGCTTGATGGCTTTTATTCCTTTCCGCATTTCCTTTGTGAATATTGCTTTCTTCGTTATGCCTTTATCTGGAATGAGTGACGATTCTGGGATCCTTGGTTTAGCAGAAACCTCATGACAGAATCTTCTATACCTAGGTGGCCTCTTTTAGTCTCTGAGCAATAACCATGTCATCCAGGTGGAATCACAACCATCATTTTATATACACGAAGTCCTCACTTCGTTTTGGAATTCCCTGAAAACTGACTTTATGGAAACAATGTACAGAAGGTCCTCCAACAGCATTGGTTGTTCAAAGTCGTGTAGTTATACTGTTGATGAAAAATAAGTGGTTTCACTGTACATAATTTTGCTTCAAGGTGAAGTTTCCAAGAGACTTTCAAAGATGTTAAGTGAGGACATACTGTACATCAAATTCATATCCTCTTCCACAGTTCATGTGGAATTTCTTTATAAACTTCTTCTAGAGAATCTATTTAGGCAGGTTCTGTGTAGATATCCATGTCGCCGTTCCTCAATCTTGGCTTTGAGTCAAATCACCTGGGCAGCTTACACATGATGAGGACTGGTTCTCAATACCTGAGATTCTGATTTCCTTGCACCTGTGTGAGTGTGTGGATTTTTTTTTTTCTTTTAAAGCACCAGAGATGGTTCCAATGACGAAGTTTTTAGAGGCATCAAGCTGCAATGAGTAAGAACAGAAATTAATTGTAATATGATTTCTTCAAATATTATCTTCAAATGCATTGTCCATCAACGCCATACAAATGTTTATTATGCTGTTTTTTCTTACCATTTCGCATTTTCTATTTCCTTCTTGTCCTTTTTTTTTTTTTTTTTTTGAGTCAGAGTTTCACTCTTGTTGCCCAGGCTGGAGTTCAATGGCACGGTCTCGGCTCACTGAAACCTCTGCCTCCCGTATTCAAGCAATTCTCCTGTCTCAGCCTTCCAAGTAGCTGGGATTACAGGCATGCGCTACCATGCCTGGCTATCTTTTTGTTGTTGTTGTTGTTGTTGTATTGTTAGTAGAGACAATGTTTCTCCATTTTGGTCAGGCTGGTCTTGAACTCCTGACCTCAGGTGATCCGGCCGCTTCCGCCTCCCAAAGTACTGGGATTACACGCATGAGGGACCGCGCCCAGCCACCACTTAGCATTTACATTTTGCAATTGTTGAAGTTATAGATTTATACACACATCAATTGCTGCTTTGTTATACACTTGCATATACATAAGATGGGAAATAGAAAAGAATAAAATGGGCACGGTATCCCTGAAGTTTCACATTCTGAGACTTTAAAAATATTTGCTCTTTAGAAATTTGTTTCAATAAAGAAACTGTGGTATACACACCCAATGAAGTATTATTCAGCCTAAAGAGGAAGAAAATCCTCTCTGCTGCAGACAAAATGGATGTGATTGCAGGTCTGTATATTAAATGAAATAAGCCAGGCACAGAATGTCAAATATTTCATGTCCTCACTTCTACGTAGGAAGAAAAAAGGAAACCTTGACCAGGCGTGGTGGCTCAGACCTGTAATCCCAGCACTCTGGGAGGCCGAGTCGCACGGATCAATTGAGTCCAGGGGTTCGAGACCTGCTTGGCCAACATGGTGAAACCCCGTCTCTACGGAAAAAACAAACAATTAGCCGGGCGTGGTGACGCGTGCCTCTAGTCTCAGCTACTCGGAGGGCTGAGGCCCAAGAAGCGCTTGAACTCGGGAGACGGAGCTTACAGTGAGCCCGGATTGTGCCTGTGTACTCCAACCTGGGCAACATAAAGAGACTCCATCACACACCTACACACAAAAGGAATCTCAGGAAGGTGGAAAGTATAAAGGTGGTTAGCAGACGCTAGGAAGAAAAGGGTTGGGATGGAGAATGAAGACAAGTGGATAATTGGGTCCCAAAATACAGAAAGATGGAATAAGTGAGTTCTAGTGTTTGATTGTACAGTATGAAAATTTTAGTTCACAAGAATTTCTTGAATATTTCCAGATGCTTTGGTAAGAAACTTCCTAATTTTCTCATTATGCTGGTTTTTCAGCTCTTCTCTTTCTGCTCTTGAAATCATGCTGGTTTTTTGTTTTTTGTTTTTTGTTTTGAGATGGAGTTTCGCTCTTGTTGCCCAGGCTGGAGTGTCATGGTGCAATGTTGGCTCACCGCAACCTCTGCCTCCTGGGTTCAAGCAATTCTCCTGCCTCCACCTCCCGAGTAGCTGGGATTACAGGCATGCGCCTGTAGTAGAGACGGAGGTTTCTCCCTGTCGGTCAGGCTGGTCTTCAACTCCTGACATCAGGTGATCCGCCCACCTCGGCCTCCCAAAGTGCTGGGATTACAGGCGTGAGCGACGCGCCCAGCCCATGCTGTAACATTATCTGTTGTCTGCTGTTGTTTGTTTATTTTGGAGCCCAGAAATAACTTGTCACCTGTATGTTCAAATGATTTTTAACATGAGTGGTAAGAAAGCTCATTGGTGGAAAAACAGCCTTTTCAAGAAATGGTGTTGGAGAAACTTGATTTCCACATGCAGAAGATTGAAGGTGGACCCTATGTCACACCAGGGGCAAAAATTAACACAAACTGGATCAAAGACCTCACCCCAAGCGCTAAAAGAATCATTCGCCTAAAGGAAAACATTGGCCATGCTTTCATGACATCAGATTGGGCAATGTTCTCTGGGATGTGACACCAAAAGCATAGGCAACAAAAGAAAATTAGATTCCTTGGATTACATCGAAATGACAGACACTTTTGTGCAGCAAAATCACGGCAAACTGAGTGAAAAGATAACCCATGGATTAGGAAAAATATTTTCAAAGCGTATATCTGAAAAGAGGCTGATATCCATCATACATAAAGAACAGGCAGAACTAAACAACAAGAAACCCAAAGCATCCCATCAACAATGGTCAGAAGACTCAAGTAGACGTGTTCCTAAAGAAGATATAGCAGTGGCCAATAAGCATCTAAAATGATGTTCAAAATCACTCATCATAAGGAAGCGCAAATCAAACCAAGAATGTGACACCACACATTAGGATGGATATGATAAACAAACAGGATTGGTGAGACTAGAGGGAAGTAGGAATGCTCGAATCTGATCAGAGGGAATGTAAAACCGTGAAGGAACGGGGAAAATAGTATGGTGTCTACTGGAAAAATTAGAAACAGGATGATCAGATGTTGCCGCAGTTGCATTTGTGGGTACCTACAAAAAAGAAGCCAGGAGTGGAAGACAGATTTGTGTACACCCATATTCATAGCAGCATTATTCACAAGAGCCAAAATGTGGAAGCAACCCAAGGGTTCGTGGACAGATGAATGAAAAAGCACACTGCAGTTCCTTCATACAATGGAAGACTATTCAGCCTTCAAAAGGCAGGCACTTCTGGCCGGTGCGGTGGCTCACGCCTGTAATCGCAGCGTCTTGGAAGACCGAGGTGGGCGGATCACCTGAGGTCAGGAATTCAAGACCAGCCTGGCCATCTTGGGGAAACCCTGTCCCTACTGAAAATGCAAAAAATGAGATGAGCATGGAGGCGTGTGCCTATAGTCCCAGCTACTCGGGAGGATGTGGCACAAGAATCACTGGAACCCGGGAAGCGGAGGTGAGCCCAGATTGTGCCACTGTACTCCAGCCTGTGCGACAGAGTGAGACTCCATGGAAACACAAAACAAAACAAAGTCAAACGAACAAACAAAAAACAACAACAACAAAAAAAACAGACAGGCACTTCTGAGGCAGGCCGCAACATGGATGAACCTTGAAGACATTATCGTCAGTGAAATAAATAAATCCCAAAAGGATAAACAGGCCCAGGCTCAGTGGCTCGCACCTGTAACACCAGCACTTTGGGAGGCTGAGCCAGGCGGATCACTTCAGGTCAGGAGTTCGAGACCAGCCTGGCCAATATGGTGAAAGCTCGTCTCTATTAAAAATACAAAAATTAGCTGGGCGTAGTGGTGCAAGCCTGTAATCCCAGCTACTCGGGAGACTGAGACACAAGAATCGCTTGAACCCACGATGTGGAGGTTGCAGTGAGCCGAGATCACGCCACTGCACTCCAGACTGGGTGACAGAGAAAGACTCTGTCTCCAAAACAAAAAAATTAAACACGGTATGATTCCACTTATCTATCAAGTGTCTAGAGTAGTTAAACTCATAGAGTTGCAAACTAGAAAGGTGGCCCCCAGGGGTGGGTGAGAGAAAGGAATGGAGAGCTTGGTGAATGGGTGGAATTTCCATTTTGAAAGATAAAACTGTTCCTGAGATGATGGCGGTGATGCTTGCTAAATAATGTGAACGTACTTAATGTCAATAATCTGTAAACTGAAAAAGAGTGGAAATTGTAAATGTTTATACTGGCCATTCTATATGAACTAATATATATTTATAATTTTTAATATTTATACGTGGTATATTTTCCCATTATAAAAGATGAAAATTAAAGCAGTTGGATGTTTAAAAAGAAAAGAAAGAAGCGAAGAATACACACCAGCTTTCTTCTGATTAGAGGAGGAGCCCCAAAGTTTCTATGGACACTCACTTTTCTCTTCTTCTTCTTGCATTATTGTGAGGACATCCTTAGAGGTTGGGGAACTTGGGCGGCTTTGGCTAATGAGGAGCTCTGTGCCTGAGCCCCCCAGGCCACAGGATAGTAAATACTCAGTCTGTGCCTCCCGCCCTGCAGTGTGAGGTTGCAGTCCTGTGGGCTCCACAGCCGTCACCTGTATCAGGAGGCTCATGTCTCACCCTGTCTTCTTGCCAGCCTTGAGGACGGAGCCTGAGCCTCCATGGTGCACCACGCAGGGAGGACAGTGGACCTGTTCTCCGTGGTCATGTCCCAGCAGAGGGGAGAGGCAGTTCAGTGAGTGTAGGGAAAAGAAAGAGAGATCAGACTCTTACTGTGTCTATGTAGAAAGGAAAGACATAAGAGACTCCATTTTGAGAAAGACCTGTACTTTCAACAATTGCTTTGCTGAGATGTTGTTAATCTGTAGCTTTGCCCCAGCCACTTTGACCCAACCTGAAGCTCACAAAAACATGTGTTGTATGAAATCAAGGTTTAAGGGATCTAGGGTTATGCAGGACGTGCCTTGTTAACAAGATGTTTCCAAGCAGTATACTTTGTAAAAGTCATCGCCATTCTCTAGTATCAATAAACCAGGGGCACAATACACTGTGGAAAGCCGCAGGGAGCCCTGCCCTTGAAAGCAGGGTATTGTCCAAGGTTTCTCCCCATGTGATAGTCTGAAATATGGCCTCGTGGGATGAGAAAGACCTGACCATCCCCCAGCCCGCCCCCCGTAAAGGGTCTGTGCTGAGGTGGATTACTCAAAGAGGAAAGCCTCTTGCAGTTGAGAGAGAGGAAGGCCGCTGTTTCCTGCCTGCCCCTGGGAACTGAATGTCTCGGTATAAAACACGATTGTACATTTGTTCAATTCTGAGATGAGAGAAAAACCACCCTATGGTGAGAGGCGAGACATGTTTGCAGCAATGCTGCCTTGTTATTCTTTACTCCACTGAGATGTTTGGGTGGAGAGAAACATAAATCTGGCTTACGTACACATCCAGTCATAGTACCTTTCCTTGAACTTCCTTATGAAGTAGATTCTATTTCTCACATGTTCGTTGCTGACCTTCTCCTTATTATCACCCTGTGCTCCTACTACATTCCTTTTTGCTAAAATAATAAAAATAATAGTCAATAAAAACTAAGGGAACTCAGAGGCCTGTGCCGGTGCAGGTCCTTTGTATGCTGAGCGGCGGTCCCCTAGGCCCACTGTTGTTTCTCCATACTTTGTCTCTGTATCTTATTTCTTTTCTCAGTCTCTTGTCCTACCCGACTGGAAATACCCACAGCTGTGGAGGGGGAGGCCACCCCTTCAAGTGAGTGCTGAGGGACGTTCGGGAGACTTGTTTGTTTCCTCATCCTCAGGACAAACAGGAGAGTGCGGTGGGCAGATGTGAGGAGACCAATATGCAACTCTCTGCTCAGCAGACTGTGCAGTTTATGTTCTTGGTTGTGCTGGGGGTCTCAGAAATCTTATTCAAAATTTTGCTTTCCTCCCCCACTGGTTGTCCTTCTCATAAACATCTCACCCATGATAGCAGGGAATCAGCCCCTCTAGCTATTCCCTAAGAACAACAAAGAGATTATGATGGTGATGATGAGGATAAAGAGGATGACGACAGACACCATGGCATCATGAACCCTTACTGAGGGCTTCCTAAAGGCCAAGCTCTGAGCTCTGTGCTCTATGCAGCTTGTTTCATTTCATCTGCATAGTCTCCCAGTTATTAGTGCACATTTCATGATGATTTTACAGACTAGAAAAAGCTCAACGGATTTTCACGTAGCTTGTACCAGATCACGAAGTCAAAAAGGGTGAAGTCCAATTTGAACCAGGCAGTCTAAGTCCAGACACATGTCATTTGGCAAGTCCTCTCCCTGCAACCAACCTGCCCTCTCAAATCCTCGTCACTCAGGCGGATGCCCCTGCTCACTGTGCCCTTCCCTTTGGGGGTTCCTTGTAGACCACAGCTAGACCAGTGGGTGCCACAATCACTGTGTCATGTATAGAAAGGGCAGCTGAGATCACATCAAGGATTCCAGAAAGAATTTGCACAGGATCATTCGGGACGCATCTCTCCCTTGCCCCTGTTCCTGGCTTTCCTTACAGCTCTCAACTTCCTCAAAGGAGTCATCAATTCGGAGTTTGGCTTCCATTCCTATTGAGGAAGATGGAAAGTGTTTCAAAAATGCTCCTCCGATGTGCCTGTGGTTAAGACCTCTGAGCTCTGCTTAAAACTCTTTGAAGCTGGGCGCGTTGGCTCACGTGTGTAATCCCAGCCCTTTGGGATGCTGAGGCAGGCGAATCACAAGGTCAGGATTTCGAGACCAGCCTGGCCAACATGGTGAAACCCTGTTTCTACTAAAAATACCAAAAAAACTCAAAAAAATTAGCCAGGCATGGTGGCATACGCCTGTCATCCCAGCTACTGGGGAGGCTGAGACAGGAGACTCCTTTGAAGCCGGGAGAGAGAAGTTGCAGTGAATCGAGATCACGCCACTGCACTCCTGCCTGGGCAACAGAGCAAGACTCCGTCTCAAAAAAATAAATAAATAAAAATTACGAAAAAAAGTGCTTGGATGGGCTTGGCAAAATTTAGCCATTAGCTCACGTACCACTTTGGAAGGGCATACCTTCAGTCACTTCACCCTTTAATCCCTTTGCTCAAGACTAAAGTTCTGAGAGGAAGACTAATCGGCTGAGTTGTGTCCATGTGGGCAGTGCAGGAAAGGATGCAGCGGGACGCTGCTCCAGGGACGTCTTTGGCTTCCATCATGGGGGAGCAGGCGCCCGGATTACCCACCCTAACAAATCTGGGCAAAGGAAAACGAGGTTCTCCGAGGAAGGAGACATAGAGCCCAAGGAGCTAACCAAGAGACAAATAGTCATCCTGTCTTGTCATTTTCTTTTACACATGTGTGTACATTATCTTACACTTATCACTTTGTTTTCTTTCTCTCCTTTAATTGCACCCTGCTGCCAAAAGTTAAAATAAAATGAAAGTATTGAGATAGCTCAGTAACTGACTTTTGGTCAATTGCCTTTTCATATAGTGAACAGCTGCCCAAACGATTGTCTCTGTCACTGTGCAAATTTGCAAGCGTTTGCATGATCACTCCCACTCCCCCAATACAGAGCTGTGTTACAGCACAATTTAGTTCAGTGTTTTGCTCTCTGCAACAGGGAGGTTCTCATCCATTACACGTTGCAGTAAAAACAGGGGTACCATAAGCAACCAGCTCTTTCCTCAACGAGGTGATGAAAGCAAAAGCCAAGTAGCTCCATGTATCCAACTTAAAAATATAAAAGTTACGCCCGTGGGCTGCAGTTGGAGCTATGGCGGCGGCAGCTGTCACTGGGCCTAGCCCGGGGTGTGGACCTGGGGACTCCCCAGAAGGGCCCGAGGGGGAGGCTCAAGGAGCGTCGGTGGAAGGCGGACAGGATGCTGAAGTTTTACAACGGCCTCTCGGAAGTGGAGGCGGTGGGACTCCCCGCGGGGACCGAACCCCTGGACCCCACTGATCTGAACGGGGTGCACTTCGACCCGGAAGTTTACCTAGACAAGCTTCCTAGAGAGTGCCCTCTGGCCCAGCTGATGGATAGTGAGACGGACATGGTGCAGCAGATCAGGGCTCTAGACAGCAACATGCAAACCCTGGTCTATGAGAACTACAATAAGTTCTCATAGACCCAGCCACAGAAATTGACACACAGCATAAAACTGTAAGAGGAATTGCAGGAGACCCAGAATTTCCCAAATAACCTTGTAAAAGAAGAACAAATTTGGAAGACTCACAAAAAAAAAAAAATATATATATATATATATATATATACACACATTATATATATACATATATATATAAAGTTGTGTTTTCATTCAGTTGTAAATGTTTAGTAATTTCTATTATGATTTTTCATTTAACTCATGAAAGGATATTTTTAATTTTCCAAATATATGCTTGCGTTTAGCTATCTTCTTGCTGTTGACTTCTAATTTTGTGGCATTATGGTCAGGAAAATGTGCTCTGGACACTGTCAATCGTATAGTGGATTTTGTTGAGACTTATTTATGGCCTAATATGTGGCCAGTTTTTTTTTTTTTTTTTTTTTTTTTTTGCAAATTTGCCACATGTGGTTAAAAGGAATGTGGATTTTTTTTTTAGGAGAGTTTTTATTTTTAAATAGATAAGGTTCTCAGTGTAATTGAAATCTAACTTCAGTTAACAATATGCTAGACCTCTCAAACCTCAGGATGTTAGTCAGTGTAACAATAGACTGCTGCTGAGACGAATAAACCCTGAACTCTCAGTGGGTTGACACCCATAGCATAGTCTGGTGCAGGGCAGGGGTTCTCCTTGGGGGCCCTTGTCCAACAGTGATTCAGAGATTCTGCAGGTTTCCATCTTTTAATTCTGCCATCTCAGAGTTTTTCACTTGTAGCCATATGAATAGGAAGAGAGGGAACATAGCTCACACTTTGATAACCTTGGCCCAGAAGTGATTTCTTACATTCCTATTGGTGGAAATGCAGTCACATGGTTCCAAACTAACTGCAAGTGAGGCTGGGAAATGTAGTCTTTCTGCATGTCCAGGAAGAGGAATGGTGTGAACACAGTATTGTCTTTGACACACTAAGCATGTGCTGAAGAGTTCTTACTCTCATAGGAGGTTTGTCTGTCCTGTGTAACTTTCTCAGATTTTGCTTAGATAGTTTCAGGCAATGCTGTTTGGTGCATTCAGCTTGATGATTATTATGCCCTCTTGGCAAAGCAGTCAAGATTCCCATCAGTTTGAATGAAAGTGTTTTACAGATAGGTCAGGAAATGTTAATACTTTAAAAGGCCCTTCTATTCCTCCACTCTACAGATAAGAACAACAGAGTCTTAGAGAGAGGAGGTCATGGGTCTCACTCATGAGTGGCAGAATTGAAACCAATGTGGCACTAACTTTGCCTTTCCCCCATCATGTTGTTCTCCGTCTATCTTCACTCTGCTGATTTCTTCACTTGCTCCATACAGACCTCCCAGTGCCAAGTGTATAAGTGTGTCCAGAATTGGTGGGTTCTTGGTCTCACTGACTTCAAGAATGAAGCTGTGGACCCTCCTGGTGAGTGTTACAGTTCTTAAAGGTGGCGTGTCTAGAGTTTGTTCCTTCTGATGTTCGGATGTGTTTGAAGTTTCTTCCTTCAGGTGGGGCTCGTGGTCTCGCTGGCTCAGGAGTGAAGCTGCAGATCTTCACGGTGAGTGTTACAGCTCTTACGGCTGCAGGTCTGGAGTTGTTCATTTCTCCCAGTGGGTTCATGGTCTTGCTGGCTTCAGGAGAGAAGCTGCAGACCTTCTCGGTGAGTGTTACAGCTCATAAAGTCAGTGTGGACCCAAAGAGTGAGCAGCAACAAGATTTATTGCAAAGAGCAAAAGAACAAAGCTTCCACAGTGTGGAAGGGGACCCCAGTGGGTTGCCACTGCTGGCTCGGGCAGCCTGCTTTTATTCTCTTACCTGGCCCCACCCACATCCTGCTGATTGGTCCATTTTACAGAGAGCCTGAGTGGTCTGTTTTGACAGGGCACTGATTGGTGCGTTTACAATCCCTGAGCTAGACACAAATGCTCCCCACGTCCCCACTAGATTAGCTAGATACAGAGTGTCCAAACAAAGGTTCTCCAAGTCCCCACCCTAGTAGCTAGATACAGAGTGTCAATTGGTGCATTCATAAACCCTGAGCTAGACACAGGGTGCTGATTAGTGTGTTTACAAACCTTGAGCTAGATACAGAGTGCCAATTGGTGTATTTCCAATCCCTTACCTAGACATAAAGTTCTACAAGTCCCCACCAGACTCAGGAGCCCAGCTGGCTTCACCCAGTGGACCCAGCACAGGAGCTGCAGGTGGAGCTGCCTGCCAGTCCCTCTCCATGCACCCACACTCCTCAGCCCTTGGGTGGTCGATGGGACTGGGTGCCATGGAGCAGGGGGCAGTGCTCATCGGGGAGGCTTGGGCCGTACAGGAGCCCACAGAGGGGCGAGGCTAAGGAATGGCGGGCTGCAGGTCCCGAGCCCTGCCCCGCAGGGAGGCAGCTAAGGCCCAGTGAGAAGTCGAGCACAGCAGCTGCTGGCCCAGGTGCTAAGCCCCTCACAGCCCGGGCCGGCAAGGCCAGCCGGCAGCTCCTAGTGCAAGGCCGCCAAGCCCACGCCCATCCAGAACTCCAGCCGGCAGGCAAGCAGCACACGTAGCCCCAGTTCCAGCTCATGCCTCTCCCTCCATGCCTCCCTGCAAGCTGAGGGAGCCAGCTCTGACCTTGGCCAGCCCAGAAAGGGGCTCCCACCGTGCAGCCGTGGGCTGAAGGGCTCCTCAAGTGCTGCCAAAGTGGGAGCCCAGGCAGAGGAGGTGCCGAGAGTGAACGAGGGCTGTGAGGGCTGCCAGCACGCTGTTACCTCTCATAAGGAGTGATTAATCTGAGCTTCTCCAGAAAGTCCATTCCTGGTAGGCACTGGGAATAAGAAATCTCAGAGTATAAAAAAACATCAAGTGGTAGCACTTTTGTGAGTGGCTCCCAAATTAGATCCTTTACCTTTTTTTTCATGAAGCACAGTTGCCCAAAACACGCTTAGCCTGAGGTGGAGCACATATTAGAGAAAAGTTCTCTCTATAGCATTATGTATTACTCAAATGAGCATTAAAAAGAGGAGACGGGACATGCTCTCTCTAGCTATTATTACCTGCACTATAGAGTTGACATACACAAGCTCATTATTGCATTATGTTTTATTCAACAAAATAACTTTAATGTTGAAGCTTAAACTGAATTCGCTAAAACATCTGTCTCCAGCATAGTGTGCCTCAAGTGTCTCCTTGGTGCCTGAATTTTCTCCAGAATTATCGTGCTGAAGCTATGGAAATTGTGAAATTATATGCAATCTGCAAAACAATGTGGCTATAACGTGGTAATTGGCCTTCCACATAATTAAAGGAACATTTCCTCGTCAGAGCTGTTCCATCAGAGACCCAAAGGCTATCGTTGTACAAATCACCCACTTAGGAAAACCTTTATTCCCAGTAGCCTATAAAAATCTGCTTATGCAAACAGATTTGCTTATTCAGTAACATTAATGGCTTCTCATAGTTAAAAAGTCATCAATGTGATTGACCTATAATCTGCTTCCTCTGTGACGAAGTGTCATTTTTATTTTGACAGTTAGGAGCCTTTTGACTCTTTCACAGCTGGCATGAAGGCACAGGGAGGGAAATCTCAAAAACCAACAACCTGTGTATTCCCAGCCTATTAATCAATAGAAAATCACTTCAACTGGATTAGGGTCTTGTACCTGGCAGAAAGGCTCTTATGGACATTGGAATTGGATTTTTACACTTGATATGACACCTCCTTGAGTCAGATCAGATTCGTGTTTGATAGACACTTGCTGAAAAATTGCTCCAGGGTCTGTGCAGTAGCTAAAGCCTTTTTATTGTTGTTGTTTTAAAAGCAGCATTAAATATTTTCATGAAGACTTTCCCAGCAGTTATTTTATTGGGAATATGGTCTTTAGCTCTGGTCCTGAATAACTCACACTGAGGAAACCTCTAACAAGTGTTTTATTGGAAGATGTCTGATGGATGGTTGGTTTTAATAACAAATCTCTTCCCTTTTTCTGTCCCCTGTGTTCTATTCTCCTTTCTTACACATTATTCTGGGAGGATTCACCTATTCCCAAAGTCCTTTCCTCTTTATTTCCATTCCAGAGCTCTCTGTATAACTCCAGGCTGATGAATCCAGCTGCCCAGTTGTTATCTCCACTTGGCTGTCTGTCTTGCATTGACCTCATCTTACCTTTCCTCTCCTGATTTCCTCTTCTGCCAGGGCTCACCACGTCAGATTCACACCACCATCCACCCAGCTTCCAAATCACCTGGGCCTCCTCCTTCATTCCTCCCTCTTTCTCAGTCAAGTTAGTCTACTGTCTCCTCTCCATCCTCACTGCCACAGCCTTGGTCCAGCCAACCATCTTGTCTCACTTGGCGTATTGCAGCCTCCTACCTGGTCTACTCACCACCCACTCTCCTCCAGCCAGACTACTCTTCTTCTAGCACAAAGTGGATCATTACTCCCCTGCATAAAAACATCTACTGTCTCCCTTTGTCTACAGGATAGACACGACAAAGAGCCTTTAAGATTTGCCTCCAACTTACCTCTATATTAGTCACTTTTTACAATTATATGAACATCTCTCAGCTCCTCACCCTCCACGTCTCGATTTTTACACATGCTCTTCCCTCTGCTGGGAATGATCTTCCACACCTCTCCTATCAACCTGGCTAGTTCCTACCATTTTCTAGTCTTCAACTGAGGAGTCCTGTGGTGGAGAAGGATTTCTCACCACCTGATATAGATTGCATGCCCACCCACCTCCGAGCTTTTTCTTTTTTCTTTCTTTTTTTTTTTTGAAAGAGTCTCGCTCTGACCATGCAGGCTGGAATGCAGTGGTGTAATCTTGGCTCACTGCAATCTCCACCACCCGGGTTCAAGCAATTCTCCCACCTCAGCCTTCTGAGTATCTGGAATTACAGGTGCCCGCCACCACATCTGGCTAATTTTTTTGTATTTTTAGTAAAGACAGGATTTCACCATGTTGGCCAGGCTGTTTTTGAACTCCTGGCCTCAAGTGATCCACCCACCTTGGCCTCCCGAAGTGCTGGGAATACAGGCATGAACAACTGCACCTGGCCGATTGGGTGCCCCTTCTATGTGCTCCCATTGCCCCAGGCATAGTGTCACCATAACTCTTACCATTCTGAATTGAAAATGATTTTTTTTTTTTGCTTTTTTTTCTCTCATTAAATGCAAAGCTTATTGAAAAGAGGACAGTTGTTGTTCACTGTTGTACTCCTAACCTTTGACTCAGTGTCCTTAGGTTGGCTCTAGAGCTGTGCACACATGTTCAGACATTGGAGCACATCTTGTCTAGCACCTCTTTTGTGGTGGCTTAGAGAAAAGTCAGTAGGTACTTCCCCAAGGATGAAACAGAAGCTTCACCTAAACCAGTTCTTCAACTTCAGCCTGCATTAGAATCCTCTGAGAGCTTGTTAAAAATACCATCTCCTGGAGCCCACTCTTCAAGAGTCGGTGAGTTTCTTCATCATCAAAATATACACAGAATTCAGGCAGTCTTCAGCCCCAGCCTGGTCTGAGCCTCTGTGGACTCCCACCTGCAGAATGTCCCTGCTGGTCTCCTTGCTTCTGCTCTTACCTTCTTATTACCCATTCGAGTAGCCGGGGTGATCCTTTTTAAAAATTTTTTTAAATTTTTTTGTGATGAAGTCTCACTCTGTTGCCCAGGCTGGAGTGCAGTGGTGCTATCTCAGCTCGCTGCAGCTCTACCTCCTGGGCTCAAGCAATCCTCCCACCTCAGCCTCCTGGGTAACTGGGACCACAGACATACACCACCACACCCGGCTAATTTTTGTATTTTTTGTAAAGACACGGTCTTGCTATGTTGCCCAGGCTAGTCTTGAACTTCTGTGTACACCCACCTCAGCCTCCTGCATTTTTAGGAGGCCCCTCTTGTAGGGATTTTGATCCAGATGCCTGGGTGCCTCATGTCTCCTCCCATCTCTCTCTGTCTTTCTGTCTCTGTCTCTCTCTCTCTTTCTCTTTGCCTTATAGCTGCCCTGGGGTCTAGACTCTGCCTTAGGCATCCCTCTGGCTCTTGTTTGCTTTTATACTGAGGCTGCTTTAAATTGCACCTTGATCTGAAGCCTTGGGCTTCTGTTCCTATTCCTTGCTTTTGTTGGAAGGGCCGTGCAGCTTCTTGACAAATTGCAAAGGTGCCTACGAGTTTCCAAGTCCCCAAGAACCAAACCAGATGACAAACAAGGATTCAGTCCACAGCTGGGGAGACAGATTTCATGTCCACACAGAGACTCCAAGATGCTGAACTGAAATCCACCTCGAAACCTGTTTTCTCTCTCATTTAAGTTCATTGTCACCTGGGGGCTTGCAGGGCAGGGCTGGTGACCATTCTCAGGGCAAAGATGCTTTGAAATGTCAACTGAGAATGGTGTGGTGGTTGACAGATGGCACGTCAGAGCATAGATTAACATGGAAAGAGAAACTCACCCCTTGGGGGGAGTGTGTGAGGCTGGCAGCCACACAGAGGGCTTTTCCTGTGAGCTCTTGCATAGATGCAAACAGCCAGGAGGTTTTGCTTTCTGATCCTAAGTGGAAGCATGTTCTTTCCTGCACATTGCCGCTCTGCAGCAAATGTTTATTCCTGTTGCATTGATTAAAAGTGCTTACCAGGCCGGGCGCGGTGGCTCACGCCTGTAATCCCAGCACTTTGGGAGGCCAAGGCAGGCAGATCACAGGGTCAGGAGATTGAGACCATCCTGGCTAACACGGTGAAACCCCGTCTCTACTAAAAATACAAAAAATTAGCCAGGCATGGTGGCGGGCACCTGTAGTCCCAGCTACTTGGGAGGCTGAGGCAGGAGAATGGCATGAACCCAGGAGGCGGGGCTTGCAGTGAGCCGAGATTGTGCCACTGCACTCCAGCCTGGATGACAGAGCAAGACTCCGTCTCAAAAATACAAAGTGCTTACCGAAGTGGTTTGAGGGCAGCGGTGACACTGTGAGTTATGGCTCTGCCGGCTGCCAGTGGAGCCAGCCTCTCTGCACAGCCGTGCAAGGGTGTTTTGAAAAGTGGCTCAGCCGGCCAGGAGTGACTGGCTGTAAATATTGCTGCCAGAACATCTTGTAGCCTGATTGGGGCCGTGTTTGCAGAACCCCTAAACCACTACACTTGTTCAGGCTTAAAAATAAGCTTACTTTTTTTGTTTGTTTTGTTTTGTTTTATGAGATGGAGTCTAATTCTGTCACCGGGTTGGAATGCAGTGGCATGATCTTGGCCCACTGCAACCTCTGCCTCCTGCGTTCAAGTGATTCTCCTGCCTCAGGCTCCCGAGTAGCTGGGACTATAGGCGTGTGCCATCATGGCCAGCTAATTTTTGAATTTTTAGTACAGACGGGGCTTCACCTTGTTGGCCAGGATGGTGCGATCTCTTGACCTCGTGATCTGCCCGCCTTGGCTTCCCAAAGTGCTAGGATTACAGGCGTGAGCCACCGTGCCTGGTCAAACATAAACTTACTTTCTTACCTCTTCTGCTGAACTCTATGTGCTTCTTTTCGCAACTTCTGCTGAAACTCTATTTTGTTTCTTTTTCCTGGATAAGGCTCTTGTTTATCCAGAAGAACTTTTAGCAACAAAGTTACCCAATGCCCTTCCCTAGTCTCTCCTTGCAACTGGTTCTCAGTGGTGGGGGTGGTGGGTAGGAGGAAATCCTTGACAGAACCAATTTACATGACTGTTTGGAGGACTCTCACTAGCCCCAGGAGGTGTTTACATTTTGAAATTGGTTACTAGTGTCAGAATGTTTCATGAGTAAGAGCACAGCCTCTAAGTTGGATACCCTGAATTTAAGTCTCAACATGGCCATTTTGTATATAAGCAGAGGATGGATTTGGGGACCCAATGGATCTACCATGACATGAACTTGGACCAACATTCACCTGACCTCCAAAATGCCTATTCTGACTGGTAGACCCTAGTCTCGCCCTAGTGCCAGTTCAGAGCCTGTGTCCAGTGGTCTTGCACAGGTCCCATTAGTTCCTTTTCTCCTATTCAGTCATCCCGGTAAAGGCTGTGTATTCCCTTGGGGCCAGGCTGGGAGAAAGATTGACAGTATAAATTTTTGGCAGTGGAGCAGAGTCCTTTCTGGAGGGGACCTGGCTTCCCATTCAGACAAGGGACTCCAGGTCTGTGAACTGGCTTATGTCTGGGAATTGACGGGGGACTGTGACTCTGTTTTTATGATTCAGATTAGACTTCTGCTCACCTGACCTAGAATTCTTCTGCAAACACAGATCCAGTAAAAATGTGGCAGGCTTCTTATCTATTTCAGTTCTAGGAAAGCCAGGATCAGCAGGCACCATAGGTCTCTGCGAGTCAGGCTATTCTGGTTGCAGCTTTGACTCTGCTGTCTTTTATGGTAACTGCATCCACCTTGCCTTTGGGGATTGAGTGCTCTGATCACTTGGCCCCAGCCCCTGTAGTGTGCGTATGTCACTTACCCTCTTTATACCTCAGTCTCCTCCTCTATAAAATGGGCATCCTCATTGCACCCACCCCCAGGGCTGCTGTGAGGTATAGATGGATTAGCATATGGAAAGTAATAGAAGAGGGTCTCAAAGCCCATGTGTCGTTATCAGAATTATTTCATGATGGGGAGAGCTGGAGGAGAGAGGAAGGTGCTGAGCAGACCCACGTGCTCTCCCACCAGTGTTTCCTGAACACCTACTATGTGCTGCCCACTGTGAGAGCTGTTAGGGTTGAAATAGGGAGCACAGCAGGATAGGAGCTGCCATTAGGAGCTTAGTGGGGAAACCGTTGTGCAACATGGTTACAGTGCTTGGGGTGGGGAAGGTCAGGGAGTACGGGGGCCTAGGATCCAGGGCAGAATCATGGAAAGGACACAGCCGCCCCAGCCTCCCCTGCCTCCCCTGCCTCCCTGACCTCCTCTGTTCCCTGGCCTCTCCTGCCTTCCTGGCTTCCCCTTCCGCCCCGGCCTCCTCAGTCTCCCCTGTCTTTCCTGCTTTTGAGGTGGGCCAGGAGCTGCTGGTGCTCACTTAGCCTGTCCTGGACTCTGGGTGTAGCACTTCGATGTCCAGAAAATACCCCCGGGTTCAGCTTATCACACAGCCAAGAAAGGAGCTCCACACTGACACTAAGGTTGCATCCTGGGCTCATTCATCAGGGCATGCCTCCAAAATATTTCTCCATGTCTCCTCCCTTTGCCCACCTGCATTGTGTCTGTGCGTCAGCCTCAGCTGGGGGCCTGCAAGGATCCTCTATCTCCTCTGCCCCTGCACGGCTGGGTCCCAGGCAATCTGTCTGCCCACCACACCTCTCTCCTGTTGCCCACCACGCTCCAGCCCCACAGTCCTCTTTCTGCTTCTTTCCCAGCCTCTGGGCTTTTGCACACGCTGTTCCTTCTGCCTGAACACCCTCCACTGGGCTGAGAACAACTCTCTGAGACCTCTCTCAGCTGTTGCTTCCTTTGGAAAAGCCGCTGCTGCTGTCCCTCTCCCAGCTCAAAGACGTGCTGAGCCTCCTCTCTTTTTCAGTTCCCATGCCCCCAGCACTTCTCCTTGGCCTCCTTTGGCCCAGTTGACAATGTCCATTCTCAATGCCTTCCCACCCAGAGCTGAGCCCCACTGGGTGAAGGCAATGCCTGTCATGTTCTCCACAATATCCCCTCCCCCATCACCACGACTGGTCCACAGTGATGCTCAAAAAAGATCTGTTGGTAGGCAATGGGAAGGTGCATTCATGTCATCCTGCAGGAGGAATTCTCCACGAGTTTTGAGCAGCCTCGGTTTTCCCACCACCTCCAAATCATGGAAGAAACAGGGTAAGAGCAAAGACAAGGTGGCTGTGGCCAATGTCCACCCTCTCGTGGCGTCCCTTCTCTTCTCTCCTCCTTGAGCAGGGAGACCATCGGGGTGCAACCTGGCCGGGGCGGGGAGGAGGTGCAGGGCATTGCCAGAGCGGGCCTGTCCATGGGCAAGGGATAGCGACCTCCTGGGCCAGGACATGTGAGAGCTACGCAGGCCTGGGCCCGGCGTGGCGGAGGTGCGCGAGAGCGGCCAGAAGAGGGCGCCAGAGTGCCAGGAGCCGCCCGCGGAGGAGCCCGCACCGGCCCCGATACCCAGCTCCGCGCCACGCGGACCCACCGAGCCCGCGCTCAGACGCCCCAGCTCCGCCGAGAGGCCGCTCGCGCCGTGTCCTTTCTCTTCCCCAAGTTCAGGCAGAGTCCCCGGAGCCATGGCCAGCCCTTCCAGCAGCTCCGAAGCCACTGGCAAGCCCCGAGGCAGGGATGGCCGGCCCAGAAGGGAGGAGGAGGAGGACGTCCCTCCCGAAGAGAAGAGGCTGGGGCTGTAGCTGGAGGGGGGAAGCGCACAGCCCGAGGACTGCGAGGACAGGGAGGACCCGCCGCTGCTGGGCACGAAGGAGACCGGCACCCAGACAGGTGGCGACGGCAAAGGAGTAAGTGACGCGGGCGCGGGGGTCCGGGAGTGCCAGGGGCGCGGGGGTGCCGGGGACGCGACGAAGGGGCGTCGGGAGGCTCCGTGGCCGTCCCCGGGTTGAAGTTGGGAGTGCAGCCTTCATTCTGAACCCATTTAGGCAGCATGGGCAGCCCTCCTCGCCATGGGCAGGATCAGAGCCCCTCCGCCCAGTCTTGGGGTTGCTCCTGGATGCTGTCTGGGAGGCTTGCTCATGGTGACATCCTCATCTCCCCGTCCACGTTACCGCATTCAGAGCTTGGGTCACCTGGACACTGAACTCAGGTGAATTTTCTCTGAGATCCCGGGAGAAGGAGGACAGTTCTTTGGAAGGTTTTCCAGGGCCGATCACGGAAAGGATGAGAAGGGAGAGGTCCTGGTCGGGGACACAATTATGGTGGCAGTGTAACGCCGGGAAACTTTATTGCATGAAGTCCCTCTCACTCCCTCTACCTCCCTCTTTTACGTGGACTCTGCCGAAGACCAGGATACCAGAATGCGGTGGAGAGGCCAAGTGTAGTGAGACCTTGGGAATGCGATTCTGGAGCCAGGCGGCTGGGGTTTGCATCCTGGTTCTGCCCCTCCTTAGCTGGCTGACATGGCACAAGCCACTTACCCTGTCTGAGCCTTACTGTCTTCAGTGGCAAATGGATCTGTCAACAGGCTCCATTGCCTGGGGTTGTTGCTGCTGAGATTAAGGGAAGCTCGTCCATAGAAGCACTTAGCATTGTGCCTGGCACATAGTGTATGGTGGATAAGTGGGACTTAAGACTAAAACTCATGCCCTGATGTGTTTTTGCAGTGATGTTTTGTTCTGGAGTACTTCACAAGAGACAAGGTCCTTGGCTGGGCATGGTGGCTGAAGCCAATAATCCCAGCACTTTGAGAGGCCGAAGGGGGAGGATCGCTTGAGCCCAGGAGTTTAAGACCAGCCTGGGCAACATGGTGAAGCTCATATCTACCAAAAAAAAAAAAAAAAAAAAAAAAGGCAGTTATGGTGGTGTGTGCCTGCAGTCCCAAGTACTTGGGAGGCTGAGGTGGGAGGATTGCTAGAGCCTGGAAGGTTGGGTTGCAGTGAGCTGTGATCACGCCACTGCACTTCAGCCTGGGTGACAAAGTGAGACCGTTTCAAGGAAAAGAGAGAGAGAGACAGACAGACCCACAAGAGTCTTAAGCCAGAATCTCCATGTTAAAATGCTTTCTGGAGGCTAAAAGGATGATATGTTGATAATGAAATGTTTAAAAGGCAGAAACCCCGCTGAATTTTTTGGTCCACAGAGGGAAATGGGAATAGCATGACCTGAAGGATGATGGATGAACTGAATAGAAACCATCCTTGTTTCCTGAATCTGAACATGGCACCCTCTTTTCATGGTGCCTGTATCTGCTCAGTCCGGCAGCCCCTTGAAAAGAGGGAATCTTGATTTTCAAACTTAAAATTTGGCCCAAAGCTCACTGCTGCCCACAATGCCCGCCAGACACATTCCTCTTCCCTTTTAGTTCCTATGGGAATACTCTCTTTGAAGAACCCATGAAGCAGTGTCAGGCTGGTACGAGGATCAGCAGTGATTTCTTTGAGGAGGAGAGCCCGTTTCTTCACTCACAGGCCATGTCTGAGTGGATCAAGAAGAACAGAGTGCCCTTTTATGAGATTTTGTCTGCGTAGACCACTAGCTTGGTAAAAATGTCAAAACCATCCTCGTTCTTTAATAACAGATTATTTTGGACTTTTCTCTGCAAGAAGCAGCATGGGCATTCAGATGCTTTTAAGGATAAAATGTTCTTTCTCATCACCAGGCCTGGTGCTCTGGATGGCTGAGGTTTTAATGTGACTGGATGTCCCTTGGAGTGGCTCCCAGGCTGTGCTCTTGTGGTTGGGTGGCAAGCGGTTGCTTTATTCGGTGGTGGCTAGAGGATGTTTTAGCAGATTAATCGGGACCCCAGGAGCCCTTGAGTGTCAAGTCCTGCTGCAGGGCATGTGTTTATGGTGGGGAGGTGGGGGAGGATGGGGGCATTGATTTCCTCCCAATATCAGAAGTTTCACAGGCTTCTTGCTTATCCACAAACACCCACCCCATTGAGAAGGCCTAGAAAATCTGCCCCTCCTCAAGCCTTTATTGACCGCTTGTGAATGATCCCAGTGTGTGTCTGACCCACAGCTCTTCCTGGAGGGAGAGAAAAGTCTCTCCTAGGTATTTGGTTGTCCACCTCAACCACTTGCTGAGTCTTCCGCAAGACCAGGCACCTCGGCAGAGATTTCTGGGTTGTCAGGCAGAACCGAGCATTCAAGGGTGATAACTCACTGGAGTCCCTGAAATCCCTGATGGACGCACCAGGTAAAAGCATCCAGGGTTGAAACCAGATCAGGAAGGTTATTGTCAGCCTGGGGCTCCTGTAGAGGTGCATCCACGTTGCAGGGATTTTCCTTTTTGCTGAGGAGAAACCTGGGTTTCTCAGCTTTGGCACAGTCAGAATATTTGTGGTGAGACCATTCGTGGTGCTGGTGGTGGGGCTGTCCTGTGTATTGAAGGATGGTTAGCAGCATCTGTGGTCTCCATCCTCTAGGTGCCATTCTACCTTCCCTGCTATGGCTACCCCAGACGTCTCCAGATGGTTTCAAATAATGTGGGGCAAGGGAGCGGTACGTGAGCAAAACCACCCCAGTTGAGAGCCATTGGTCTACACTTGTGGAAATGTTTGAGGGTGAGAGTGTCGAGCTTGGGTCCCTGCTGTACCCTTTATGAGCAATGCGGTCTTGGAAAATTAATACTACTCCAGTGGCCTCAGTTTTCTCATCTATAAAATGGAGATAAATGAGATACACTTTGATAGGAAGGTTATATGGGATTCACCGAGATAATAAGACAGTACATGGAAAATGCTGGGCATAGCATTTATTTATTTTAATTTTTTTTTAAGACAGAGTCTTACTCTGTTGCCCAGGTTGGAGTGCAGTGGCATGATCTCCGCTCACTGCAACCTCCACCTCCTGGGTTCAAGTGATTCTCCTGCCTCAGGCTCCCGAGTAACTGGGACTACAGGCGTGCGCTATCATGCCCATCTAATTTTTGAATTTTTAGTAGAGATGGAGCTTCACCATGTTGGCCAGGATAGTCCGATCTCTTGACCTCGTGATCTGCCCGCCTCGGCCTTCCCAAGTGCTGGGATTACAGGCGTGAGCCACCGTGCCTGGCCAAACATAAACTTACTTTCTTACCTCTTCTGCTGAAATCTATTTGCTTCTTTTCCCAAATGTCTTTATCCAGAAGAGCTTTTAGCAACAAAGTTACCCAATGCCCTTCCCTAGTCTCTCCTTGCAACTGGCTCTCAGCAGTGGGTGGGAGGAAATCCTTGACAGAACCAATTTACATGACTGTTTGGAGGACTCTCACTAGCCCCAGGAGGTGTTTACATTTTTAAATTGGTTACTAGTGTCAGAATGTTTCATGAGTAAGAGCCCAGCCTCTATGTTGGATGCCCTGAATTTGAATCTCAGCATTGCCGCTTTGTATATAACCAGAGGATGGATTTGGGGACCCAATGGACCTACCGTGTCATGAACTTGCACCAACATTCACCTGACCTTCAAAATGCCTATTCTGACTGGTAGACCCTAGTCTCATCCTAGTGCCAGTTCAGAGCCTGTGTCCAGTGATCCTGCACAGGTCCCATTAGTTCCTTTTCTCCTGTTCAGTCATCCTAGCAAAAGGCTGTTTATTCCCTTGGGAGCAGGCTGGGAGAAAGATTGACAGTATAAATTTTTGGCAGTGTAGCAGAGTCCTTTCTGGAGGGGACCTGGCTTCCCATTCACACAAGGGACTCCAGGTCTGTGAACTGGCTTATGTCTGGAAATTGACCGGGGACTGTGACTCTGTTTTTATTAATCAGATTAGACTTCTGCTCACTTGACCTAGAACACTTCTGCAAACACAGTTCCAGTAAAAATGTGGCAGGCTTCTTATCTATTTCACTTCTAGGAAAGCCAGGATCAACAGGCACCATAGGTCGCTGCGAGTCAGGCTATTCTGGTTGCAGCTTTGACTCTGCTGTCTTTTATGGTAACTGCATCCACCTTGCCTTTGGGGATTGAGTGCTCTGATCACTTGGCCCCAGCCCCTGTAGTGTGCGTATGTCACTTACCCTCTTTATACCTCAGTCTCCTCCTCTATAAAATGGGCATCCTCATTGCACCCACCCCCAGGGCTGCTGTGAGGTATAGATGGATTAGCATATGGAAAGTAATAGAAGAGGGTCTTAAAGTCCATGTGTCGTTATCAGAATTATTTCGTGACAGGGGAGAGCTGGAGGAGAGAGGAAGGTGCTGAGCAGACCCACGTGCTCTCCCACCAGTGTTTCCTGAGCACCTACTATGTGCTGCCCACTGTGAGAGCTGTTAGGGTTGAAACAGGGAGCACAGCAGGGTAGGGGCTGCCATCAGGAGCTTAGTGGGGAGACCATTGTGCAACCTGGTTCCAGCGCTTGGGGTGGGGAAGCTCAGGGAGTTCAGGGGCCTAGGATCGAGGGCAGAATCATGGAAAGGACATAACCTCCCCAGCCTCTCCTGCCTCCATTGCCTCCCGGGCCTCCTCTGCTTCCCTGGCCTCTCCTACCTTCCTGGCTTCCCCTTCCGCCCCGGCCTCCTCAGTCTCCCCTGTCTCTCCTGCTTTTGAGGTGGGCCAGGAGCTGCTAGTGCTCACTTAGCCTGTCCTGGGCTCTTGGTGTAGCACCTCAATGTCCAGAAAATACCCCCGAGTTCAGCTAATCACACAGTCAAGGAAGGAGCTCCACACTGACACTAAGGGTGCATCCTGGGCTCATTCATCAGGGCATGCCTCCAAAATACTTCTCCACGTCTCCTCCCTTTGCCCACCTGCACTGTCTCTGTGCCTGAGCCCCGGCTGGGGGCCTGCAAGGATCCCGTATCTCCTCTGCCCCTGCACGGCTGGGTCCCAGGCAATCTGTCTGCCCACCACACCTTCCTCCCCTTGCCCACCATGCTCCAGCCCCACAGTCCTCTTTCTGCTTCTTTCCCAGCCTCTGGGCTTTTGCACACGCTGTTCCCTCTGCCTGAACACCCTCCACTGGGCTGAGAACAACTCTCTGAGACCTCTCTCAGCTGTTGCTTCCTTTGGAAAAGCCGCTGCTGCTGTCCCTCTCCCAGCTCAAAGACGTGCTGAGCCTCCTCTCTTTTTCAGTTCCCATGCCCCCAGCACTTCTCCTTGGCCTCCTTTGGCCGAATTGACAATGTCCATTCTCAATGCCTTCCCACCCAGAGCTGAGCCCCACTGGGTGAAGGCAATGCCTGTCATGTTCTCCACAATATCCCCTCCCCCATCACCACGACTGGTCCACAGTGATGCTCAAAAAAGATCTGTTGGTAGGCAATGGGAAGGTGCATTCATGTCATCCTGCAGGAGGAATTCTCCACGAGTTTTGAGCAGCCTCGGGTTTCCCACCACCTCCAAATCTTGGAAGACACAGGGTAAGAGCAAAGACAAGGTGGCTGTGGCCGATGTCCACCCTCTAGTGGCGTCCCTTCTCTTCTCTCCTCCTTGAGCAGGGAGACCATCGGGGTGCAACCTGGCCGGGGCGGGGAGGAGGTGCAGGGCATTGCCAGAGCGGGCCTGTCCATGGGCAAGGGACAGCGACCTCCTGGGCCAGGACATGTGAGAGCTACGCAGGCCTGGGCCCGGCGTGGCGGAGGTGCGCGAGAGCGGCCAGAAGAGGGCGCCAGAGAGCCAGGCGCGGCCCGCGGAGGAGCCCGCGCCGGCCCCTATACCCAGCTCCGCGCCGCGCGGACCCACCGAGCCCGCGCTCAGACGCCCCAGCTCCACCGAGAGGCCGCTCGGGCCATATCCTTCCTCTTCTCCAGGTGCAGGCAGAGCCCCCGAGCCATGGCCAGCCCTTCCGGCAGCTCCGAAGCCACTGGCAAGCCCCGAGGCAGGGATGGCCGGCCCAGGAGGGAGGAGGACGACGTCCCTCCCGAAGAGAAGAGGCTGCGGCTGTAGCTGGAGGGGGGAAGCGCACAGCCCGAGGACTGCGAGAACGGGGAGGACGCGCCGCGGCCAGGCAGGGAGAAGACCGGCACCCAGACAGGTGGCGACCGCAGAGGAGTAAGTGACGCGGGCGCTGGGGTCCGGGGGTGCCGGGGGCGCCGGTAGGGGCGGCTGGAGGCTCCGTGGCCGGCCCCGGGTTGAAGTTGGTATTTTAGCGGCAACTCCGAAGGGCGCGGAGTGACAGCGCGTGACGGCCTCCGAGACGCCAGCTGCCGCTTCTCGGCTGTGTGGCTTTGACTTCCTGATTCTCCCACGACGTCGCTGGCTGGGAGACCCACTGGACTCTGCGGCTGGCCAAAAAGAGAGGGGCAGCCCCGCGTCCTGGGGGCCCCTAGCAGGGGAAGTGGCGGGTGTTGCGCTGGGCATCCTGTCTGGGGCATCTGTCTGGGACCCTGTCGGTGCCTCTCACCTGGCGAGGGGCCAGTGGTGGGGGTAGGGGGGAAGTCCCTGGCGCCAGGCTTGGCCAAGCCCTGCTTGGCTGGACTGCGGGCTGGCGGCGCTCACCCAGCTCCTCACCTGTCCCGCATCTTCCTGTTTTTCTTCCCTTTCTGGTTGGGCAGCAAGAGTTGAGAGGAGGCAGATGGCTTCCATCCCAGAAATCGCTCTCCTCTTTCCATCCCTACAGAGAAGGACAGAGAGGCAAAGTTCCTTGCATCCCCGGGGCGCTGTCCCTGTGAGCTCCCGGTGTCCTGCAAACGTTGGCCCCTGAATCACCGGGCCAGTGTGTGTGGGATGGGGCTGCGTAGCCAGGCTGGCCTCCTGGGGTTCACTTTCTGCTTTCCTACCCCAACTCTTCCTGTGTGGCTTTGCTGGCCTTCCACTGGGGAGGCATGTGGGTTTGGAGGGCAGATGAGGGCCCGCTGGAGAACTGTACCCCTCAGTGAGGGCCGCCACCTTGATGGTTTTTAATGGATAATGGGGTTGACCTCTTTGTTCCTTCCACATGTTTTTATGTTTGACCATTTGCTCAGCTGAGCTTGTCTTAATAATTGGATTCATGGTTAATGAGCCCCACATGGGAGAGAGGGCGGTCTTCATTCTGAACCCATTTAGGCAGCATGGGCAGCCCTCCTCGCCGTGGGCGGCATCAGAGCCCCCCCGCCCAGTCTTGGGGTTGCTCGTGGATGCTGTCTGGGAGGCTTGCTCATGTTGACATCCTCTTCTCCCCGTCCACGTTACCGCATTCAGAGCTTGGGTCACCTGGACACTGAACTCAGGTGAATTTTCTCTGAGATCCCGGGAGAAGGAGGACAGTTCTTTGGAAGGTTTTCCAGGGCCGATCACGGAAAGGATGAGAAGGGAGAGGTCCTGGTTGGGGACACAATTACGGTGGCAGTGTAACGCCGGGAAACTTTATTGCATGAAGTCCCTCTCACTCCCTCTACCTCCCTCTTTTACGTGGACTCTGCCAAAGACCAGGATACCAGAATGCGGTGGAGTGACCAAGTGTAGTGAGACCTTGGGAACGCGATTCTGGAGCCAGGTGGCTGGGGTTTGCATCCTGGTTCTGCCCCTCCTTAGCTGGCTGACATGGCACAAGCCACTTACCCTGTCTGAGCCTTACTGTCTTCAGTGGCAAATGGATCTGTCAACAGGCCCCATTGCCTGGGGTTGTTGCTGCTGAGATTAAGGGAAGCTCGTCCATAGAAGCACTTAGCGTTGTGCCTGGCACATAGTGTATGGTGGATAAGTGGGACTTAAGACTAAAACTCATGCCCTGATGTGTTTTTGCAGTGATGTTTTGTTCTGGAGTACTTCACAAGAGACAAGGTCCTTGGCTGGGCATGGTGGCTGAAGCCAATAATCCCAGCACTTTGAGAGGCCGAAAGGGGGGGATCACTTGAGCCCAGGAGTTTAAGACCAGCCTGGGCAACATGGTGAAGCCTCATATCTACCAAAAAAAAAAAAAAAAAAAAAAAAAAAAAAAAAGGCAGTTATGGTGGTGTGTGCCTGCAGTCCCAAGTACTTGGGAGGCTGAGGTGGGAGGATTGCTAGAGCCTGGAAGGTTGGGTTGCAGTGAGCTGTGATCACGCCACTGCACTTCAGCCTGGGTGACAAAGTGAGACCGTTTCAAGGAAAAGAGAGAGAGAGACAGACAGACCCACAAGAGTCTTAAGCCAGAATCTCCATGTTAAAATGCTTTCTGGAGGCTAAAAGGATGATATGTTGATAATGAAATGTTTAAAAGGCAGAAACCCCGCTGAATTTTTTGGTCCACAGAGGGAAATGGGAATAGCATGACCTGAAGGATGATGGATGAACTGAATAGAAACCATCCTTGTTTCCTGAATCTGAACATGGCACCCTCTTTTCACGGTGCCTGTATCTGCTCAGTCCGGCAGCCCCTTGAAAAGAGGGAATCTTGATTTTCAAACTTAAAATTTGGCCCAAAGCTCGCTGCTGCCCACAATGCCCGCCAGACACATTCCTCTTCCCTTTTAGTTCCTATGGGAATACTCTCTTTGAAGAACCCATGAAGCAGTGTCAGGCTGGTACGAGGATCAGCAGTGATTTCTTTGAGGAGGAGAGCCCGTTTCTTCACTCACAGGCCATGTCTGAGTGGATCAAGAAGAACAGAGTGCCCTTTTATGAGATTTTGTCTGCGTAGACCACTAGCTTGGTAAAAATGTCAAAACCATCCTCGTTCTTTAATAACAGATTATTTTGGACTTTTCTCTGCAAGAAGCAGCATGGGCATTCAGATGCTTTTAAGGATAAAATGTTCTTTCTCATCACCAGGCCTGGTGTTCTGGATGGCTGAGGTTTTAATGTGACTTGGTGTCCCTTGGAGTTGCTTCCAGGCAGTGCTCTTGTGGTTGGGTCGCAAGGGGTTGCTTTATTCGGTGGTGGCTAGAGGATGTTTTAGCAGATAAATCGGGACCCCAGGAGCCCCTGACTGTCAAGTCCTGCTGCAGGGCATGTGTTTATGGTGGGGAGGTGGGGGTGGGGGTGGAGGATGGGGGCATTGATTTCCTGCCAATATCAGAAGTTTCACAGGCTTCTTGTGTATCCACAAACACCCACCCCATTGAGAAGGCCTAGAAAATCTGCCCCTCCCCAAGCCTTTATTGACCGCTTGTGAATGATCCCAGGGTGTGTCTGACCCACAGCTCCTGCTGGAGAGAGAGAAAAGTCTCTCCTAGGTATTTTGTTGTCAACCTCAACTGCTTGCTGAGCCTTCCCCAAGACCAGGCACCTTGGCAGAGATTTCTGGGTTGTCAGGCAGAACCGAGCATTCGAGGGTGATAACTCACTGGAGTCCCTGAAATCCCTGATGGACGCACCAGGTAAAAGCATCCAGGGTTGAAACCAGATCAGGAAGGTTATTGTCAGCCTGAGGCTCTTGTAGAGGTGCATCCACGTTGCAGGTATTTTCCTTCTTGCTGAGGAGAAACCTGGATTTCTCAGCTTTGGCACAGTCACAACATTTGGGGTGAGACCATTCGTGGTGGTGGGGGGGGGCTGTCCTGTGTATTGTAGGACGGTTAGCAGCATCTGTGGTCTCCATCCTCTAGGTGCCATTCTATCCTCCCAGCTATGGCTACCCCAGATGTCTCCAGATGGTTTCAATGCTGTGGGGCAAGGGAGTGGTACGTGAGCAAAACCACCACAGTTGAGAGCCATTGGTCTACACTTGTGGAAATGTTTGAGGGTGAGAGTGTCGAGCTTGGGTCCCTGCTGTACCCTTTATGAGCAATGCTGTCTTGGAAAATTAATACTACTCCAGGGGCCTCAGTTTTCTCATCTATAAAATGGAGATAAATGAGATACACTTTCATAGGAAGGTTATATGGGATTTACTGAGATAATAAGACAGTACATGGAAAATACTGGGCATAGCCTTTATTTATTTAATTTTTTTTTAAGACAGAGTCTTACTCTGTTGCCCAGGCTGGAGTACAGTGGCATGATCTCTGCTCACTGCAACCTCCACGTCCTGGGCTCAAGTGATTCTCCTGCCTCAGCCTCCAGAGTAGCTGGGATTACAGGTGCCCACCACCACACCTGGCTAATTTTTGTATTTTTAGTAGAGATGGGGTTTCACCATGTTGGGCAGGCTGATCTCAAACTTCTGACCTCAGGTGATCCGCCTGCCTCGGCCTCCCAAGTTGCTGAGATCACAGGTGTGAGCCAGCACACTGGGCTTGTCATCGCATTGTAACACAGACAAAGCACAAAATACTTGGACAATATATTTTTACATTTGGCTTGTCTATACTCCATCCTCCATCCCCTCATGCACTGGTGTGGTGCAGACCAGAATATCGCCCTCCTAGACTGCAGAGTGGATTTGGGTGGCATCTTGGCTTTCTGCACAAGACTTGCCTGCTCCCCACCACATCCCCCTAGTTCTCAGGGTCCAGGATTCCAGGAGGCCGGGATGTGGGTAGACAGGTCAGGTGGCCCACCCAGTTCACTCTCACACTGGGGACCTGCAGAGCCAGCTCCCTGAGACAGGGTGTTTTGACCAACATCTGGGTTTTTGGATTTCCATTTGAGCACAGCTGGACTACACAGGCTGAAGTTCTCTGCCGAGATATAGATATTTCCCTGGCGATGATCTTTCAAGTTGACATGAAGACATGGCCACCCGCTGGAACGTCGTGGGTCTGCCGTGGCGCTCTTGTAATTTGTGAGGCAGGCTCCTGATGAATGCAGTGAGTAAGTGGGAAATGGTAGGACGTTCTCCCATCCTCCCCTTGCCGAAAGTGCTGCCTGCGCAGGTTGGTGGACGGTCCTTTGAGCAGGAAGAAGACACGGAGCACATTCCTGTTAGCTACGACAGAGAGGGGCAGGGTACACACTGGACATTTCAAGCCCCTGTAGAGAAGCAAGTCTTACTGTGCTGGGAGTACTTGTGGAGTGGGGGCTGTGTTGCCCTGGGCTTTAATTATTTCAGGAACATTTAACCACAGGGCCAGCAGGCTGGATCTTGATATGTGTTTCTCAGTTGGAAAGATTTTGGACCATAGAGAAATGTCTTCTCAATTCTTTTAATTTCATTAAGGTGGTCATTTTTCTTCTTGTGGCCTCTGGAATGTGACACAGAACTCAAGGGACAGGAAGGAGATGAGTTGGAGGCTGGGACAGGGGTCCCTGCCAGGGATGCAGGTGACTCACGTGACGGTGTTGATGTGTGGAGTCCGGTGCCTGGTTTGGGGAATGTTCGTGGGATATGTTCCAAAGGACTGACGGACCTATCAGGTACTGGAGGTGAATGGTCAAGTCTGATCTCAGGGCTGACAGTGTCAGGCAAGGACGGGAAGTTGGCATTGGTCTCATTGGCTGAGGTTGCTGAGGACCCAGGGGGCAATGTGTGCCAGGACAGATGGGTCTGGGGCTAGGAAGGCAGGTTTGGGCTGGCGACCCGGGCTTGGGAGGCATCCCAGGTAGACAGTGGTTGAGGCTGTGGAAATGACGGCGATTGCCTGGGATGAGAGTGGAGACAGACAAGATGGGGGTTTTGCTTTAAGCCTGGGGAGCCCACCTCCCAGGTTCAAGCGATTCTCCTGCCTCAGTTTCCCAAGTAGCTGGGAATGCAGGTGCGTGCCACCATGCCTGACTAACTTTTGTATTCTTAGTAGAGATGAGGTTTGACCAGGCTGGTCTCAAACTCCTGACCTCAAGTGATCGGCCCACCTTGGCCTCCCAAAGTGCTGGGATTACAGGCATGAGCCACCATGCCTGACCATTTTTAAATGTTAATTTTTATGCAATATTTTCAAACACATTTTACTGTACATTGGAAAAATCAATCATGATTTGAAAACTTTATAAAAATCCAATCAAATATCAATTAACCATTTAATTGTGGATAAGTAAGGAGACTATTTTGACCAAAACATGTTAGAACAATTACCACTTATAGAAATAATCTGTGTTTTAATGTTTTAGTTGAATTAAACAATCTTTTATATTCTGTCCAGGTGCAGTGGTTCACACCTGTAATCCCAGCACTTTGGGAGGCCGAGGCTGGCGGATCACCTAAGGTCAGGAGTTCGAGACCAGCCTGGTCAACATGGCAAAACTGTCTCTACTAAAAATACAGAAATTAGCCAGGTGTGATGGCACACACCTGCAATCCCAGCTACTTGGGAGGCTGAGGCAGGAGAATCGTTTGCACCTGGGAGACAGAGGTTGCAGTCAGCCGAGATCGCACCACTGTACTTCAGCCAGCCTGGGTGACAGAGCGAGACTCTGTTTCAAAAATAAATAAATAAATAAAATAGAATTCTGAATTTTATTTTTAATAATTATTTTTGTAAAGAGAATGTCTTGTTTTTTGGAGTTGTTGAATTTATTGAATTGGCAAAAATTATGTACAAGAGGGTATACAACATGATGTGATTGAGGTATGTATACATTATGAAATGGCTAAATCAATCTAAATAACATATCACCTCCCAGACTTACTTTTTGGGGTGAGAACACTTAAACAATCTACTCTCTTAGTGATTTCCAAGTGTATGATATGTTGTTATTAACTATAGGTACCTTGTTGTCCCATGGATCTCCTGAACTTATTCTTCTCTAAAAATGACATTCTGTGTGCTTTGGCATCTGCCCACTTCCCCACCCTGGCAACCATCATTCTACTCTGCTTCTGTGAATTCAACTTTTTTCTTCTCTTTTTTTTTTTTCTTTTTTTTGAGAAAATCTCCTTCTATTGCCCAGGCTGTAGTGCAGGGTTGTGATCATGGCTCACTGCAGCCTTGACGTCCCAAGTTCAATCAATCCTTCCACCTCAGCCTCCTGAGTATCTGGGAGTACAGGCATGCACTACCATGCTCCACTAATTTTTGTATTTTTTGTAGAGATGGGGTATTGCTATGTTATGCAGGCTGGTCTCGAACTCCTAGGCTCAAGAAATCTGCTGGTCTCAGCCTCCCAAAGTGCTGTGATTACAGGCATGAGCCACCATGCCTGGCCGAGTTCAACTTTTTTAGATTCCACATGTAAGTGAGATCATGTGGTATTTGTCGTTCTGTGCCTGGCTTATTTCACTTAACATAATATCCTCCAGGCTCATCCATGTTGTCTCAAATGGCAGGATTTCCTTCTTTTTGAAGGCTGAATAGTATTCCATTGTGTACATACACCACATTGTTGCTGGAAGTTTAATGGAGGCCAGTTGGGGGAGGATGGGGAGAAGATTCACTCTAAGTCTAGATGCTCCAGTACCCACCCAGGATGTGTGCAAGGAAGTGCAGGATGCTCCTGGTCTTGCAAACTGTGGTTTGTGGGACTCCAAAGCCCCTATCCTTCCACGATGCTTCCTGTCCTGTTATCACATTTCCTTGGAGGAGAACCCAGCCTTGGTGGAGAGCCCTGCTCTGGCTTTGTCCCTTGGCATGAGATGGCAAAGGATGGTGCCGCTGGGAGACCCTCACATCTGCACACTGGGGGCTGTTTGCCTTCTCCATTCCTCCTTCAAGTATCTGAGCAGCTCCTGTGTGCCAGCTGCTGGTCTACAAGATGGATGGGTCCTTGGAGATCAGCCTGTAGCAGAGGAGGCAGGCTATAGCCCACAGGCCAGAACCAGCCCCCTGCCTGTTCACACAAATAAAGTTTTATTGGAACACAGCCACACCCATTTCAGTGCCTATTGTCTGTGGCTGCTTTCCTGCTACAATGGAGAGTTGAATATTTGGGACAGAGACCTATGGCCTGCAAAGCTGAACTATTTACCATCTGGCCCTGGAGAGAAAGGAAAAAAATGCTGATCCTTGTACCCTGACAGTCTTAGGTTAAGAGGACTTCGTACCACTCTGACGTCCCAGGCGGCCATGAGTCCAGCCACCCTTGAAATGTACACAAGTCTGGGCTGAGGTTGCAGCAGGTGAGGCCCAATTTTGCAGGTCTTTGGTATCAGGGGCACAACCCAGGATTTTGTGTGGGGTTTCTTCCTCACTGTGGCTGGGCACTGGGCAAGGGTGCTTTCTGATTTTTGTATGGGGAAGAGAAAGGAGGGAGGAAATGGCAACTTGTTGCCCTGTTCTAACATTTTCCTAAGATGGGTCTCGAGGCCAGGGCTTGGGATCTCACCTTGCACAGCTTACAAAACCCAGTGAGGCCGGCTGTCTTGGCGCTGCCACTCTGAGGGATGGAGCCCGCAAATGACTAGGAAGGGAGATAAAAGAATGGTTTCTGCAAGCACAAGAAGTGGCGTTATTGAAATTAACATTTCCCCCAAATTTTACAATGTCTAGGCATGCATATTTAAGTGTCTGCCTCAAAAGCTCATGCTAATAAGGAGATGGTGCATTTAATTTCCTTTTTTTGTTCTCTGAGCAACATGCAGCTTCCTGCACAGCCCTTCTTGCAGGCAACTGCACTGAGGTGACAGTCCTCCTGACTGCCAGCACAGATCCCCAGGGCCTCTGAGGGCCCTGTATTCTGGGGGCAGTCTTTCACTTTCAATTCGGCCCCAGCTGGAAGGGGGCAGTTTAACCACAGCCCAGCACAGGTCTCCCGCCTTAGCTTCTCTAAGGAGTCTGGCTCCCTCTGACCCTCTAGACCTCACCAGCTGAGGATCAGAGCCCCGGGGCAGGAGCCAGGGCCAGGGGGCATTGGGGGGTGGTTTGAGAGTGCAGGTCTGGAGGGGGCAGTGCGGGCCCAGGAAAAGCTGCTCAGGGGAGACTGCAAAGAGATGGCAGAGTTAGGACAAGAGGGTCGGGCATGGTGGCTCACATCTGTAATCCCAGCACTTTGGGAGGCCGAGGTGGGCGGATCACCTGAGGCCAGGAGTTTGAGACCAGACTGGCCAATATGGTGAAAACCTGTCTCTACTAAAAATACAATAATTAGCCGGACATGGTGACACCTATAATCCCAGCTACTCGGGAAGCTGAGCCACGAGAATTGCTTAAACCCGGAAGGTGGAGGTTGTAGTGAGCTGAGATTGTGCCACTGTACTCCAGCCTGGGCAACAGAGCAAGATTCCATCTCAAAAAAAAAAAAAAAAAAAAAAATAGGACAGGAGGAGGAGGGAAGAGAAGGGAGCTGTGGGGCAGCGGCCAGGACCTTAAAGGCACAGAAGAGGAAGCTTGGATTTCCAATTCCAAAGGACATGAGGAAAATTCACACACCTTTATTTAACCTGCTCCTGGTGAGGCTGGGCTTTGTGTATTTTCCTTGTTTTCCTTTTCCTTGTATTCAGGCTGTTGTAGAAACAGGTACACAGGGGCTCTGTGTGGCGCCCTGTTCTAGTTGCCTTCAGGAAGCATGGGGTGCCCTGGTTTCCTTGGCTTCGTGTCCCCCTTTCCTCCTGCCACCCCTGACTGTGCCCCCCAGCTTGTCCCTCAGAACATCTTCCTGGAAGGGCCTGGCCAGGGCTTGTGTCCTTGCTAGTCTCTGGGGAGGAAGACTCTGTGGCTTGAAAGGCTGTCGGCTTAAGTTGCAAGATGTAGGTGCCTGGGAGGGCATGTGCACGGCCCTCTTGACTGATCCATTCATGTTTTCCTTTTTTGACTCTGTTCTATGTTGTCCTGATGGAGGGGTAAGCCCCTGCCTTCTGCCTTTCCTGCCTTGGACTCTTGCAATTGGGCCAGATGAGAGGGTCCATGTGGTCTGAGAATTCAAGCAATGCAGGCCAGGCGTGGTGGCTCACACCTGTAATCCCAGGACTTTTGGAGGCTAAGGTGGGCAGGCCAGGAGTTTGAGACCAGGTGGCCAAAATAGTGAAACCCTGTATCTACAAAAAATACAAAAGTTAGTCCGGCTTGGTGGTGCATGCCTGTAATCCTAGTTATTTGGGAGGCTGAGGCAAGAGAATCCCTTGAACCCAGAAGGAGCAGGTTGCAGTGAGGAGCAGGTTGCAATGAGGAGGAGGTTGCAGTGAGGAGGAGGTTGTAGTGAAGAGCAGGTTGCAGTGAGGAGGAGGTTGCAGTGAGGAGGAGGTCGCAGTAAGGAGGAGGTTGCAGTGAGGAGGAGGTCGCAGTAAGGAGGAGGTTGCAGTGAGGAGGAGGTTGTAGTGAGGAGCAGGTTGCAGTGAGGAGGAGGTTGCAGTGAGGAGGAGGTCGCAGTGAGGAGGAGGTCGCAGTGAGGAGGAGGTCGCAGTGAGGAGGAGGTCGCAGTGAGGAGGAGGTTGCACTGAGGAGGAGGTTGTAGTGAGGAGGAGGTTGTGGTGAGGAGGAGGTTGCAGTGAGCCGAGATTGTGTCCCTGGACTCCAGACTGGGCAATAGAGCGAGACTATGTCTCCAGAAAAAAAAAAAAAAAAAAAAAAAATTTATATAGAAAACAGAAAGCAAAACTACCTCTTGATTTGCTTTTCTTGATCTTGCATCTCAGAGGTAACACTGGGAAGGGTTGGGTTATACCTCTCCCCACCTTTTTCTTTGATTTCTTTTTATTTTTTATTCTACGTTCTGAGATACATGTGCAGAATGTGCAGGTTTGTTACATAGATATACATGTGCCATGGTGGTTTGCTGCATCTATCAACCCGTCAACTAGGTTTTAAGCCCCACATGCATTAGGTATTTGTCCTAACGCTCTCCCTCGCCTTGTCCCCCACCCCCGATGGGCCCCGGTGTGTGATGTTCCCCTCCCTGTGTCCATGTGTTCTCATTGTTCAACTCCCACTTATGAGTGAGAGCACACCGTGTTTGGTTTTCTGTTTCTGTCCACAGCTTTTTCCTCTGTGCACACAAGCACATGTATTTGCACATAAGTGTTTATTGTAATATTTTTAAAAAAGTAAAAATGAAATAATGCTATATTTATTCTTTGGAAAGCCTGCTTTTCAGGCAGCATGTCTTTGACATTGTCTCACGTTGGAACCTGGGTACCACCTTCTTCTCCCAGCAGTTATTCTGACCTGTGGATGCACCACGCTTCGTTTAACCAGCCCTGCACCGATACGTCTTTGGATGGTTTCCGCCTTTTCCCAGTCACAGACGGTGTTCTGATGAATTTCCTTACACACATCACTTGGTGCTCTGTGCCTGCATTTCTGTGAGATGTTCCTGGAAGTGGGCTGTCTAGGTCAGAGGGGGATCTGTGCTCAATTTGCATCCTGTGCAAAATTCCATCCAGTCATCCACCTCCCCAAGGGCTCACATGGTACTGTCCTCTGTAGACATCATCTTCTGCAGATGATGGCATGACAGCCCCTCTTTCTTTTACTCACACCAGTCTGCACCCTGGTGTCCTGGGGGTTCCAGCCCCTACCCACTTGTCTGCCCTCACCCCACAGTGCCCCCAGCCCCTGCTAACAGGGACTCTGGCTTCTGAGCTCTGGCAGACTGCCTCACTCTGGAGAAGTTTGCTTTCTCAAACATTCCTGGCAATGTTACTGCAAATCTCGAGGCCTGCATTTGCCTTCTTCAGGCCTCAGTTTCCTCAAAAGTAAAATGGGGATAATGTGATGCTACTGTCTGCATCCTAGAGCTGCCATGAGGGTTCAGTGAGATCACTGTTGAGAGCACGTTCACAGCGCCGGCCTTGTGCGCAGTCAGCACGTGTGGGGCAGGGCTGTTGCTGATACGTGGTTGACTGTCATTGCTAGACTGTGGCTTTACCAGGGTCAGTGTCTTTAGTGCTGAGCCCAGAGCCACCCCTAGTACCTGCTGTGTTTATAGAGTGATTGAGTGGCAGGGTCAGAGACTGGGGCAATGGCAGCAGAAACAGAGGAAAGAAGTGGGGCTTCTAATAGTTCCTGCACCAGTGGCCCTTGAGATGAAGCCTTCTTGCCAAGGTCTGGGGCTGTGCTGTGTGTTCTAGGCCCGAGACTGGAAGCTAGGCCTGGCTACAGTCCCAGCTGACCTGGGGAAGTGCATGTCAGCATCCTGCTTCATTAGGACACCTCCAAGCCCAGCTTAGACGTGGATTCCAGGTGACCCCCTGTTTACTCTGAGCCCAGACAGAGGACAGAGAAGTGTGCAAGGGTGGGGACCCTCATCACAGCCCTTGACTCTGTAAGGCATATGGGTTTGTGCACGTGTGTGAGCACGGCCGTGGCTTCTCTGTGAGTTTCAAGCTCGAGGTTGTGTTTATGCATGGTTAGGCTTGCCAGGTAAAATACAGGAGGTCCAATTAAACCTGAACTTCTCATTAACCTTTTTTTTTTTTTTTTTTTTTTTGGTGCAAATATATCCCATGCAATATTTGGGACCTGCTTACCCTAAAAAATGATTTGTTGTTTATCTGAAATTCAAGTTAAGCTGGCATCCTGTCTTTTCACTTGCTACGTATGAGAGTTCCGTGTGGGGGTTATCAGTGTGCATTTGTGAGTTCCCATGTGAAGGACTCTCTCCAAGTGTCTGTAGGTGCCAGGATGGAGATGGACAGAGAAGGTCCTCTTGGGCTGCTTTAGTGGCACCTAGAGGCTGTGGGGTTGGACACTTCAGCCCCAGGGGCCTGGGCAGCACTGTCCAGCACGTGCCTGCTCCTGTCTTCTCCACGGGGGCTGACTTCCCTGCCATCTCTCTCCAAATACGGTGGCAAGAGCTATCCCATCTGCCCCCATCTGGAGCTCGGCGTCCCAGCCAGACAAGATGGCAAACAGTGTGCAGAGGGTTGCAAAGCTTTCCCAAGCTCCTTCTGCAAGGGGCCTGCAGATGAAAGGGAAGCCCTCATCCTCACCGCCTCCCCCTTCCAGAAAACCCAGGCAACAGCCACCTCTGAATGCTGCTTTAGAAGCTTCTCCCTCCTGGTGATTAAACCACCACAAACAAATAAAGCACTGCATTTCCACCATAGACTTGTTCATATGCACGCAGCCAGTTGTCTTGGATCTGCCCCTGTGCCTGATTCATCAGGGTGAGGGGTTCTCCTCTGAGGTGCTTGCAAAGAGCTGCCTAATTTTCATGTGAAAGACTCTCTGTAGAAACCAGGCCCAGCTTTGGAAGAAAGCCCTTTCTCCCCCTTTAGCAAATTCGGTGTCATTTTTTTTTTTTTCTTTTTTGAGACGGAGATTCACTTTTGTTGCCCAGGCTGGAGTGCAATGGTGCAATCTCAGTTCACTGCAGTCTCTGCCTCCTTGGTTCAAGCGATTCTCCTGCCTCAGCCTCCTGAGTAGCTGGGACTGCAGGCACCCACAACCACACCCAGCTATTTTTTTTTTTTTTTTTTTTTTTTGTATTTTTAGTAGAGAGGGAGTTTCACCATGTTGGCCAGGTTGGTCTTGAACTCCTGACCTCAGGTGATCCACCTCGGCCCCCAAAGTGCTGGGATTACAGGCATGAGCCACCACGCCTGGCTGGAATTCTGTGTCATTCTGGATACTTATCATGACTTCAAGCATCCAGGACTCTGTCCTGGGTATCCTGAGCCTGAGGGTTTATGTGTGTCCAGCTGGCTTGGAGGTTGTCTACAGACAGGTTGAACTTGGCTTCTGAGTGCATGGCAGCCTCATGTGGGAAATACCACCAAGGAGCCTCATCGTGTGCTTTTAGGAGATAGTTTCTATTTAGTCATTGCTGAATCTGTTACAGACAGGGTCTCGATTTCTTGCAAGTCCTGTATGAGGTCGGTGCTGTGATTATCCACATTTTCACTTGCTCTCTCTGGCCTCTTTCAGGCTCTTGCACTTCCTTTGTTCTTTTCCTGCCACAGAGTCTTTGCACATCCTGCTCTTTCCGCCTGGAAAAATTTTCCCTCTCCCTGCTTCTTCACCTGGTCACGGTCTCATCTGACAGTGGAGTCACTACATCCTCAGGGACGTCTGGCCACACTGACTCAGTCACAGCAACCCCCTGTTATCTGCTTTCATGACACCAGGTGCCTCTCTGTGGTAGACACTAGCTCAGCTATGGCTTCCTATTTCTGTGCGTGTCATCCTTCCCCTTCAAGACTGTGGTCACCATAAGGGCCAGGGACATGCCTGTTCTGATTCTCATTTGTGTCTCTGGTGTTTAGTATATGCTCACCTAGAATTTGATTAATGAATGACAACATACCCATTTTACAGATGAGAAAGTTGAGGCTTGGGAACATTATGTAACTTGCTCGGTATTAGATAGTGATGGTTTGTAGCCATCTGGCCGGTCGCTGGGTGCACACTCTTAACCACTTTACTATGGTTCTTCTCTCATGGTAGCTCTCCAACAGCAGGAGTGAGAGACAACTTTAGGACAGGTGTAACTAGAATCTCAGGGCTTATCCTAGAAGGTGTTGTCAGGAACATACTTGCCTATGGGCCTTCTTACTGTATTGCATAAAATACCCAGTTTTTCTGACTCACCTTTAGTAAAGACCTTAGCAATATTTGAAGCACAGTTGTCAGTAGGAAAGGGTGGATGTTTATACTTTTTTAAAAAGGAGGCTATATCATATTTATCTTGTGGTCTACCATGCCCCCCGATCTTCTTCAGCTTCAGTTATGCAAAATTCACACTTGTTCTCTTGACTGCCTCTCTCTTACCTGTTCAGTTTCTTTTCTGTGATCGAGATTGCTTAGAATTTTTCCCCATTACTACAGTCTGCTTCCCAACTGCATCCCCCACCCAGCTTGTTCTGGATTTTGTCAACAACAGTTCCAGCGTTTAGTGAGGGCTGGACTGAAGGAGAGCCTTGGAAAAGGCTGTGTGATGAAAGCTGAAGACACCTAATGGGCAGGCCGTCATCAGGGTTAATTCAAAGGCTGGAAGAAGGGCTGACCTGGAGGACTGGAAATGTCTTTGAGCTGAAGGTCATGTGCAGGTGGAACGAAGAGGGTGAGCATTTTGGGGTGAACTGCAAGTATTTGATAATATCCCTGTCCCCATTGTTGGGGAAGTCTTGATAAGCATCCTCAATGTGATGGAGGGATGAAGGAATCCGTGGCTCTACCTGCCCAGCATGACAGTAATATGACACAGCGAAGTTATTGATTCTTGGTTGCCCAGCTGTCATCAGCTCAACATCTTCTGTTAGTTATAGCTGCAATTTGCATTAGTTATCAATGCCAGTTTTGACTTTCCTAGTCAATAAAGCGTTCTGAGAGTGGTGACTAAGGCTGAGCACTACCTATAATCATGAGTATTACAGAGGCAAGCCCCCTTGCCCACCTACCTGCAGGTGATGAGACACCCTAGGGAAATCACTCAATTCTTTGGAGGACCCCGAATAAATGCCCAAGTCCATCTGTTCATCTGTCCATCCATCCATCCACCCTTCCTTCCTTCCATCCGTCCATCCATCCATCCATCCATCCAGACATGCATACATCCAACCACCCACCCATCTATCCACCCACCCACCCATCTATCCAACCAACCCACTGTCTTATGCACCCAGCTATCATCCACCTACCCACCCACCAACCCATCTGTCCATCCGCTCACCCATGCATCTATCCACCCATTCACTCATCTAACCATCTATCCACCCACCCATCCATCCATTTATCCCTTCAACCCCTCACCCACTCATCCATTTCTCCACCCACTCAGCCATCCCTTCACTGACTCAACCATCCATTCATTCGTCCACCTGCCCACCCACCCATTATCCATCCATCCACCTATGTATCCATCCATCTGTTGTCCTTCTGTTCATTTATGCCACAAAGACTCGTTAACCACCTGCTAGATTCTGGGGAGGTACCTGCTCTAGTAATGGAGAACATGGTCTCTGGAATATGATTCCCTGGGCTCATACTGAGCTGCCTCCTAGTTAGCTGCTTGGGTAAGTTATAGAAACTGTGCTTTGACTTTCTTATCTGAAAATTGGCTATTAATACCTTCTACTTTTGCAGATATAGTGAGGATTAAATAAGATGTCACATTAAAAGTGCATCATCGGCACTCAATAGAAATTAGGTTTTACCATTCATTATTATTCTTGGCAGATGCTGCAGACAACGTGGAGAGCATATGAAAGACACATGTTTGAACAAATAGTGACATACAGGTGCTACGTTCTGCAGTAGGGGAAGGTCAGAGAGCCATGGAGAGGGCCTAGCCCAATCCTGGAGCCTCAGAAAAATGTTCCCCGTTGAATTCCTGTTTTAGCTGAGACTTGTGGGATGGATAATAGTTGGAGATCCCAGACAGGATGTGACCGAGTTAGCCAGGGAAAAATTGGGTCCTGGCACCCATGGCAGAATTGATTGATCAGTTCTTCTGTCTCCTGTGTTTGGAAGTCCACTAGGTCTGGGAATGTCAAGTTGGGGGAGGGCGCTGACAATGATCATGAACTTCACCTGTCCTCACATGTCCTCTGTGTATCTGCAAAGCCTCTGCCTCAGTCTCCTCTTTTGGAAAGTGGGATTGGAAACCACATCTACTTCTCTCCCAGGACTGCTAGGAAGACAAGATTAGATGGCAGGTGAGAGCTCTTTGAAAATGAAAACATTCTACTATTTGAGTGCAAAGTGTTCTTCTTTGCCTGTGATGTTTCCTAATCTGTGAAATCATACTGGACCTCGAAGCTGTCTATTAAAAAAATAGCAAAGTGGCTGGGCATGGTGGCTCATGCCTATAGTAGTTCTAGCACTTTGAGAGGCTGAGGAGGGTGGATCATTTGAGGCCAGGAGTTCGATACCAGCCTGGCCAATATGCAAAACCACATCTCTACTAAAAATACAAAAATTAGCCAGGTGTGGTGGCATCTGCCTGTAGTCCCAGCTACTCGGGAGGCTGAGGCACAAGAATCATTTGAGCTCAGGAGGCAGAGGTTGCAGTGAGCCAAAATTGCACCACTGCACTCCAGCCTGGGAAACAGAGTGAGGCTCTGTCTGAAAAAAGAAAAAAAAAAGCAAAGTTAACACTTCCTCCATCTCTCCCCTGGGGGAGGCAATTTGTCAAAGATTGTTGTTGGATTTTACACACAGGGAAATCTAAGGAAGGTGTGGAAATCAGACCAAGACTCCATACTCTGGTCTCTCTGTTTGCAGGGTCTTAAAACGGGGAGCCACTTTGGGTTCTTTCTACAAGATTGCTTTTATAAAAACA